>NC_000008.11:32890405-33193435 GCF_000001405.40 Homo sapiens | reverse complement strand
ATTCTATACACACAATCTCTGTTATTAAAGCAGTTGAATTTAACAGCAGCAACCAGGTAAGCAGATCATTCTTTTTATGAGCACACATTAGTTTTATTTGACAGAAAACCAATACAACTTGAATATGGCTGAGGCAGCCTTGGAAAATATTTCAACCCAGAATCATTTCTTTGTTCACTCTCATTTGTATCATATAGTCACCTTCCTTAAGCAGATCATTTTTTAGAGCAATTTTTAAAAATGGAAATTTTTCTTTGTAAATTAATTAGAAATCATAGATTAGAATTAAAATATCTTCCTGCCTGGTCATTAACCTTTGGATTTACATGGCACCAAAACATGCCTCATCTGAACATAATGTCTCCCTCTTCTGATACAGGATGTGCATTTACCTTATGTAAACTGAGCTAATTAAAGAGAAGGATTTTAGTTGATTTTCTGGAGTCTCCCAATAAGAAATACCTATGCCATTTTCTTTATGCCCTTGATCTAAGGGTTTCAAATTTCTTTGAAAAAAAAAGTATTCTTGATACTGTATCTAAAAGGTATGTATTATAGACTGGATATTTATGTCATCCCAAAATTCAAATGTTGAAATTCTAACCTGCAAGGAGATGGTATTAGGAGATGGGACCTTTGGGAGGTGATTAGGTTATGAAGGTGGAATCCTCATAAATGAGATTTGTCCTCTTATCAAAGAGATCTCGGAGAGCTGTCTACCCTGTGAGGACACAGTGAGAAGATGGCTAGCTATGAACTAGGCAGCTGGCCCTCATCATACACCAAGTGTGCCGACACCTAGATCTTGGCCTCCCTGGTGTCCAGACCTGTGAGAAATAGATGTTTGTTGTTGACGCCACCTAGTCTATAGCATTTTTGTTACAGCAGTGTGAACAAACTAAGATACTATGTAACATGCAAACAAATAGTTAATTTATCAACAAAGATTTATTACATTGTGAAATACTGTAGGTAGGCAAAGATGGGAGACTGAGGTGGGTGGATCACCTGAGGTCAGGAGTTCAAGACCAACCTGGACAACATGGCAAAACCCTGTCTCTACTAAAAATACAAAAATTAGCCAGGCATGGTGGCGCATGCCTGTAATCCCAGCTTCTAGGGAGGCTGAGGCAGGAGAATTGCTTGAACTCAGGAGGCAGAGGTTGAAGTGAGCCAAGATCGCACCACTGCACTCCAGCCTGGGCGACAGAGTGAGACTCCATCTCAAAAAATCCATCTCGAAAAAAAAAAAGTAAATAATATAAAAGCCTCTAATTCAAGAAAAAAAACTTCTAGTATAGTAGGAAAGACAGGCATCTTAGCAATTAGAATACAACTGATAGACATCAGAATAAGCAAACAAACATGAGATGTATTGGGAAGTCAGAAGGAGAGACTGATTTTGGAAGGTGTCCTACTTGCTGGCATCCTGCACATGTTCTGTGACAGCTGTATATAAGCACAGCATATGGGAATGCACTCCACCTTTGGAAATGCTCTGGGCCACATTGCTTTAGTCCATTCTGCTACACTTCATCACGTGTTTACACTTTCTCGGATACTCTTGGCATCCACTCTGGAAAGAGAACCTTGAATTGATCACCAAACATAGGCTTTGCTTTCTAGCTTTGACATTCATCTTCCCTCAAGCCAACTATACACTGCTGCACAATTTCACACACCAAACGGATAAGGCATTGGTTCTCAACCTTGTTTGTACAGAATTACCTAGGAAGTTTTAAAATGAACTGATGCTTAGGTCGCTACAGAGATTCTATATTAATTGTTCTATATCAGTTGCAACTTGAGTGTTGGAATTCTTTAAGGCTCCCCAGGTGATTCTAATGTGAAGCCAAGGTAGAAAATTACTTGGAGGAGGGAATCTCTGTGTAGAAGAGGGGAGAACTTTTTCTCTATCTTATGTTTTTCTTTCCCCCCTGGGACCTGCAAATTAAACTGACAAAGATTAACAGTAGAAAAAGCATATAAATGATATTTGATGCTAATATTTTTAAAATTATATGTGTCTTAGGAGGGCTTCATAGAAAAGAAGTGAAACCCCCAAAGAAGTGGTTAAACTTGGGGGATTTTCATATCTTTTTTTTTGGAACTACATTTAAAAAAAATTATACTTTAAGTTCTGGGGTACATGTGCATAACGCGCAAGTTTGTTACATAGGTATACAGGTGTCATGGTGGTTTGCTGCACCTGTCACCGTGTCATCTACATTAGGTATTTGTCCTAATGCTATCCCTCCCCTCCCACCCCTTGAAAGGCCCAGGTGTGTGTTGTTCTGCTCTCTGTGTCCATGTGTTCTCATTGTTCAACTCCCACTTATGAGTGAGAACATACG
Source organism: Homo sapiens (assembly GCF_000001405.40). Taxonomy (NCBI): domain Eukaryota; kingdom Metazoa; phylum Chordata; class Mammalia; order Primates; family Hominidae; genus Homo; species Homo sapiens. Next base: position 33,191,081 of record NC_000008.11, on the reverse strand, counting down.
GTGTTTGGTTTTCTGTTCTTGTATTAGTTTGTGGAGCATGATGGTTTCCAGCTTCATCCATGTCCCTGCAAAGGACATGATCTCATCCTTGTTTATGGCTGCATAGTATTCCATGGTGTATATGTGCCACATTCTCTTAATCCAGTCTATCATTGATGGGCATTTGAGTTGGTTTCAAGTCTTTGCTATTGTGAACAATGCTGCAATAAACATAGGTATGCATGTGTGTTTATAGTAGAATGATTTATAATCCTTTGGGTATATACTTAGTAATGTGATTGCTGGGTCAAATGGTATTTCTAGTTCTAGATCCTTGAGGAATCGCCACACTGTCTTCCACAATGGTTGAACTAACTTACACTCCCACCAACAGTGTAAAAGTGTTCCTGACCAGGTGCAGTGGCTCACGCCTGTAATCCCAGCACTTTGGGAGGCCAAGGTGGGCGGATCATGAGGTCAGGAGATCGAGACCATCCTTGCTAACATGGTGAAACCCCGTCTCTACTAAAAATACAACAACAAAATTAGCTGGGCATGGTGGCGGGTGCCTGTAGTCCCAGCTACTCGGGAGGCTGAGGCGGGAGAATGGCGTGAACGCAGGAGGTGGAGCTTGCAGTGAGTTGAGATCATGCCACTGCGCTCCAGCCTGGGCGACAGAGCAAGACTCCGTCTCAAAAAAACCAAATAAACAAAAAAACCCAAAGCATTTCTATTTCTCCACATCCTCTCCAGCATCTGTTGTTTCCTGACTTTTTAATGATTGCCACTCTAACTGGCATGAGATGGTACCTCATTATGGTTTTGATTTGCCTTTCTCTAATGACCAGTGATGATGAGCATTTTTTCATGTTTGTTGGCTGCATTAATGTCTTCTTTTGAGAAGTGTCTGTTCATGTCCTTTGCCCATTTTTGATGGGGTTGTTTGATTTTTTCTTGTAAATTTGTTTAAGTTCTTTGTAGATTCTGGATATTAGCCCTTTGTCAGATGGATATATTGCAAAAGTTTTCTCCCATTCTGTAGGTTGCCTGTTCACTCTGATGATAGTTTTTTTGCTGTGCAGAAGCTCTTTAGTTTAATTAGATCCCATTTGTCTATTTTGGCTTTTGTTGTCATTGCTTTTGGTGTTTTAGTCATGAAGTCTCTGTCCATGCCTATGTCCTGAATGATATTGCCTAAGATTTTTTCTAGGGTTTTATGGTTTTAGGTCTTATGTTTAAGACTTTAATCCATCTTGAGTTAACTTTTGTATAAAGTGTGAGGAAGGGGTCCAGTTTCAGCTTTCTGCATATGGCTAGCCACTTTTCCCAACATCATTATTAAATAGGGAATCCTTTCCCCATTGCTTGTTTTTGTCAGGTTTGTCAAAGATCAGATGGTTGTAGATGTGTGGTGTTATTTCTGAGGCCTTTGTTCTGTTCCACTGGTCTATATATCTGTTTTGGTACCAGTACCATGCTGTTTTGGTTACTGTAGCCTTGTAGTATAGTCTGAAGTCAGGTAGCATGATGCCTTCAGTGTTGTTCTTTTTGCTTAGGATTGTCTTGGCTAGGTGGGCTCTTTTTTGGTTCTATATGAAATTTAAAGTAGCTTTTTCCAATTCTGTGAAGAAAGCCAATAGTAGCTTGATGGGTATAGCATTGAATCTATAAATTACTTTGGGCAGAATGGCCATTTTCACGATATTGATTCTTCCTATCCATGAGCATGGAATGTTCTTCCATTTGTTTGTGTCCTCTCTTATTTCCTTGAGTGGTGGTTTGTAGTTCTCCTTGAAGAGGTCCTTCACATCCCTTGTAAGTTGTATTCCTAGGTATTTTATTCTCTTTGTAGCAATTGTGAATGGGAGTTCACTCATGATTTGGCTCTCTGTTTGTCTGTTCTTGGTGTGTAGGAATGCCTGTGATTTTTACACCTTGATTTTGTATCCTGAGACTTTGCTGAAGTTGCTTATCAGCTTAAGGAGATTTGGGGCTGAGATGATGGAGTTTTCTAAATATACAATCATGTCATCTGTAAACAGAGACAATCTGACTTCCTCTTTTTCTATTTGAATACCCTTTATTTCTTTCTCTTGCCTGTTGGCCCTGGCCAGAACCTCCAATACTATGTTGAATATGAGTGGTGAGAGAGGCCATCCTTGTCTTGTGCCAGTTTTCAAATGGAATGCTTCCAATTTTTGCCCATTTAGTATGATATTGGCTGTGGGTTTGTCATAAATAGCTCTTATTATTTTGAGATATGTTCCATCAATGCCTAGTTTATAGAGAGTTTTTAGCATGAAGGGCTGTTGAATTTTGTCAAAGGCCTTTTCTGCATCTATTGAGATAATCATGAGTTTTTTGTCATTGGTTCTGTTTATGTGATGGATTACATTTATTGATTTGTGTATGTTGAACCAGCCTTGCATCCCAGGGATGAAGCTGACTTGATCGTGGTGAATAAGCTTTTTGATGTGCTGCTGGATTCGGTTTGCCAGTATTTTATTGAGGATTTTCACATCGATGTTCATCAGGGATATTGGCCTAAAATTTTATTTTTTTGTTGTGTCTCTGCCAGGTTTTGGTATCAGGATGATGCTGGTCTCATAAAATGAGTTAGGGAGGATTCCCTCTTTTTCTATTGATTGGAATAGTTTCAGAAGGAATGTTACCAGCTCCTCTTTGTACATCTGGTACATGTGTTCTCATTGTTCAACTCCCACTTATGAGTGAGAACGTGTGGTGTTTGCTTTTCTGTTCTTGTGTTAGTTTGCTGAGCATGATGGTTTCCAGCTTCATCCATGTCCCTGCAAAGGACATGGACTCATCCTTTTTTATGGCTGCATTATGTAATGCCCTTGTCTCTTTTGATCTTTGTTGGTTTAAAGTCTGTTTTATCAGAGATAGGTTTGCAACTCCTGCTGTGAAAGTGCTAGGATTACAAGCATGAGCCACCATGCCTGGCCTTATATATCATTTTAACAAAAGGTGATAAATTGTGGAGAAGTGACTAAATAAAGGATATAGGATTTTGGGCTTCTAGGAGTGGCAAATTGTGGGAAGGTAAATATATGGGGGAAACTAATGACAGATAAGCATTAATTAGTAAGGTTTGTTTATGCAGATTCATCTCAGTTCTGTCTCTATCTCTGGTGATAAGGGTGGTCCTCCTGTTCCTCCTGGTATCTGAGAGGGGAAGGGGGCACCTTCACAAAGGGAAACTTAGGCTCTGCTTTTAGGCAGATGGGGGAGGGAAGAGAGTTCTGTCTGCTTTTGCTTTTTTTTCTCAATCGTCTTGAAATCAAAATAATTCATATGCCAAGTGGCATAGTTTAAGGTGGCATATTCTGATCTTCTTCACCTACCTCTGTGTTTGAACACATCCTCTATGGGAACTTCCCTTCCTGCCACCCCCAAATCTGCCCTACCTCCTGGAAACTGGATGAAATTTTTCATCTCTTAAATTCCCACTCATCCCTGACTTTTGATATAGGTAAATAAGCAATCACATAAAAACTTCATTCTGTTGTGCCAACACAAGCACAGGTAATAGACATGAGTGCTTGGTCAAAGTCTTTCAAGCCCATGACCATGACTGCTCACCAAAGGAATCTTTTACCTTCATAGACTTTGCAGGTCCTGGTTTCCATCAGTGGCTTTTATTTCAGCTTCAGAGGAGTCATTTGAGGTCTTCCATGCTTACACCTAGTCAGGTGTCTACACAACTTTCACAGGCGGGTTACTAAATAGTGCATACCTACGGCTTGGCAGTAGATTTACTAGAGGAAATCACAGGCACACTGGTAAAGTGAGTGAGACATGGATTGAACTTGAGCAGTCTGTCTTTTAGATGCTCTACTAGCTGAGTTCTGGTTTGAACTGAGAAAAATGGTGGTTGTTCCTCAGAGTTGTAAACATTTGATCCTTCCCTAATTTACTTAATGGAACAGAATCCTCCAGAGTTAATTCTTTTTTTTTGAGATGGACTCTCACTCTGTTGTCCAGGCTGGAGTGCAGTGGCGTGATCTTGGCTCACTGCAACCTCCACCTCTCGAGTTCAAGTGATTCTCCTGCCTCAGCCTCTCAAGTAGCTGGGATTACAGGGGCCCACTACCACGCCTGGCTAATTTTTGTAGTTTTAGTAGAGATGGAGTTTTGCCATGTTGGCCAGGCTGGTCTCAAACTCCTCACCTCAGGTGATCTGCCCGCCTCGGCCTCCCAAAGTGCTGGGATTACAGACGTGAGCCATCACACCTGGTCTCTCCTGAGTTAATTTTATGAGAGCTATTCCAGATGATTTGATGTGTTCTTGCTGAGCTAGATTCACAAAAACTCCTCTACATTTCAAGTCAACATCATATAAATCTCATATTTTTAATTTAACAGCTTAAATTAATTATTTGTGAAGAACCTCTGTTTGTCACCAAAATTCCCCTGGCCTCACCTGCTTCAACACTACAACTTTTGCCTGTTCTTATTTGCTACATAAACACCCTGTGATGGTTAATATTGAGTGTCAACTTGATGGTTAATATTGAGTATCAACTTGATTGGATTGAAGGATGCAAAGTATTATTCCTGGGTGTGTCTGTGAGGGTGTTACCAAAGGAGATTAACATTTGAGTCAGTGGACTGGGAGAGGCAGACACACTTCTAATCTGGGTGGGCACCATCTAATCAGCTGCCAGAGCAGCTAGTATAAAGCCGCCAGGAGAAGATGGAAAAGCAGACTTGCTGAGTCTTCCGACCTTCATCTTTTTCCCGTGCTGGATGCTTCCTGATTTTGAACATCAGACTCCAAGTTCTTTAGCTTTTGGACTGTTGGACTTAACACCAGTGGTTTGCCAGGGGCTTTTGGGCTTTTAACCACAGACTGAAGGCTGCACTGTCAGCTTCTCTACTTTTGAGGTTTTAGGACTTGAACTGATCCACTACTGTCTTCCTTGCTCCTCAACTTGTAGATGGCCTATCGTGAGACTTTACCTTGTGATTGTGTGAGTCAATTCTCCTTAATAAACTCCCCATCACAGGCCAGGCACGGTGGCTCATGCCTGTAATCCGAGTACTTCGGGAGGCTGAGGCGGGTGGGTCACTTGAGGTTGGGAGTTCGAGACCAGCCTGACCAACGTGGAGAAACCCTGTCTGTACTAAAAATACAAAATTAGCTGGGCGTGGTGGCGCATACCTGTAATCCCAGCTACTTGGGAGGCTGAGGCAGGAGAATCACTTGAACCCAGGAGGTGGAGGTTGCAGTGAGCTGAGATCGCGCCTGGGCAACAAGAGCAAAACTCCATCTCAAAAACAAAACAAAACAAAAACCTCCCAATCTTATATACATCTATCCTATTAATTCTGTCCTGCTAGAGAACCCTGCCTAATACACACCCTCAGGGCAACCCCATCCCTTCCGTTCACAGCAGCCACAGCTATTTCCCTGTACTTGCTTGTATCCCTCATGCCACAGAAATTAGCCAATACTGAGAAGAAATTAGTGTTTCAAGAGATTTCTGGGGAAAACTCCAGAATTCCAAAAGTTGCCATGAGATTTTGTTATCCTAATCTATGTCCCGGAGGAAGGACATAAAAAGGGTGCTTGTCATTTAGTTAGTCTCCAGCTTAAGCACATTGTTCATATTGAAAACTGGAGAACAATTTCTGGGGGACTTTTGCACTCTCGCTTAATCATACTTAACATTTTCCCTGTCTATTCCTCCCCGTGGGTTTGTTTTCTATACTACTGACTTCAGCTCAGTTTCTTGGTTCCTCCTTTCTGCTTGCTCCCCTGTGATGATCATCCAGTTTCCACTTATCTCAGTTTTGACTTCCAGGATATGACCTGGCGCTTTACTTCAGGCCATGGTGACAATCGTAAGAGGAGATCTGCCTCTGCATCCCTGGCCCTGATGTAATTGCCCAGAGAGCTCTGCCTCATTTCAGACCCCATCAGACAGGGAATTGGGGAATTGGGTAGGGTATTAGAAGGGGTTCGCTAGAGGAAATAATGCTGATAAAACAAAGAGGAGAAAAGGTGTTCCAGAAAGGAAGAACAGTAAGGATGAAGGCAAGAAAATGAGAAGAAGATGAAATACCTGGGAATCTCATTTATTTATTTTTGACAAAATGTAGAGAGAATATGGTGGGGTTCTAGTATATAAGGTCAGAAAGATAGGCAGGGCCAAAACACAGTTTAAAACTCTCTCTTTTGGCCACATTTGAGTCAAGCTTCTCTGAGTCCTCTTTCTGACTAGTCCCCAAACTTGGGTTCTGCCATTGGCCCATTTAGTCTCATTTTGGCAAGACTCCTACTGAGTCTGTTTAGGAAAAATCGTTCACCTCTGGTATTTTGTCACTCTGGCCTGCCTTCAGCAATAATCCTGTTGAGTTGGTCTAGCAAGAATCCCCCTAGTCTTGATGTTTCCTCTTAGTAATCTTTCATCTATTGACCCCTTACCATGCTCCTTGGATATAAATCTTCATTGTCCTTGCATTTAGAATTGAGGCTCATTTCCTCTGTCTCTCCTCTACTACAAAACTCCATTGTAGTACTTCCCAGTCCCCTGAATAAAGTTGTCCTTACCTTCTTTAACAAGTGTCATGAATCCTTTTTTTTTCTTTTAACAAAACCTATGTGGACATAAGTACAACATCAGGCTTTATGGAATAAAGTATTATGTATGCAATAGAAATGCTCAGTGCTCCCAGAATTTTTAGAGGTTGTTTAGGACTGAGATGATTAAGAAAAACACATAGAGAAAATGATATTTGGACTGAACCTCAATTTAAGGTTATATGAGATTTTTATATGAGAGATTGAAGGGAAGGATGAAAGGAGTGAAATTTTCACTGACGGGTGAAAAGTAACCAATATTGGGTATAGCTCAGCACCCCGACAGGACATTCTTTGTCATATGCTAATCAATTTTTTGGCCTGAAGTCAAAACAGTCTAAACCTCACACTTTCTTAATCTCTGTCGTGCATCATCTTTGTCTCTGACAGCACCTACCATTTAATTTTTTGTGTTCCTTATTCATGTAGTCAATGCATTATTTCCCCTCGGTGCAAAGGTCTCTAAGGGCAGAGAATTTGTCCTAATCACCTTTGTATCCCCCAGCAAAGGCAAACATAGCCATAGCATGCATATTGTAGGGGTCACATATCTGTCTGTTGAAGGTATAAAGACTGAGAATTTTAATTATTTATTATTACTGTTGTTGTTTAGAGAGCCCCTTTTCAACTCTACATAAGTATTGATTTTTGACTGGAGGGAAAACATGCTGTACTAGGAGCCAGGAGATCCCAATCCCAGGCCAGCCACTAACTCACTGAGTGATGTTGAGTCAAAATTTCCTCCTCTATAAAACTCAATGATCTTGATTGTTTTTTCCAACCCTTTAGCCAACAAAAATGACTTCTGAGTTATTCACCACATTTTAACTTTTAATTTTATAAATAGTAATTATACATTTTTACATTAATTCTATCAGCCAAACAGAGTGTCTGATCAAATAGGGAGGGGGATACTAAGAGGATATTAAGGTCCTGCTAAAATTATTGGGGCAGTCTAATGGCATATAAATATCACATTTCCATTTAAAATAGCTGATAGTGTTACCAGTGGCAAGTTTGGGTGGGCTTCATAATCATTCATCCTTGTCTTCTTGGGAGAAAGAATTTAGCCAAGAGACAAAGGTAGGTTTAAGGTAGAAATGAGAGTTTATTGAAGCAAAGAAAAGTACACTTGGAAGGAACTGTATTAGTCCATTCTCACGCTGCTATAAAGACATACCTGAGACTGGGTAATTTATAAAGGAGAGAGGCTTAATTGACTCACAGTACTGCAGGGCTGGGGAGGCCTCAACTTAGAATCATGGTAAAAGGGGAAGCGAACACATCCTTCTTCACATGGCAGCAGCAAGGAGAAGTGCAGAGCAAAAGGGGAAAAAGCCCTTTAGAAAACCATCAGATCTCATGAGAACTCACTATCATGAGAGCAGCATGAAGGTAACTGCCCCCATGATTCAGTTACCTCCCACCAAGTCCCTCCCACAACATATGGGGATTATGGAAACTACAATTCAAGGTGAGATTTGGATGGGGACACAGCCAAACTATATCAGGAACCAAGCAGGCAACTCAAAAGATTGAGTGCCCTGCCTGGTTGTTAGCTCAGGGCTCTTACAGATTTACTATTTCCTGGTTTTTCCTGGTCTCTTCCCCTCGTCCTTCCCCTGGGGTGGATTGTTAGCTAACTGTTGCATGTGCAGTGTCTTGCCAATATCTGGGAGGGACCACATGTGCCATTTGGTGGTTGAAGCTATGCACATGCTTTCTTAGGGCAATTTTTCCTTACTGCTAGCACTAGATCACAAGCACTTTTAGAGGAAAGTCATATACAGGTCAAACTCTGCCATTTTATGCCGTACTACACATGCCTGGGCCTGTCCCCAGAGGGAGGTCAAACTCCATCATTTAAATTTCTTATTAGGAAGTGGTTTCCCACAAACTCAAGATGTCCCCTGTTTGTTAGGAAATTTTCCCCTTCATGTCACCAGCTGCCTGACAATCACCTGACAGTCACCTGACATTCTTTGGGGCTCCATCCTGCCCTACTCACAACTGCCTATCTACCTACTCTAACAATAAGGCTCTAAGAGTCTGAGTGTTATAATTTAAGGACACTGATGTAGATGATCTTTCCTAACTATCATCTAGATTTTTTTTTTTCAAGTGAGTCCCCATCTTGGACAAGAAAAAAATGCATCTCACGAATTGCTTTCAAAATGCCCTTTTATTTCCTCTAAAAATATTGTAAGACATATATTTAAGTATTTTAAAGCGAATACAAAATAAACGTAATCTGCTTTAATGCATTTTGAGAAACTATGCAACACTATTTGAGATAATCAGAGAATTCCCTAAGTAGTAGGGACACCTAGGGTAAGAATCATTGAGATGGCAGCATTTGTCTGAATTGTGTGAAGCCTGGAGAGGAAGACAGGATACAAGAGGCATTTCTTAAAAGTTTCTTTTTTGGCTTGCTAAAATTTTAAACAAGAAAGCTAGACTTCCAAGTGCTCTAGCTCATTTAGGATTCTCTCCCAGTCCTTTCCTCAGCTCTAGGCTTATTTTTCACGTCAGTCAATGCCCCACCATGTTGGAATAACCCCAAGAGGAAGTCGACTGTGCTTCCCTTTGCAGAACAAATCTCTACTTCTATAGGAAGACAAGTAGAGCAAATTGAGTTATGACTGAGAATGACATTAAGGTGTCCATGGAATAAGTTCTTATTTAGCTTTATTAACTTCCATAGAAAATACAAACTTCAATAGCTTTATATGCTTTCCTGGGCAATACTGAGTCTCTCGTGTTTTATTTTTAGCTTTGGCAAGGAAACTGTCTTTGCCAATTTGCCTCAAAACAGGTGATGGATATAATACTTATCCCCAAGGAAAGCAGTACAAGAGCAACAATATAACCTTCATTTATATAGTTTTTTTTCATATTTTACATCATTTGGTCTTTGCAGCAACAGTAAATCAAAAATAAAATTCTAAGTCTCCCTTTTAACTGATGGACCCTCCCTTCAGCCAAGGGCACTCCAAACCTAAACTTAAAAACTAGTTCAGGCCATGACAGAAAGCAAGGTGAACATGCCTCCTTATACTCTTCTCCCTTTTGGAAATCAGGAAGAGACGACCAGCATTAACATCAACACAGAGACCTTAAGATTGATAGAACTGACTCTTTAATTCTGATAAGAAACATTTGCAATCTGTACACCATGAAATACTATGTAGCCATGAAAAAGAACGAGCTCATGTCCTTTGCAGGGACATGGATGGAGCTGGAGGCCATTATCCTTAGCAAACTAAAGCAGGAGCAGAAAACCAAATACTGCATGTTCTCACTCATAAATGGGAGCTAAATGATGAGAACACAAGGACACATGGAGGGGAACAACACACACTGGGGCCTACTGGAGGGTGGAAGTTGGGAGGAAGGAGAGAATCAGGAAAAATAACTAATGGGTACTAGGCTTAATACCTGGGTGATAAATAATCTGTATGATAAACCCCCATGACACACATTTACCTATATAATAAACCTGCACATCTTGCACATGTACCCCTGAACTTAAAATAAAAGTTAAAAAAAGAGAAACATTTGCAATCTATTATTACTATTATCTCTGAAGACTGCTACCTGGAGGCTTCAACTACACAATAAAGCTCTGCAACCCCTTATTAGTCTCCACAACCCTTTATTTTAACCCAGACATTCCCATCTATTGATTCTAGGTCTTTAGACAATAACTTAACTCTTTCAGCCAATTACTAATCAGAAAATATTTACATTTACCTATGACCTGGAAGCCCCTGTGTAGTAGTCTGTTTTCACATTGCTATAAAGAACTACCTGAGACTGGGTAATTTATAAACAAAAGAGGTTTGATTGACTTACAGTTCTGCATGGCTGGAGAGGCCTCAGGAAACTTACAATCATGGCAGAAGGTGAAGGAGAAGCAAGGCACATCTTACCTGGTGGCAGGAGGTTGGGAGGAAGTGCCACACCTTTAAACCATCAGATCTTATGAGAACTCATCATCACAAGCAGAGCATGGGAAGAACTGCCCCCATGATCCAATCACCTCCCACCAGGTCCCTCCTTGACACATGGGGATTACCATTTGAGATGAGATTTGGGTGGGTACACAAAGCCAAACCATAGCACACTGCTTCAAGTTGTCCCACCTTACTGGACCAAACCAATGTACATCTTACATGTACTGATTGATGTGTTGCATCTCCCTAAAATGTATAAAACCAAGCCATAGCCATCCTGACGTCTGTGTCATGGGCTATTGGTCACTCATATTTGGCTCAGAATAAATCTCTTCAAATATTTTACAGAGTTTGACTCTTTTCATTGACATAACCTTGCAAGACAAATTGGTATTATTCCTCCTAAGTAAAAATTTGAAATGCTTGGGGGTTGTCTTGTTGAGTGAGTAAGTAGAGAAGCCAGGATTTGAATCCATATCTCTCTGTTACCAGTACCCATGATTTTCCTACCCAGGAGCCTTCTTTAAGTTCTGTTATTACTCGATCCAAGGGCAGGGAAGATTCACCTGCTTAGTGCACAGCTTGGACAGTCAGTATGCACAATGCCCTATATGAGCATTGAACTGAAATGAGTAGAAAGATGTGGTACTGTTTGAAAAGTGTCATCATTTTCAGAGGAGGCTGACAAAGGAACAAATAAAACTATTAACTTAGTGTTTTAAAGAGGCAATAAATACTAGTGAAGGCAGAAGCCAGGCAAAATCATTGAAGGGGTAGTGTTTGTTTTGCAAATACAAATGGCCCATATGGAAATTATTCAAGCTTAATAGCTTAGAAATGCAAATATAGAATAATGAGAGACAAGTTAATCCCAGCAAAATGGCAAAGATTCTTAAAACGTGATAAGATGCAGTTTTGTTGTGAGTGAAGGGAAATGAACCTCTCATAATTGCTTGTGGGTTTAAAAGTTGGTGCAACCTGCCACGAGGGCCATTTGGCAGTATTTTTCAAAACCTACAAAGTTTGTAAGTGTTATTATATAATGTCTGTCTTCCTGTGCTAGGTATTATGCTGGGTAGTAGAAATATGATGGTAAGGAAGATATTGTTCCTGCCTTCTTGGCAGGAGAGATGACTAAATAAGCAATTGCAATAATATGATCATCTGATGAAGAATGTGTAATATATTTTCTTATAATAATAGCATATGTGTATGTGTGTATGTAATATGAAATATACTGAAAGAATAATACCAAAGTTTTTAATGGAGCTTATCTCATCTTTTTATGGTGGAATAATGGAATATTTATTTTCTTTTTAAAATGTTTTCTGTATTTTTTCAAATGCTCCTACAATTAATAGGTATTACTGGAATAATGACACTAAATCATGAACCTGCCCTTTCACAACAATAAAAATCAGTCAGTTTGTGAGTCAATAAGAACCAGGCCTGGAGGCATCTTAAGATCTAGAATATGCCTGGCATATTTGGGGCAAGGCTCTGTGTACCCATCTGAAATCCAAATGATCTCTTCCTCACCCACTTCTGCTTTCTTTACTGCAAGTGTGTATTTGCCCGGTCTGGTGATGTTTGAACCCAGCTATCATTATTGGTTTCCAATGCAGTTCATCCCTGGCACAGGAGTCCAATCTTGAACCCAAGCTCTATTGCCCTCCCTCCTACCTCTGCTCAAGAATGGAACTTGGTCCCCAGGAACCCATTCTGCTGGCTTAATAGTCCTAGATACATCTCTATGAATAGCTACAGAGCTCTCCTGGGCTTAGAATCTAGAGATTTTGTAGAGCATCCTGTTGTCCTGTCCTTTTGCCTCCTGAGTTAAACTCAAGTGGCTTCTTCCTCTAGGATTAGAGATTCAGAATTTTAGGTTCCTCTAGGGAAAGCAGTGTACTTACTGAATTAGTTCTTTAATTCCATCACCCAGTACCCTGGGTCATCCTTTCTCTTCCACTGGGAGTTGGGAGACTCAAGAATGCCTTGGAGAATGTGGTTTGTTACAAATTCCCACTCCAAGTTCTTTCTTCGGCTGTCCACCTGTTCTCTAGCCATAAGCTTTCCCTCAGCAACACCTCAAGCTTCTCATTAAAACCTCCCAATTCTGTACTCAGGCTGTGTTGGAACTTGATACTTATGACAACTGGCAAATTTTTTTTTTCCCAAAAGTTAAATTAAATAATCACAGGGTTGTGTGATTCTAAATATATTTTTAGAAAGTGATTAAATATCCTCATTTAGGCTATGAAAGTAACCCAAGTATCTTAAAAGTCCTTCTAAAATTTATATTTCCTGACAGTTCCATAATTTAAACAATTGTAAAATTTTTCTTTAGGAGCAGCTAGCAGTGACAGAACTTATTTTTAAAAGAAGTTGAAGAAGCAAATGCCTTTAGCAAATATTCTTGGGAAATTTTAAAACAAAAGACAAAACATATTTAGATATCGCTACAACATTAAAAGAGTTTGAAAGTTCTTTGATTTTCCTAAAACATCTACCTAAAGATATTTACATATGTGTTGTTTATATTCTCAGTATGGCAACACGTTTGCCCTGAATGTCAAAATTCTCAGTTAGTTCTCAGTGGGGTACTATCTTTAGTTACAGAAGGAGAGACAAATAGTGGCACAATGTTAATTGTTTGACAGTGTATGGCAGTGATGGTTTTGGTGAAGTTCACTTATTTGTACAAAATAAGATCAGCAATTCTTCAGGTTATTTATTTTAGAAATATTAATGAAAATATATTTGTTGTCGATTGCTTTAGTATTAGAGGATTTGCACTAAGCTAGGTCATATTTGTAAAGGGGATTGATGGTTGACTAAAAGTGGACATGATTTTTATGAAACCCAGTGAAATGTAGACTTCTATATTTGCATTTCTATGCTATTAAGCTCGAATAATTTTCATATGGGTCATTCATGTTTGCAAAACTAACACTGTATTTTAATGATTTTTGTCTCAGTCCCACCATCACTAATATTGTTTATTGCTCCCTTTAAGTCTTAGCACTTTAGTTAAGCTGCTTCTTCTTCCCTTTCTCCTTTACATCTTCATTTCTGGGCATCTCATCTTTCATCGTCTCCCATTATACCTGTTACCAATTATCTAAGCAGCAAAAGTAAAAATGTTACAAGTCCTTTTGTGCTAGAGATTTGATTACTTTATTAGTATGGGTGAAAAATGACTTTCCTATTCAACACATCTGACACACATTGGCACACACACATACCAACAATGCAAGTGTTAACTTCCTTCCCCTCAAGAAGCAACTTCCTCTTTAAATATATTTTGGAAATTTAAGAAGCTTGCCCCATATCCACTCCTAAGCCATCCCTGTTGAGAGACCTTGCTGCTGCTGTACCTTAGGCTACTGGCATCACGGATGGTTACCCCTGTGGACCAGGCTCACCTTCTTATTAGGATAAACATTTGGCTCAGTTGGCAGAGGCATGATGTGGGAAAGGCCATGCTTCTGCTTATTATTTGTGGTAGATCTTTGTCATTTTTTTCCAGGGCACATGTGATAATTTAATCTATTGATATAATTCGTAAAGATCAAATTAGTGTAATTTGGATAGCGATCACCTTAAATACTAGTCTTTCCTTTACACTTAGAAACATTCAAATTATTCTGTCCTAGCTATTTTGAAATATACAATAGGTTATTGTAAACTATAGTTGCCCCACTGATCTATTAAACACTAGGTCTTATTTTTTTTTCTATCAAACTGTAATATTTGGAAGCATTAATCAATCTCTCTTTATTTTCTCCTTCCCCCTACCCTTCTTGGCCTCTGGGAACCACTGATCTCCTCTCTATTTTCATGACAGCCTCTTTTTCAGTCCCCACATATGAATGAGAGCACACGATATTTGTCTTTCTGTGCCTGGCTTATTTCCCTTAACCTAATGACCTCCAGTTCCATTTGTGTTGCTACAAATGACAGGATTTTATTATTTTTATGGCTGAATAATATTCTGTTCTGTTGTGTAAACGCACCACATTTTAAAATTGTATTCATCCATAGATGGGCACTTAGGTTGATTCCATATTTTGGCTAATGTGAATAGTGCTCAATAAACAGGAGTGTAGATATCTCTTTGATATATTGATATTCTTCCTTTGGATATACACCTAGTAGTAAAATTGCTGGATCATACAGTAGTTCTGTTTTTAGTTTTTTTGAGGAATCTCCATACTGTTCTCAATAGTGGTTGTACTGATTTACATTCCCCCCAACAGTGTGCAAGGGTTTCCTTTCTCCACGTCGTTTCCAGCATCCATTATTCTCTGTCTTTTTGATAAAAAGCCACTTTAACAGGGATAAAATGATATCTCACTGTGGTTTGGATTTGCGTTTCTATTATGATTAGTGAGGTTTAGTATTTGTTCTTATACCTGTTGGCCAAGAAGATATGTATGTCTTCTTTTGAGAAATGTCTATTCAGATCTTTTGCCCATTTTTAAAACCAGATTATTTGATTTTTTTTCTGTTATGTTGTTTGAACTTTTGTATATTCTGGATATGAATCCCTTGTCAGATAGATAGTTTGGAAATATTTTCTCTCATTCTATGGGTTGTCTCTCAACTTTGTTGATTGTTTCCTTTGCTGTGCAGAAGCTTTTTAGCTTGATATAATCCCAGTTATCAATTCTTGCTTTTATTGCCTGTGCTTTTAAGGTCTTATACAACAAATTTTTGCCCAGACCAGTGTCCTGGAGCACTTTCCTAATGCTTTCTTCTTGTAGTTTCATAGTTTCTGATCTTGTCATTCTTTTGATGACCCAGCTTTGGCGCTTCCTTATCATATTTGGAGAATCACCCACCTTTTGAGGGAGATTCTGCTTTTCACTATGAAGGCTGAAAGTGCTAGCTAACCCTGTTCCCACTGTCCTTTGCAGAAAGGGCTATATCCTATGCCCTAGAGGCCCTCCATCAGATAGATACAAACAGACCCTGAGTCAGAAGTTACTTTCGTGAAAAAGTAGAGACTATGCAGAAGCTTTTTTTTTTTTTTTTTTTTTTTTTTTTTTTTGAGATAGAGTCTCACTCTGTCGCCCAGGCTGGAGTGCAGTGGTGCAATGTTGGCTCACGGCAACCTCTGTCTCCTGGGTTCAAGCGATTCTCCTGCTTCAGCCTCCCGAGTAGCTGGGGCTACAGGCGCCCGCCACCATGCCCCACTAATTTTTTGTATTTTTAGTAGAGACGGGGTTTCACCACGTTGGCCAGGATGGTCTCAATCTCTTGATCTCGTGATCCACCCGCCTCAGCCTCCCAAAGTGCTGGGATTTCAGGTGTGAGCCACCGCGTCCAGCTCTGCACAAACTTTTTTGGGATCTAAGGAAGTAGTTACATCCAGCTCCCAGAGGCAACAGGGGCAGTGATGTTTGTGGCAGTGTTAGGTCTCCAGTGCTGCAGTGCTAAAGTTAGAAGCTGCAGTGCTGTGATATCTTCATTGGACCATATCTGTGGCATTATTTGAGCTTATGCCTGGCTGTGTGGCTTCAGAGCCTGGTTCTCTGGAGATTCTAGAAGCCACTTGATAGCCTTTTGGATATTTTAAAGCTGACCAAAAACTTACAAAAATATACGAAAACTTCCTTTGCACTCTGAGTTTAGGTTTTCTTTTTAAAATGTTTACATTAAAAATGATTTTTTAATTAAAAATTTAAACAATTTTTATAATAATTAAAAATCAGAAATAATTTTAGACTCACATAGAAGTTGCAAAAGTAGAAAATATAGTTTTGTATATCCTTCACCTAGCTTCCCCAATGACAATAATGTACAAAAGTATAGCATAGTTTTCAAAACCAGAAAAAAGACATCAATGCAAACAATTAACTAAACTACAGGATTTATTTGGATTTCACCAGTTTTTTTCTGCACTAAAAAAATGTATAGTACAAAATTTTATCTCATGTATAGATTTGTGAGGCCACCACCGCAGTCAGGCGGCCACACCTCCATCACCCCAAAGAAATTTCTTGTGCTTCTACCTTACAGTCACACCCGCCTGCCAAACTTCACCCTTGACAATGATCTATGGATTCATCATCACACTTTTATTATTTCAAGAACATCAATAAATGAAATCATATAGTACGTAACCACACACATCTCCCAAAGATGGATAATCATTCTATTATTTATTTATTTATTTATTTATTTATTTATTTATTTATTTGTTAGATGGAGTTTTGCTCTTGTTGCCCAGGCTGTTGTGCAATGGTGCGATCTCGGCTCACCGCAACCTCCACCTCCTGGGTTCAAGCGATTCTCCTGCCTCAGCCTTCCCGAGTAGCTGGGATTACAGGCATATACCACCATGACCAGTGTATTTTTTGTAGAGACGGGGTTTCTCCATGTTAGTCAGGCTGGTCTCCAACTCCCGACCTCAGGTGACCTGCCCGCCTCTGCCTCCCAAAGTGCTGGGATTACAGGCATGAGCCACCACACCTGGCCAGATAATAATTCTTAGAAACAATTCAGCCTAACTTTACAATAAAGAAGAGAAATATTTTCTAAACACATCATATTCTATATAGATTCCCCTACCAATTGTTTCATTTTGGAAACAATGCTTTATATTATCATGCAGAAGAGTTTTAATGCCCACTTCCTGTTTTCAGGTGTTGCTGGACTTGGGGCTTTGAAGCTGTTTCATCGTCTGCCAGCCACAGATTCAAGTACTCTTATTGCCACCTTTAGGTAGCAAAATGTCCTAGAAAGACTTTAAAATGGACTTTTCCTTTTCTTTTTCTTTCTTCTTCCTTTGGACCATGTTAAATTTTCTGGTGTGACATCCTTCTCATTACTTCCTATACATGAAAAATATGGTGTTAAGATTTATTGCCTTCTTGTTAGTAGCAAACCACAAGTGATATAAAAATATGTATTCCTTTAGTTACATATATAAAACACAATGAAGACAATTATTAGTTTACAACATAATATACCACCACTTTTTCTTCCCGTTGTTACTAACATGTGTCCTCTTTGATAAGGAAATGCTCTTATCGTAATTGACTCAATTTAGTAAAAACAACAATTTCACATATTTCTCCTAGGACTGACACATAAACACTCATCCACCACTTTGGCATGTCTTCTAGTGTTTTTGTGCTGGAACGTGGTAAGACAAAATAAACAAAGGGACGTTTGGCTCGTTGGTATTTATACTAACAGCTGGCATTCAGTGTAGTATCTAAGTGCTGGAGGTTGCAGATTCAGTGGAGGCAGAACATTCAGAAAAGCAAGAGGTATATGAAAGACATTTTATTACTTATCCATATATGAGTACTGAAATCATTTTTATTTCAATAGTCACATTTATACTCATTATATGATGATTTTATTATTACATATGGGGCTGTTAATGTCTAAGACTAATTTCCTGTAATCAAGTATGGCACTTTTAGATGAATGTACTTATAAAATGCTCCAGAGAAAAACTGATAACCTGGGAATGATGGGAAGGGTTAGAACTTTCCAGAGTTTTGTTGTGAAATATGTATTAGAAATCATCATTTTTTTTAAATTCTAACATTTTATTCTATCACACAAACCAAGTAATACCAAAAATGCCATTACTATACATATATCTTCAGAACACAATTACATGTGAGAAATCATCATTTTTAATAAAGATAGGTGTTTTTCCTTCCAGAAAGGCATATCAGCATCATGCGGATGAATTTTTAAAAATATACATCACTCCTGCCTATAAACATTTTGGGTTTCCATTTCTCTGGATTGAGAATCAGCTTTGCAATGATCCTTTCCTACCGTAAGGAGTTTGCACATCCTTGGTTATGCTAAAGATGAAACAGGAGTAAGAACCCCTAGGTCAGAGCTCTAACAACCTCAATTGAAAAGATTCGGATAAAACTGGGGATGAGGTTGTAGACTGTAGATAGATAAGAAACTTGAAACTGACTTATAAGCCTTCCATTTTTTTTTTGTCAGTTGCCTATGACATATGAGGAAAGTTGCTGAGACCACAAGAAATTCGCCTTTTTGTTTTCCTCAGGGTAAATGAGAACCTGGCAGGAGTAGATACCAGGATCTGTAAAGTTGTACCAGCTTTCCTTTTTTCTTTTAACTTGAAATGTTAGAAACCTCTACCTTAGATGCAACTATCTTTAGTCCTTTATTACTGATTAGGATCACTTTCTTATTTTTCTTTAGTATTAGATAACACTCTTTGACGTCATTGTCTTGCCTCTCCTAAATAGAAGTATTTTTGTCCATGTTTAGGCTGGAGTTCCAATAGGCCATTGATGAGCTCTTGAAAGTTGGGAATCAAACAAGAATTCTAGAGCAGTGCTGAACTTTCTCTAACAATGGAAATCTCTGTGCTGGCCAATCTGGTCACCCTTAATCACCATTGGCCAACTGATCATTTGAAATGTGACTAGTATGACTGAGGAACTAAATTCCAAATTTTATTTAATTTTGACTTAAATGGCCAATTTTGACTTAAATGGCTACACTAGGAAACAATGCAGCTCTAGAGAAAAAACTCAAGTGAGAGACTCAGGGCTTCTTTAAATGTAATTGCTCTCACTCAGAGATTTTCTTTCTAGAGCTCTTCAACATCTAACATCTTAGAAATTTTATAATTTGTTTTATTGAAGGAGGCCATTTATTTACAGTCTCTCTGAATTATTTTGCCCAGGCTTTTAGAGTTTAGGCCAGGCATGGTGGCTCATGCTTGTAATTCCAACATTTTGGGAGGATGAGGCAGGAGGATCACTTGAGCTCAGGAGTTTCAGACCAGACTGGGCAACATAGTGAGACCTGTCTCTTTAGAAAACATTACCTACATTAAAAATAAATAGATAAATAAATAAATGTTCAATACTCCTTCACAGACTGTTTTATCTTCCAGGCACTCCCCTCTTGACCATACCGCATCCTTCCCCAGTTTCATGAAGAACATAGGGGCAAGCACATAGGAAATATGTCAAGAGCGTTGTATATGCAGGTATAGAGCACTTCAACTTGCAAAAAGGCTGGCTTACAAAGGCTCATATGTGAATTATGGTTTTGCAACTTCAGATAGATTTCCCATTAACTCAGGGTACCAGAGCAGCCTCAAAAAGGGAAGTTACATATGTTATACGAAACAATCAGAAACAATAAAGCTGTAATTCCAATACAAATAAAAAATTAGAAATAGAACAAATGGACAGTTTTTTAAAATTTAGGATGAGAGACAAAAGAAACAAAGGGACATAAGTGTGCACAGTTTCCTTGAAGGCGGGGTTCAGGGGAAAAGAATATGCGTGAAGAAGACATTAGATCAGAGAATTCAGCTCTGAAGTAGCACCATCACCAGTCATCAGCATGGAACAAGCGCAGGTAGTGGGCCACTTTCCAGTGATGGTTACCAGATGTTTCTGAGTTGACTGCTTAAAACTGGTGAGGGAGAGAGTACAGTAATACCTACACTCTCCATAGCTTTTTATTTTTTAAACAAGGGTCTCAAAAGCATTTGAACTGCATAGGACTTAATGTCACCTGCATAAGCTCTAAGGAATTAGTCTTATCAGGCAGGCTTGGCAGACCCATCCTCCCCATGGGGTTAGGAAGAAGACAAAAATATGTGAGGAATGTCTTGATTGTAATAATACCTCCAGCATGTGGCACAGGGTCTACTAGGGTAATTGTTGAATGCATGATTGCGATATTGGCTGAGTGAATGGTATGGGTCCTGTTCTGAGCAGTCTGTCCAGAAAGAAAATGAAACAGTGGCTTCATGACCTGTGGACACTGGTCAGTCTTTTAGGGGGTTGAGGGTTACTCATATTTTGCCTCTAGAAACTAAGTATCAATAGAGTTTCCTTAGGCTCTTCTGTGGAGATGGATATAGTGTAGATATGCTTCTCTGAAGTCAATTACCATTAAAATTTATAGAGGTTTTTCTTGTATGGAATCCTATGACTTCATTTAATCTCTTTGGATTATTGGTATACTCTCCTTTTTGCACTATGGTAGAATCCACATGGTTAATAAATGAAAGATTATAAGAGGCTTGCCATCAAATTGACACCTACAATTCATCTCTCTTGACCCATGCATGGGAGAAACCTGGAGAAGTACAGCATTCAGCTGACTGTGGCGGTGGCTGCTATTTTTCATGGTCTGACTGAAGTTCTAGTTAGCCCTTGACTCTTTCCTGGAATACTACTATCATTTTCAGATAGAAAAATGATAGCTTACATGAAAACTTAGAAACAGATTGTTTTGCCTTAAACCAATTTATCTCACATCAATTTATCTAAAGGTCAACCTTCTTTGAGAATTTCTATATTCTCAGACATCCTCTTTCCCCCTATGCATTTGAGAGTTTATGTTTTCAATGTATTTCAATCAAATATATAGGGCTGATGTCTACTTTTGGATAACAGAGAGTAACAGTGACCAGATTTATCTTCCTGCCTAAAACAACTAATTGAAAAAAAGGGAGACAAAGTATGTAAAACAATGGTGTTCAGACACTGGACATGGGACAGCACAAAGTAGTGATCCCTAAGAGAGGACAAATCAATAAGCTGAGCCCTGTGATTGCTCCGCTGACCTCCTTGAGAGAGTCCTTAGGCCACAGGGCCAGAGGGCGTGCCCTGGTGGGCTGATTACAGTCAATTGCTAGACACCGCATCATCAGATTTGTGAATTTTCCAGCTGGACTATTGTACTAGAGATATTTTCATGAAGGCTTACTTTCCTGCCATGCTGACATCCTTCTCCTGAGGAAAGTGGTTTTCTCCCATTCTTTCTGCCTAAAATTGCTGTTGAATCTAAAACTCAGTTGATTGAAAATTTAAATAAAATAAAATAAAGTTGCCTTGGGCAGCATATGTGATGATCAATCAGTGAATCTATCCTTTATCTTCTGGCTTGGACCAGTTGGGCCAGGGATTTGTGTTCATGCTTAGGGTTGAAAATAAAGAAGTTACTTGACAAGAATTTTGTCCCTTGGATCATATTGGATAGTAACTAATTGAGCAGTTCAGATGTTTTCTCTTAGAAAGCATAAATGCCAACCAAAAAGTGGGACCCTAAAACTCAGGTTGTATCTTGAAAGGCTGAACAACTATTTTGATTTTCCATGAGGTCTGATATATATCTTAGTCTTAATGTAGCAGAGGGATTTTTTTTCTGTTTTTCTCACAGTAAATGGCTATCACCAAAAGTAATACCTTTATATATTTTGTAGGAAAATATGCAAAGTGTATATATAAAGTAATACTTTATATATATATTCGTATATAAAGTAATACCTTTATATAGCTTGTAGGAAAATATACCTTTATATATAAAGTAATACCTTTATATAGTTTGTAGGAAAATACAAACTAATAAAGATTCTTTATCAATAATAATCTTATAGTTATGATTTATTGATTTACTGTGAACTAAGCTCATTTAAACTACCCAATGTTGTCTCGTAGGGAAATGTATTATTATTATTATCATCATCATCATCATCATCATCATCACAGCTTTACAGGTTGTAGCCCAAGGTCAGATGAGTAGTAAGCATAAGAGTTGTGATTCAAACCCAAGTTCAAGTTAATCTGAACAATTATTTTATGCTCCTTTTCCTCCCCTGGTTATGCTTCTTTAATCACGTCATTGATTAATATTTCGTCTACCTAAGTTAATTAGGACATCTGGAAAAAAAACGATGAAAACTCAGGGCATAGGTTTGATCTTTCTTTTCTTTTCTTTTCTTTTTTTTTTTGAGATGTAGTCTCGCTCTGTCGCCCAGGCTGGAGTGCAGTGGCGCAATCTCGGCTCACTGCAAGCTCCGCCTCCCGGGTTCACACCATTCTCCTGCCTCAGCCTCCCGAGTAGCTGGGACTACAGGTGCACACCACCACGCCCGGCTAATTTTTTGTATTTTTAGTAGAGATGGGGTTTCACCGTGTTAGCCAAGGTTTGATCTTTCTTAATTTATTTGACTCAAAATTTGTTTTTGATGTATCTTATTCCTGGGTAAGTATTATTAAAATTGAATTGATTTTACTTGGGTGAGTTGTCAGTGACTGCTATTAAAATTGCAATTAGAATGTGTGTGAATCACCATTTTTCCAAGTAATTAAATAAGAGATTATCTTATTTTTGAGAGACTCTTAGCCACCAGCAAACATGTTTTTAACTAATAGACTTTAAATAAAACTCATTGTGATATTTTACTACTACATAGTAGAACTGAATTCTTATCAGGGAAGGTTAATATTTCTAATCAAAGAAACACAAATACAGTTCTCACCTTCAGACAGAAGAAATTTTATTTAGAATTTTATGTTAAATAATTGGTTAGAATCTATTAAGTGTGGTTTGAAAAGGTGATTTTTTAAAAAAAAAAGTTCATCAGAAAAGTTCAATACAGAAAATAGCATTTGTTTTAGGAATTATCATGGGCATTAGTACAGCTGAGATTAGCAAGCATAATCTTTGGGGCCTATTAATTAGATAAAAAACTGGCATGGTTTGGAGTATAAGGAAACCTGGAAGATGAGCTGTTGGACTACATACTTAACAGAGTGGCTTAAATTGATTGGTATTTTTGGCAAAGGACTAATAAATATTGTCAGTTTTCCAAAGAATTACAGAAGGAGACTAGGCAATGACATACTGTAAAAATTATTAAACCCTGCGATATTATTGCATCCATAAAATCTCACACAGTATACCAGATTATAATTTTTCTAAGATTAAAAGAAAAAAAAAACCATATGTTAGGACTTCAGCTCTTTGGGGCAACTGAGCAGAGAATGTCTTATAGAAGTCATGGTTAAGGAAAAAAAAAAAAGTCCGGGCACGGTGGCTCACGCCTGTAATCCCAGCACTTTGGGAGGCCGAGGCGGGCAGATCACTAGGTCAGGAGATTGAGACCATCCTGGTGAACACGGTGAAACCCTGTCTCTACTAAAAATACAAAAAATTAGCTGGGCGTGGTGGTGGGTGCCTATAGTCCCAGCTACTCGGGAGGCTGAGGCAGGAGAATGGCATGAACCCGGGAGGCGGAGCTTGCAGTGAGCCGAGAGGTGCCACTGCACTCCAGCCTGGGTGACAGAGCGAGACTCTGTCTCAAAAAAAAAAAAGAAAAAGAAAAAGAAAAAAAAAAACCCCAAATGGCAAAAACCCAACCAATTGCCTTAGAATTAAACTCTCTTTTTGAATATGATATGAATAAATTTGGGTGTTCTTTTTGTCATTTTAATGTTTAAAAATCATATTTGTTAAGGTATTTAGTATCATTATTAAAATTTTGCAGCACATAGTAAAAAGTCAAACAGTACTAAAAGATATGCAGTGATTATTGAGTCTCCCTCTTAGCTCAGACTCAGGAAGGTAATCATCAACAGTTTCTCCGTGTCCTTCCTAAACATTTTCAGTCATCCATATATACTTGTTTTTATACAATGAGAGTGTATTCTATTCACTAGTCTTCAAAATATAAATGTTTTCTACTAAATACAAAATCTTAGTGACATCTTCATATCAACATGTACATATCTACTTTATTCTCTTTAATGGTAGCTTATTATTCTTTTATATAGTCATACTTTTTTTTTATTTAGCCAGTTCTCTATTGGTATACAATTAGGGATCTTTGACATCTTTTCTATCGTTATGGTACAATGAACATTCCTGTATATATATATGTCTTTGTTAATGTCCAAGTATATATGTTGGACAAATATTTATAAGCAGAATTACTAGGTCAAAGAGCATTGGGTTATTCAATTTTGATCTTGTCTACTTACCATCCGAAGAAAATTTTAACCAATTATACTGCTATTAATTAGGAAAGAGAATGGCTCTCACCAACATGGTAGTCAAACGATCTTTGTTAGTCTTATAGGTGAAAATAGAATGTTGTTTTACTTTGCAAACCATTGACTTTAAATAAAGCTGAAAACTTTCCGTGTTTTAATCTGTTATTTTTTCTATAAAATGTATGTTTTGCTCATATTTCTATTAAGTTTTTCATTTTTCTTATTTGTAATAGTGTTTCATAGATCAAGGAAATTAGCAAAATACACTTTCTTATTACGTTTTCTTGAGGAAATCAATAAGCATCTTTGGTTATAGATGATTTAGAGGCACCACCAGTGATGAGTATGGTATTCAGGTTTGATTAGTCCATGATCAGTATTGATACACTAACTTCATACTAATTTATTTGATCAACATTAGAGGTTAAAAGAGATATTTTATGTACATCATTTGTATAGTCATGTATGCCTTTTGTATACTTTCACTGCAGTAAAGTTTATACAAACTACAAGACATAGATGTAAAATGCACAATATGTTTTGATGAATGTATATATCCCTATGATCAGTATACACTCATAACCCTCAAAAGTTTCCTCTTTCTTTTATCAATCCCCATCCCACCTCCTGTTGGTACTTACTTTTTCTCCTAGAGGCAGTCACTAATCTGGCTTTTGCCTATTATTAAACTCCATTTAGATAATCCAGAATATGGTTTATCTTAATAAAATTTTCACATGTACCGAGAAGTGTGTGTATTATACTGTTGTCAGGTGCTCTGTAAAGGTCAATTAGGCCAAGCTGGTTGAAATGTTTTCCATTTATTCCATCAATTATTGACAGAGGATGGTGAAGCTTTTCACTTTTACTTGTGAATTTTTAATTTTGCCATTCATGCTCTCAGATTTTGCTTCATGTATTTTGAGGCTCTGTTATTAGGTGCATAAATGTAAATGATTGTTATGTCCTTCTGATAAACTGATTTTTATTTTTATCATTATAAAACGCCTCTTTTTATGCTTGTTAATATTCTTTGCTCTGAAATCTACTTGGTCTAATACTAAAAGTGTCACCCTGAGTTTCTTTTGATTAGTATTAAGGTAGTATGTCTTTTTCAGTTTTTTTTTCCTTTTCACTTATTTGTATTTTGCATGAAAAGTATATCTATTGTAGGCAGCATATAATTGGGTCTTGCTTTTTTATTGAATATACCAACCTGCATCTGTTAATGGGGGTGCCTAGACTATTTACATTTCACATGATTATTGATAAAGTTACATTTAAATCTATCATTTTGCTATTTGTTTTCTATTTGTCCCAACTGTTCTTTGTTCCCATTTCCTTCTTTTCTGCCTTTTGAATTGTGGGTTATTTATGGCTCCATTTTATCTCCTTTGCTGGCTTATTAGCTTCAGTCCTTTTTGTTGTTGTTGTTTGTTTGTTTGTTTGATTTTTCTTTTCGGAGAGAGAGTCTTGCACTGTTGCCTGGGCTGGAGTGCAGTGGCGCAATCTCAACTCACTGCAACCTCCACCTCCCAGGTTCAAGCAATTCTCCTGCCTCAGCCTCCCAAGTAGCTGGGATTACAGGCACTGGCCACCATGCCCAGCTAATTTTTTGTATTTTTACTAGAGACGGGGTTTCACTATGTTGGCCAGGCTGGTCTCAAACTCCTGACCTCGTGATCCACCCGCCTTGGCCTCCCAAAGTGCTGGGATTACAGGAATCCTTTGTTTTTATAGTGGTTGTTTTAGAGTTTAAAAGATACATCTGTAACTTATCACAATCTATCTTCAGGTAATATCATACCATTTTACAAGTAGTATCAGTCATATATTCATATATTTATATCACTTTAAAGATAATATAAGAGCCTGACAGAAGGATATTTTCATCACCATCATCACCATCACCACTTTGAAGTCTCTGTGCTGTTGGTATCCTTCATTTCACTTCTACGTATATTATAAGCCCCAAAATATATTGTTATTATTTTTACTTTAAATGATATATTAAGCAGCGTTATAAAAATTTTTAAATGTTGTTCTATTTACCCATATATTTATCACTTCTGGTGCTCTTCGTTCCTTAGTGGAGATCTAGATTTCCATCGGGTATCATTTTCCTCCTGCTTGAAGAATTTCCTTCATCATTTGCTATACTGTTGTTCTGTAGATAATAAATTCTTTCAGACTCTGTACGTCTGAAGAAGACTTCATTTTCACCTCTGTTTCTGAAAGATATTTGCCCTGGGTAAAAAAATGTGAGGTTGACAATTTTTTTTTTCTCCCTGTTTTAAAGATGTTCTACTGTCTTCTCATTTACATTGTTTCCAATAAGTCTGCTGTCATCCTTATCTTTTTTCCTCTGTATGCAACACATTTTTATTCTCTGGCTGCTTTTATAATTTTGTTTTTGTCGTTAATTTTAAATAGTTTGTGCTATGTTTTGATATGCATGTATATGTGTGTGTATATATATCTATTGATTTAATGTTTCTTGTGCTTGGTGTCTATGGCACATTTTGAATCTGTGGGGTTATGGGTTTTTTAAAAATCAAATTTAGAAATTTTTCAGACATTATTTCTTCAAATGAGTTATTTGTTCCCTATTCAGCAGCTACAATTACATACGTAATAGGTTCCTTAAAGTTGTTCACTGATGCTCTGTTCAATACTTCTAGTCTTTTTACTCTGTGATTAATTTTGAATAGTTTCTATTGCTATATCTTCAAGTTTAGTAATGGTTTTCTACTGTGAATCCCATCCAGTGTACTTTTCATCTTAAAAAATGCATTTTCATTTCTAGCATTTTGATTTGCATCTTCTTAAATCTGACATGTCTCTACTTAACATGCTCGCTCTTTCCTCTACTTTCTTGTATGGTTATAATATAGTTTAAATGACTGTTTTTATGTTCTTTCGCACTTCTGTAAGCACATCTGTGTCACTTCTGAGTCTGCTTCTATTGATTAATTTTTCTTCTTAACATGGAAAGTGTTTTTCTGCCTCTTTGTATATTTGGTATTTTTTATTGGATACCAGGCTTTTAAAATTTTACCATGTTTGCTGTTAAATATTTTGGTATTCCTATAAATATTTTTGAGCTATGTGCTGAGACACAGGTAAGTTACTTACAAGGGTTTTGAGACTTGCTTTTAAGCCTTGTTAGGTGGGCTTGGAGCAGGTGTTAGTCTAGGGCTAATTTGCTCTGTTATTGAGGCAGTGCCCTTCTTTTCCTACTCAATGCTGAGTGAAATGTGAGGTTTTCCATTTGATGTTTAATGGGTGTGGGAGATTATTCCCTCTGTTCCTTTAGAATAGATCTTTTCTTGAACTCAAGCCGTTTCTTCATAAACTTGTACTGGTGAATATTTAGCTGAGAACTTGAGGGAACCCTCTGCAGAACTCTGAACTTCAATCTGTGTGCAGCTCTCGCCTTTCTGGTATATCTAACGGTGAACTTTAGAAGGCTTAGGTTCCTCAGACTCCCAATTCTGTCTCCTCAATTCAGGGAGACTCACACCAAACCAAGACTTCAAACATTTTAGCAAAATAGTAACTATTTTTGCTTAAATGAGATTGCACATGGATTTTTGTTACTTGCATTGAAAGTCCACCTGTTTGTTGAGCTTCAAGATATGAAGACTTGATATCTTGATATAATCCTCCGTGAATAGTTTCTCTCAAACTATTAAATATTATACAAATAGGCTATTTAATTCATTTTATTATGACTATTATATAAACTCAGTATAAAACACACAGATGCATGTGTGCATATACATACTACCACCACCACTATCATTAAAAATACTGTAAATTGGAAAACAAGGACCATCTAGAATGTCATGACCCAGTGACTGTGCCTATTTCTATCTCACAAAAAAGTCTTTAATAATTTGATAGATGTCCATAAATATTAGGTTATACAAACTGAGTTCTGAATCCCATTATCTTCCTTCTTTATATTATCATTCTTCAGAAGACTCAAATTTTAATGTGTTCAATTTCCATTTTTTTCTTTTAGTTGGTCTTTTTCATGTATCTTATTTTATCATCTTATCTGTCTTAGGTTTCCCCACACCAACATCATAGCTATATTTTCATGTAAATTATAAAATTTTAAAAGTTTTCTTTTCACTTTTAGAAGTTGAATCTACTCGGAATTAATCTTGGTATATACTGTGAGACAGAAATCTAATTTTGCATGCAAATAATAAATATTTTCAACCTGTTTATTGAGAAGTCTGCTCTTTCCTCATTGATTTATATTACTCACCTCTGTCATATATATATGGACCGGTTTCTGGGTTCTCTGTTCAAATTCATTGATCAATTTGTCTGTACTTATCTCATAGTCTTAATTACTAAATATCAAAAGAAAGTATTGATGCCAGATAAAACAAGTCTCCCTATTAGTTCTTCATCAAAATTAACTTGAATATTCTTGGTCTGTTGCTCTTTCATATGAATCTTGGTTTATTTATCTAGTTCCTGACGTGCACAAAATATTTATTAGAACTTTGGTTCAAACTTAACTGAGTATATGGATTAATTTGAGGGCAAATTGATATCTTTCTGACACAAAGTCATCCAACTAATGAATATAGCATAACTGTTTATTTATTCGTATCTTCTTTTATGTGCTTTAATGTTGTATTGTGTGGACCAAATACAATATTGTATTTTGAAGACCAAAATAGACACTCCTTTAACAACTAAGATGGACCCCCAAGGTTAACAAAACAAAAGTTACCTACTAGTTGAAAGTTCAGGACTTAGGTGATGTGACAACTTCCTAAATCCCTGTGGCTACAAAGAAAAAACCACATTCTTACTAAACTCTCTAACAATAGGAGTTCAGATCCCTCCTCACTCTAATTTACAACTGAGACAACTACCACTCTGTTTGGACAGAGGACTGGCCTTACAAATATTCTTTCTTTATAAACAACTGCAGTCCTTAAGCCAGTTTCAGCCAGATTATAGAGGCTGTGCACAAGCTGTCTTTGGGTCCCATAGTTCATCTTTTGACATAAATAACCAAATTCTATCTCAGTTTAATGCTAAAACCCCACCCCAAAGTGAATGTGGGTTGTATGTTACATTTATGTTTACCCATTGCACATGCACTTGACCTCCTTCATGATTATGTATAACTTTTCCCTCAAATCTGCTGAACATGTATGACTCTACTGAGGAATATGGGCCTTGTGAGGCACAAAAGCCAATCTGCTCTTCCCTTCCCCGAAGAGAGAGCACTTTTAGTCCACACCAGAGACTGTCTCTTCCCCATTTGCAAGCTGATATTGCCAATAAAGGTCTTCTTTCTACTATTTAGCCATCCTGGTGATTTTTTTGGACGACAACTGTAATTTTCTTCATAAGGGTTTTTATATTTATTCCTTTTTGTTCTTTTTGTTCTTTTGTTGGGATAACTATCTACTTTTACCAATATATAGGATGGCTATTGATTTTGTATCCAAAATGCTTATAAAATAATTAATATTAACATTTTATTCATGTATTATCTATGAAGAAAAAATAGAAAACAAGAATGTCTTATTTAATAGGACAATAAGATGTTTTTGTTGTACAAGCAAAATAAAAAATTGATTTTAAATAGGACTTCATCAAAATTTAAAACTTTTTTACTTCAAAGAATACTCCCAAGAAAACAAAATGACAACCCAGAGACTGGGGGGAACTGTTTGACAATCATATATCAGATAAGGGACATGTAGCTAGAATATATAAAGAACTCTTTCAACTCAAAAGGAAAGATAGCCCAATTGAAAAAGACAGCAAAGAATCTGAATAGCTATTTTTCCAAATAAAACATACAAATGGCCAATAAGCACATGAAAGGGCAATCAAGACGTAGCCGCCCCATTCCTCCAATAAGGGATTTATAGTACCATCTACCTCCTACCCCTGTAAGCTCTGCCTTAAACACAAAAGAGAAAAATAAGATTACTTTGTAGCATCTAGCATTCAAATCCACATAGGCAACCAAGTTTTTGCCATATATGTGCTGTCACTCCACAGACATTGTGGCATCTTGCACAACTGAGTGATTCCTGCTGATCTTTTTTTTTTTTTCTGTTAAATCTCAAGGATAAGCATCAGACAGAAAAAAATTTAAGAAGCATCACCTTTCCAGGGATGACAGCAAAACACAAAAATAAATGATAAAATTAAGATAGTACTATAGAAGAAATGGTATAGTTGAAATGACAAAAAACTTGGGGACAACTGACTTTTAGGGGGAGGTAGGAGGATTATATCAAGATATCAAGATATTTCCTATACTGGGAAACCAGTAAAGGAAACATAAGAAACAATCAGAGAAATTCGAAGATGAAAAACATTATATTGTACCAATCAAGAGAATGTTGCTTCAAGAGGAGGGTGATTGACAATTCCAACTCCTACTGAAGAAGGACGATTGAAAATGGCTAGTGCATTTGACAATTAGGAAGACAATGGTATAATTGGAGAGACTGTGTATTAACTTTGGATTCTGATTTATCTGGATTTGAATCCCAATGCCACCTCTTATTAAGCTATGTAAGTTTAAGTCCTCATCTAAGTCTATAAACCTGAATCATGGGATTGCTGTGTAATCTAAATGAGATAAATGTGTAATATCTCACACATGGTAAGCTATGACTGAAGAAAAGAGAAAGATAGGGTGGCAGATAAAAAGAAGATTAGAATGGGTAGGGATTTAGTTGGGCCATCGAAGAGTGAAATCATGGGTAGAGAAGGGGGAGAAGTCTGGTATATAAGTGGATCCAGAAGATATTCAACAGAGGCCTGATCAAATAGAAGCAGAGTGGGTAGCTCAAAAGCAGATAGTGGGGCAGAGCAGAAAATGGGATGGAAGGAGGAGACACTTGGATCAAATGGAAAAACACGATATTTTGGAGTCATTTATTATTATGCCTTACATTTGTCCATATGCCATAAACATATATTTGAATTGGCTCATACTATGATATTTTGTTTTAAAATGATATCAGAAAAGTTAAGATGTCTTTAATAATGAGGAAATCATGTTATATATTATAGTGTACCAACAACTATTAAACTGAAAAGAAAATATTAGCCTTTATGGTTAGGTTAAAGATATCTGGAATACTCAGTAAATCAGAATCCCTTACTGCCTGGTGATGGTATACAGAGAAACCTTCCTTACAACTTAGTGGTATATTTATTAGCTCAGTCAGGCCCCTCCAAAGAAGAACTGGGACTGAGTAGATGACAAACTTGGAAAGATTGTGAAGTTAAGAACAAGAGGAGTAAAATGGAAGAAATAGATCCTAATCCTTTGTTCAAGAAATGTTTAGTCTTATGGTATCCGATAAATCAGGGACTCACAATTGAAATGTCAAGTTTCAATAAGCATTATTCTCTCTGTAACTCGTTTTTATTTTCTTTTTCACCAATATCCTTCTTAACAACAGTTCTCTGTATTTCTAATTTAACCCAGGCCAAGGCTTCTTTGCTGTTCTATGTATTTTAAGTCACATTTACATGATGAGATGACTATAGGTTAAAGAAGAAGAGAAAGAATGAAGGTAGGAAGTAAGGATGGAGGAAAAAAGGATAGGAGACAAACCAGGAAGAAAGGAAGGAGCGGCCAATTTAAAACAATAGCAGAAGGATGCGGCAGAAAAATAAATAGACTCCAGCACTTCCTAAAGTTTGAGATGCTCTTTTAAAATGTTTTTTTTTTCAATCAGATAAGAACACATTCTGCTCTCTTATAGATACCCAATGCATGTTAGCACATTATGGACTCTGAGAAGGAAGCAGTTTACCTTCGCTTAACTTGACATTTCCCAAATGTATGTACTCATGGTTTCCTGTGTAACAACTTTTAATAGCCATGGTAATTTAATTTCCCTGGCATACACTTTAGGAAAAACTGGAGTTCAGAACTTCACTTGCACAGACTGTTGAATTGTATTTTCTTCTTCTTAAGCACAACTTTTTATTATCTTTGACTGGCTATTGCAAGGTACCAGTTGGATTGCATGTCATTATATAATGCTCAATATCTATTATTCCAGGAAATACTGTCCATTGGTTGTATATTTCACAGCTCTCTAAGCCACAGTTCTTTAGTCTTTGAAGATATGATTTGAGCAGCAGGAGAAATGAGATGAGCTCAGACACCAACAGTCATCTATTTTAGAAAGATATATGTAGTAGGCAGATTAATGACCTCCAAAGATATTCATGCCCTGATTATTGGGTTTGTGAATATGTTACCTTACATGGCAAAAGGGACTTTGTAGTATGATAAAGTTAACGAATCTTGAGACAGAGAAATTATTTTGGATTATCCAGGTGGGCTCAACTTAATCGCTTGAGTCCTTAAAAGTAGAGAACATTTCCCTTGTGCAGACAACCAGAGAGATGGTAGCATGAGAAGGACTCAGTCCACCATTTAACTTAACTTTGAAGATGGGAGCAGACCAAGGAATGTGGGCAGACTTTAGAAGCTGGAAAAGAATAGGGAAGAGATTATCCCCTAATGCTTCAGAAAAGAACACAGCCCTGTTGACATCTCAATTTTAACCCAGTAACACCTGCATCAGACTTCTCATCTACAGAACTGTAAGAATATATTTGTAATGGTTAAGCCGCCAGTTTGAGGGAATTTATAACAGTAGCAATAGAAAAATTATATGTATATGCAAGTATAAGAGGAGGCAGGTTAGGAAATGTTTGTACTGAGCAAAATCCTCTAGAAGGAGATTATTTTAAAAGCTGCATTCTGGCACGGTAGTAGGCAGAGTTCCATAATAACCTCCAAGATTGCTGGCCCCTGGTATATGCACATATTTCCTAGTTATTCCATCAATCACTAATATGAGTGCTGCTACCAAAGGATTTTGCAGGTGTATCTAAGTTCTCACGTCCACTGGTCTCAAAATAGAGATTATCCTCTATGGGCCTGACCTAATCAGCTGAGCCCTTAAAAGTGATGGGACTCTTTTTGGCAAAAAGAGGTTGGATGAATGAGAGGATTTGACACCAGGGCCATTCTCCACTGCTGGCTTTGCAGATGAAGGGGTTCACTGTTTGTTCCAAGATTGAGGGCAGGCTCTAAGAGCTGAGAGTTGCCCCCAGCTGACAGCCAGCAAGAAAATGGGAACCTCAGTCCTATAACCACAAGGATCTGAACTCTGCCGGCAAAGTGAATGAGCTTGAAGACAGCTCCAGATGACATCAGAGCTGCCTGACTCCTTGATTTCAGCCTTGTAAAATCCTGTGCAGAAAACCAAGCCTTGCTGTCTCTAGACTCCTGACCCTCAGAACTGTGAGTGAATAAAAGGGTCTGGTTTTAAGCAGCTAAATGTGCGGGAATCTGCTACATAGCAGTAGAAAACTAATTCAGGTGGATTATGATATAATATTTAGGAGTCATATACAACTCTATTTTAGTCAATGATAAGATTGACATAGGGCCTGAGGAAAGGCACTTTCCACAGGATTATATACCTTTGAGGGTAATTAATTGTATGTGTGCCACAGAGCCTATGCATTGCAGATGCAAATGAATACTTTTTTTTTTTTTTTGAGACAGGTTCTCATTTTGTTGCCCAGGCCAGAGTGCCGTGGTGTAGTCATAGCTTACTGTAACTTTGAATGCCTGTACTCAAGCGATCCTCCCATCTCAGCTTCCCAAGAACCTGTGACCACAGGCATGTGCCACCACCTGGCTAATTTTTCTATTTTTCATAGAGATGGAGTCTTGCTGTGTTGCCCAGGCTTGTCTTGAACTCTTGGGCTCAAGAAGTCCTCCTGCCTTGGCCTCCCAAAGTGCTGGGATTAAAGGCATGAACCACTGAGCCCAGCCTGAATACATTTTGATTTGAATTTAAAAGAATCACGAATCCCATTTTATTTTGGGGACCTGTTTAAGGGATGCTCAACTTTAAACATCTCCACTCCTTTGATGTTCATTTTCTCTTTCCATTTGATAAAACAAGGCTAGCCTGTTTATTAAAAAGATGAAATATATTCCCATCAAAAGACAAATACTGATTGTATCACTCACATATGAGAGCAGACATCAGGGCACTGCATAGGGAGAAGTTGTGGAGAGGACACCAGCTGTCTCCAGTGCTGGGAATGCACTAGCCAGCTTGCTGAATTTTTTTTTTTTTTTTTTTTTTTGAGATGGAGTTTCACTCTTCTTGCCCAGGCTGGAATGTAATGGCGTGATCTCAGCTCACTGCAACCTCCACCTCCCAGATTCAAGCAATTCTCCTGCCTCAGCCTCCTGAGTAACTGGGATTACAGGCATGCGCCACCACGCCCGGCTAATTTTGTATTTTTAGTAGAGACGGGTTTTCTCCATGTTGGTCAGGCTGGTCTCGAACTCCCGACCTCAGGTAATCGGCCCACCTCGGCCTCCCAAAGTTCTGGGATTACAGGCGTGAGCCACCGTGCCCGGCCTGCTAATCTTACTAAAAGAAGTGACCAGGGTTTGATGGAGAAATGTCAGAACTTTGTATCTTAGCAGGTTGTCCACACGTCCTAAAAGCATACATGCCTACCTACTTTTGTGTCCTGATTGATTCTCTTGGCCTATACACTGGAAGTCAAGATACTTAAGATAAAGGATTCAGAGGAGGGAATGAGCAGGTAATTCTCAAGACTAGAAGGACAGCGTTAATGCTGAATTCAGGATTCATGTCTGAGAAGGGTAAGACTGCTGCAGCAAATAGAAGATGAACGTCAGTTTGCTTATTTGTAAAATCAGAGTTGGCAAAAGAAGCTGGTGGAATCCCATTGAACACAATCAGCAAAGCTTTCCTTTGGTGGATTTCAACCTGAATTCCAGGTTGTAGACAAAGACCTGCAAAGGGATATTTATGGTGGAAACAATAGTCTTAATTCTTATCAGAAGCGGAACACATGTAGAATAATATAGGTTGTATTAATATTAAATTTAAACTGTAGTATTAACATGAAACTTAAGAATTTTTGGCAGATATATTAATTAAAAATAATTTTTATTTAACAAAAGGAAGAACTCTTAGAATTAGCAGGCAAAAAATGTCTCGCTCATTTAAATGTGTTTGCTATGGAGACAGAAATTTTAAACCTGTGGGAACTAATATTAAGTGATAAGTTGTCTAGATCAACTCTGTAAATGTAAGACATTATATGATTTAGTTATAAGTTTTTAATCACTATCATACAGTTCAGTGAGATGTCTTTATCCTAATCTGAACAAATTTTTAGAAAACTTGAATCACAAATAAGGATATTAGCAAGAGATAATGATTTGCTAATCTCACAAGACTATTGTTTTAGAGACTGATGTTGTGTGCATAGCATCTATTGTTTCGAGATCTGATTGTATGGCAAATTTATTTTGAGTCAGAAAGCTGAGGAGAAATCTTTTCTGTATGCTTTCTTATGGCATGCACTGCTTAAATTGTTTTTCTTTTAGGGGTGCTACTTAAAAAGCATTACCATTATGAAAAAGCAAAAGCTGGCTGGGCAAGGTAATCCCAGCACTTTGGGAGGCCAAGGCAGGTGGATTGCTTGAGCCCAGGAGTTCGAGACCAGCCTGGCCATCATGGTGAAACCCCATCTCTACCAAAACTACAAGAATTAGCTGGGCGTGGTGGCAGGCACCTGCAGTCCCCACTACTTGGGAGGCTGAGCCACAAGAATCACTTGAACCCAGGAGGCAGAAGTTGCAGTGAGCCAAGAACTCGCCATTGAACTCTAGCCTGGGCAACAGAGCATGACTCTTTCTAAAAAAAAAAAAAAAAGAAAAGCAAAAGCCACTAGTTATACAGAAGTTGTTCAGTGCAAATGACAAATTGTACCTATTATAATCTTCTGAGTCAAAAGTGAGTGCCCCTGTCCCTTGCTAAAGAAAAAGGGGTATTTTTTTCCATCAAGGGACAGGCACATTCATTTTTGAGTGGGACAGTTTGGAACACTTACTAAAATGATTCTTGGAAACTAAAATGAAAGATTATTTTATATGTATTCATAGTTATTTATTTAGAAAACATAAGAACACTAAAACAGCGCATGCTCCACATATGACCTTGGGAAGTCCAGTGAACTCTAAAAGGTGTAATGGCAATGTGTTTATTGGGCGGGATGGAGGAATGCCCAATATCAGGACAGGCCTTATTGCCAAAGTCCTCACTGGAGTTGTGGGCTTAGCAGGTGGAACATGTATGGCAGTAATAATACTGAACTATGTTTAGAATAATTTGGAATCCTCCAATTGGAGCAATTTTGAGTGAACAAATCAGATTTGGATGCCATTAGTTATTATACTAATAGAAACTTTGGTATTCACTCAGTTTTATGGATCATACTTCACTGATATTATTAATTCCATGTCATTGCTGCTACGGTGTGCCTGGGTGATAGTGTGACACTTGAGTAGCATCTGGTACAGGTTTTGTAGCGTAACCAGGCAGTCATGCTAAAAGCAGCAGCTTTTGCCCCAGGTCTTTTCCCTGGGTTAGCTTTAATTTTCATGGGCTTGACCCTGCCAGAGGGTCAAATCTCTAATAATCTGATGTGGGGAATGATGCATTAATTAGTAAAATATATGAGAGTTTAGACAAAGAGAAAGAAAAGAGCTAGATTCTTAGTTATTGAATTATTATTAAAAAAACTACTTAGGAAATTTAATGAAAGAAGTTCTGTGGGCTACACATTCAGGAATAATAAGGTGGAAAATATTAAATGGCATTTAAGAGTCTTCAACACAGAAAAGAAATTCTAGGAGAGTTTATTTTGGAGAAGAAGTATTTTTTGATCTTAGATTTCTGTTTAGACTTACCACGAGCTAACTTGTGGATATTATTTAAACTTGAAATTGTTTATTTTTATAAGCTTTTGTCTGAGATTTTTCTCAATTTATTCTCAATGGTGTTAAAATGTTAGTAAAAACGTTGGGTAGTAGCTGTGCATGGTTTTAGTCCATGGTCAATTAAGGCTTCACACAAATATAAAAAAAATTGAGTTTAAATTAAAGAAGATAGTCTGAGACCTACCATTCTTGATAATTCTAGGTGTTAAAATTCCACCTAATTTAGAATTTACAGGATTATCATTCCACAGTGGACATTTCCATGAGCAAACACTTTTTAAAAGGGATATTCAGGACCCTTTGAGATATTCACCTGTGGTTTAGGTGAACCTTTACTGGGCTGTAGGATTGTCAGAAGTGTCCCCTAAGAACCTCAGAATTTGTTCCTGTGGGCACTACTAATGTGACCAGATTATGTTTCAACTAGCCTTTGGCTAAGCCTCATACAGACCTATTTTCATAGTTAACTGTCAGCACTGGGCTCTTCCCAACTAAAATTAGACTAATTCTACTTCCAGCAGCTTGGCAACTTGCCCCTCGAGTCCACCATCTGTTACTCCTGCTGCTTTAACAGATAAACTCCCAAATCTCATACTTAACCTAATAGAAGTGTATTTCTTGCTCATAGCGTCCTAAACAGGTGCTCTAATTGGCAGGCAGCATTCCCCAGGCAGTGATGCTAGAACTCAGGCTTCATAGATCTACAACATGTGATTTCCAAGTTGGCTGTGCTTGTTGGAAGGGGTAAAAGAATGAAGGACTCATGGTGGAGGTTTTTATGGGCCAAGCCTGGAAATGGTTCACCTCACCTCCATTCACATTCTATTGGCCCCAACTTAGTCATATGACTACCTCTAACTCCAAGGGAGGCTGGGAAATATAGTCTGACTTTCAGGCCAAGAAGATGAGTTAGGTTTGATGAATAATCAGTTAGTCTCTCCCACACAGACCCTTATCCAGCTATGGGTTTCAATAGTGTTTAAAATGCAACAAGCTTTTACCTTTGTTGAATTACTTCTGATTTTACATGTGTGAATTTCTTAAATTATTCTAATTAGTCCCTAAAATATCTTCATTACAGTTTTGGTGTATATTTTTTCAAGCTATATATGACTAAAGACATGTATATATACATGTGTATACTAGGTATGTATGTACACTCACACATGTATATACACACACACCCCATACACATAAAATATGCACATGTGTGTATGCATGTGTATTTCAGGGTCACATAGTTAGGGCCAGATCCAGAGCTTGAGACCAGGATTGACAACTTTGAGTCTATGTAGTATGCTTTTATTTTATTATAAATATATATATAAATATATATAAAGTCTATGCTTTTATTTTGTTATACTTCAATCTCCAATTTGTAGAGAAGAAGAAAAAATATCCATGAGTCAATACTTTTGATAACATCATTTCTACCTTAAATTCCAACAGTGGGTAGCAAATATCTAGGAAAATATATTAAGATTAGAGCCACAAGGATATCAGATATTGGGATCTTTTTATAATTACTTTTGCCATTTCTCTCGATATTTTCTTTTAGTATTAATTATTTCTTTATCAGATTGGCTCAGAAATTTATTAACATCACTCTGAAACTTTAGGAGTTGGAAAGAGGTACAGAAATAAAAAGAAAGAAAGAAAGATAGATAGATAGATAGATAGATAGATAGATAGATATGGTATGGTATAAGGCTGAACTTTCAGAAAATTAAAGATACAATGACTAAACCCATATTATTGACCTCCTTTCCGCTACATCCAGTAAAGTCTATCCAATAGGAGAATGGTATAAAAAAAATAGTACCCTGTTGGTACAAAAATTCACTTGGAGCTTGAATCAGAAACCTGGCTATAAAACAACAAAAGGAGCAGGTTCATCTAGATGGGTATGACAAGCTTTGAACCATCAATGATGACACCACTATCTCTATGCCAATTCCCAGGGCAGACAGCTTCTTTTCATTATTGCTGCCAAGTAGGAGTCCGAGAGAGTAGAACATTCAAATGTGTTGTTCATAAAGAAACAAAGTAAAATTCAGATAAACTCAGGGAGAAATTAGCTATTCAGTGGAAAACGCTAAAAAGGCAGAACCACCTGGTGTAGAAAAAACTATCCTAAAACGGACTGTCAACATTACAAATAGCAAGAAGGACAGATAGTCATCCCAGGGTAGAATGAGGAGAGATGTTTTATTGTGGTGTGATAAGGTGAGTAATATGGAAAGATTGTTTCCAGGCAGCTGCTGCCCATTAGACAAAGGTGGTGAGAGACTCCAGCGAGAGACCTTCAGACCAAGTTATGTGAAAGTATGCACACACCAGAAACCCTATTGAAGATACTAGATTGATCATGCTCCAAGTTTTATTGTGGCTAGAGTGTTCTCTGGGTAAAGAGAAAAAGGCCAGGCTTAGATTTTCCATATGTCTTAAACATTTAATGAAAAATTATATTGATTCCTTTAGATCCTCTGTTACCTGTCCAAGAAACTGGATATGATTCAGATTGTCTTTATAGACCTCTACTGTTTGAAATAGACATTTCTTGGCTTTCTTTTTCCTTTCAATTTCTTAATTTTATTTTTTTGAATTTCAACATTAAACTAATTGAAGCTAGCATCAACTTTTATTGATCTCTTACCATGTGCCAGGCCTTGTCTAAATGGCTTATCTTTTGCAATCCTTAGTACAACCCTGTAAAGAAAGTAATTACAAAAATCACTTCTTACAAATGAGGAAGCCTCTTTGCTTAAGGGCAAACAGCTAGTGAATGGCAGAATTAGAAAATATATTGTATGTCTTTGTTCACAACCCATGCCATTTTCCCTAGAAGAGATGTTAAGTATCCCTGACACTGGGTTTTGGCTTGAATGAGGTTCTATTCTTCCTCTTATAATCAACATAGAAGCTTCTTCAACTTTCTTCCACTCTATGCTTTGGAAGCAACATTGGAGCCCTGACCAATGTATTTGTCGTAATCTTGGGCAAGTCACATCACCTTAGTTTCTCCAATAGTAAAATGATGACATTGGATTAGATGAGCTCATGGACAAATCTTTATAGTTTGAGGAGAAGGATGTGCCATTTCCCAGTCACACTCCTCACTGAGATAGCTAGGAAGAGTCTAAGGGAGCATTTTCCATTGCCAGGTAATGGCCCCCTTCCTTTCTTCCCTCACTGTGAGTACTGCTTTTTAAAATGTAAAGGCTGAGAAACTTTCCTGTTTGGCATCTACAATCAGAAAGCTGAGCGTGACCATGAACATCAATTTCCCATTCATCAATTTGAACTCAAGCCATGCTATCAGTCAGTTCACCCATCTGCAATCATCAGGAAAATACCTAAGTCACACTAGGAAGACACATTCATTTTTCCAGCAAAAAAGAGCGGTCGCCTCCTTTCTTAACTGATAGCTGAGTCAAAGTGCTTACCCCAAAAGAATAATGCCTAACCATCACTGCCAACCTGGTTGCATATGTAAGCGTATGCCTCTCTTTATCCCTACCAATTCAGCAGGTGTTTTGTGATACCTGTCTCATCACAGGAGCAAATCATAGGTGAGCATGCTAGTTTCATTTACCCACTTTATGGAAGCAGTTCACAAAGACAAGACAAGAACAGAACTGTATCTCAGTTGTGCTTGTGAATTTTCTCAGCTGATGAGGCATATCTTTTACATAGTATAAAACCCCTCCAAATCTCATGTATAGTGGTCTATTTCTCAAACATGCATTCAATCATTTAAATATTATTGACCACATCCAAGGGCAAGTCACTTTTCTGATGATACATTTACTCACCTATAAAGTGGCCTAAAATAATATAAACCTCTAGAGTGCTAAAACATGAAGTAATTAGGAAAATGCAACAATGAAAGTGCTTCCCTTTTCTGTGTAAGATACTTGCCAGTCATTGTGGAGAATGAGAAAAAGATGATTTCATAAGAAAATGGATTAGGCCCTCAAGAAGTTGCAGTCCCGTAAGAGAAAGAATGTACATCCATAAATCACCAAAGTTAAAGAATGTGGCATACATGTAAGAAATATAGACAAATGCCATGGCAGTTTGAAGGAGAGTACATTTAGGATTATAAAATGCAGCGTTTCAGATGAGGGGTTTGAATTTAGCTTTAAAAGATGAATAGGATTTGGACATTAAAAAATGGGGGCAAGAGAATATAATTATTTTCTGAAGGTGCAACAAGGGAATAGAGCTAACGAATGTATGTGAAGGAAGAATAACCAATCGTTTGGTTTGGCTAGAATGTATGACACATAAAGGGACGGATGGGAAATAAGACTAGAAGTATAAGTGTAACCAGATTGAAGATGGGCTTGAATGCTTGTCTAAAGTTTGCCGGTTTTTTTTGTTTGTTTGTTTGTTTTGTTTGTTTTTGAGACAAAGTCTGGCTCTGTCACCCAGGCTGGAGTGTAGCAGTGTGATCTTGGCTCACTGTAACCTCTGTTTCCTAGGTTCAAGGGATTCTCGTGCCTCAGCCTCCCAAGTATTTGGAACTACAGGCGCGTGACATCATGCCTGGCTAATTTTTGTGTATTTAGTAGAGATGAGGTTTTTCACCATGCTGGCCAGGCTGGTCTCGAACTCCTGGCCTCAAGTGATCCACCCACCTCAGCCTCCCAAAGTGCTGGGATTACAGGCATGAGCCACTGCACTTGGCAAGGATTGCTTTTATTTTGAAGACCACAGATTAGGGTGATAATGGTAGGAGTAAGAGTTGGAGCAGATGTGTAACGAAAGAGAATGGGAAGTTCAGTGAGGGGCATATTGGATTTCAGGTGTATCAAGGGGCTTCTTGTTAGGTTGCTAGGGAGACTTAGAACAGGTGAACTTGGAGGAGAAGTAACATGGCGTGGTGTGATTCCCTTGGCTGTATCTTATAGGAAGCAACTTTCAATATAATTCAGTAGAACAAAGTGGCCCTGTAAGATTGCAATAAACACAATGCCTTAGCAATTCCACACTTATCTCAATCCTCAGCCATCTAAGAAAGTAAAGGTGACACAGGAATGAGAGTAGATGGACATGTAAGATAAAATTTTAACAAATGCATTAAAGCTGTTAATAAGAACAAGAAGTGCTATGCTGCATATGCAATGGATTTAATTTGTAGGGTCTTTATGATAGGATAAGATAAAGAAAATCTTAATGAGCTCTCAAAACAATTCAGTGAAGTAAGTTGTTGATCAAGCACAAATAATAGAAATAATACACCTTAACTATATACATGTGAAGAGTAACTGAAAGATAAAAAAAAAATCACTGATACGTGAAAGGCAGTAAAGTCCAAAAGAATAAATGAGGTACTAAGAAGTTGCTAGCTTTTATATTTTAATGTGGTAAGTTGCTGTTTTCATCAAAGGATTTTCTGACTTGAGCATCAAAAGGAAATTTCTGG
This sequence comes from Homo sapiens, assembly GCF_000001405.40. NCBI lineage: Eukaryota > Metazoa > Chordata > Mammalia > Primates > Hominidae > Homo > Homo sapiens. The sequence goes on along the minus strand of NC_000008.11, from coordinate 33,148,420 downwards.
CAGCAAGAATTATTGAAATAGAAAATTAAAGGGAAGCAGTGAAAACCCCATTACCACGTCAGTGAGCCTTATCTGTAGTTTATTTTCTGCAGCTTGACTTTGTTGATGGAAGCTGGTTACAAAGATTAGGAGCCACAAAGATAAGGAAAGTTGATAGACAGAGAGGGTAACCTGAAAATAATGCACCATACAGTCAACATGGCAGAATATGATCATAACACACTTTCACACTGAAAATAGTAAATAAAAGTCATCCTCCCCTAAAGCCTAGGGAAAATAACTTTGTACAGTGATACAGGGAGAATATTATTGAAAGTCCAAATTCTTCACAGACTGTGGGCACATTGACTAATACAATAAAAGGTAGAAATCTCTGTCATTATTTCTCACAATTTTGTGTCTCACAAAAGCAAGATTTTCTATAAAATATGAAGGCTTAGGCGGTAGACTTACAGTGAACTTTCCCAAAGGTCAGACCATGAAGTTCAGGGTGAGACTAACACCAAACTCATTTTCTCACAGTTTGGGGTCTAAAATCAGGAGAACTGGCTTACACTGGGCCTTTGTGTTGATCCTGTGAAAAAATGGTGGAAGCCAAAGCTGGGAGGATCTGTAGAGGGTTTTTAAACTTTGGGCTTTCAAGGGGGTTTAAACTTTGAAAAGATTAAAAACTTTGGTTATAATCTTCTGAAGAAATGGATAGTTACGTGAGGTTTATTTTGGAGGGGTGGGAAGAAGAAATACGATCAAATCTGTATTTTATGAAGAATAATCTGGCAGGTATAGCTTAGGCTGGAAGAAGGAGAGATTTGAACAAGGAAGATAAGTTAAGAAGTTCTTAGGAGGCCTGTCTAGACAGTGTCAGAGAGGATGGTCCAGGAGGTATTTCTTAAAGGGTTATGGTGGGTGGGGTGGAAGAGAAGAATCTGGAATGGATGATGTCATTGAGAGGAATAGAATAGGATAGGAGAAGTAGATTTGCAAATAAATAAGTGGCCAACAAATACATTTTCAATTTAAAATTCATTATAGATCATTTTTACCTCAAGTGGATAATAAGGGAAAGAAAATGCATGGTGTCACCCAAAGAATCTTTGCTTTGGCTAACCAAGGGTCCATCTAAGCTCAGAAGGCCCTGAGACTGGGAAGGATATTTGAACTGGAGGTCTCAGAGCAGGCCCAGTAGAGGTGGCTGGTGGGTAAGGTAGCAGGATACAAGGATATGAACAAAAATGGGAATTTTACAAGAATTCAAATAGTGACACAAGATCCTGCAACCTTCACAAATGGGATGTCTTAACTCCCATCTATAGCCTCATTCATGCCCAATCTCTGAGACCAACTGAACTCTTAAGCAGGGGAGAATTACTAATAAAAGCAATTTAGAGAGCTTAGCATCAAGTCAGCCTCCCTGCTTATCCTACTCTGACTAAGTAACTGGCCCCTCTGTTTTCTCTTTTTCCAACAGGGTCTCGCTCTGTCACCCAGGCTGGAGTGCAGTGGTGCAATCACAGCTTACTGCAGCCTCAAACTCCTGGGCTCCTGCGATCTTCCCTCCTCTGCTTCCCAGAGGTTTGGGATTAGAGGCATGAGCCACCATGCCCAACCTGGTTCTACTTGTTGTCCTCTTGGCTGAATGTACTGATTTAGTTAGGTGTGTTGTGCTCAACATTACTCAGAGCTCAAGTCCTTTTACCCTTCAAGAGCATGCAGGGCTTTGCCTTATGCTCCAGAATCCCACTAGCCACATAGGGACCTTGTTAGGTATGCTAGATAATATGGTTTGGCTGTGTCCCCACCCAAATCTCATCTTGAATTGTAGTTCCCATAATCCCCATGTATCATGGGAGGGACCAGATGGAGATAATTGAATCATGGGCTCAGTTTTCCCCACCCTATTCTCATAATAGTGAGTGAGTTGTCATGAGATCTGGTGGTTTTATAAGGGGCTTCCTCCTTTGCTGGGCACTCACTCCCTCTCCTGCCGCCATGTAAAGAAAGACATGTTTGCTTCCCTTTCCGCTATGATTGTAAGTTTCCTGAGGCCTCCCCAGCCATGGGAAACTGTGAGTCAATTAAACCCATTTCCTTTATAAATTACCCAGTCTCAGGTATTTCTTTATAGCCAGGTGAGAACGGACTGATACACTAGACTTCTCTGTCACCATTTTCCTGACTCTTTGCTTACACATCCTACTGCCTGTTGATTACTACTCTAGTTAGGCTTTGGGTGAAAGCTCCTGGAATAAAAAGATACCCAAAGATATAGATGCTTAAACAAGGTAAAAATTTATTTTTATCTAAAATAATAGTCCAGAGGAGAATGGTCCAAGCTGCCAGAGCAGCTCTGCTCCGTGCATTCATTCAGGGCCTTAGGCCTGGCTCATTTATATTAATTAATTAAATAATGAAATGAATTAACACCTTCTGGGATGTTGCTCTTGATTGCAGATTTGAAGCAAAGTCACTGCCACATTTGACATTCCAGCCCATGTAAAGGGAAAGATAAGTAAAGGACAAGTTATTCTCTTTGAAGCAAGTAAGATAAAATTTGCACATATCATTTTCATTCACATTCCACTGGAAAGAAATGGAATTAGTTATTACCACAACTAGTCACAAGGGATGTTGTGAAAAGCATAGTTGAGTGTTTTCTTGCCTAGCTGAAATTCTGTTATTATAGAAGGGGAAACAGAATTTGGAGGTCAATCAGTAGCCTGCCACATGCACTCTGGTATTATGAGTTTATTTTTGCTCATTCAGCTCATTCTTTAATTGATCAAGCATTAATTATGAACAACAATATTCATTTTAAAAAACCAGCATTACAGGGATGTTACCCTATACACATCTATCCATTCAAATGAGCAAATTTCCTGCTTTCTTCTGATTGGTGTATGTTTATTTGGAGCTACTAAACATTACATTTCCAGATCGAAAGTTTCCAGCATAATAAGTGTCTTTAGTAGTTGTTGCTAAAATTGAACCCCTAGCACAGGAGTAGTAACTTAATGACATATAAGCTACTATTCCTCTCTCTTTGTTCCTGGCAGACATTGCTTATGAATAATCACACACTTTTCCATGCAGCATGCATGCAGCTTCAGGATCATTTTCAACACAGCACTCTAGAGAGCCACTGCATGAGAGGTTAAAGCAATTTGACATCTCCAGGTGGTTGGAGACCATTTAGGTTTCAAAAATCATTATTGATTTGATGTTGCTTCCTTCAGTTCTGCCACTGATAGTTACGGATACCTTTTTTTTTTTTTCATTTCAGACATTATTTTGGGCAAACAATAGAGGAAACATATCTTTTTTTTTTTGGTCTCCTGATTTGCTTTTTAAAACATTAATTTTAATTAATTGATTAATTATTTCCAACTTTTATTTTAGATTCAAGAATACATTACCTAGGTATATTGCATGATGCTGAGGTTTGGGGTACAAATGATTCCATCACCTAGGTACTGATCATAGTACCCAATAGTCAGTTTTTCAACCTTTGTGCCCCGTCCCCTTCTCCAAATAGCAGTCCCCAGTTTCTATTGTTGTCATCCTTATGTCCATGAGTATCCAATGTTTAGCTCCCAGTTATAAGTGAGATATGTGGTATTTGGTTTTCTGTTCCTGTGTTAATTCACTTAGGATAATGGCCTCCAACTGCATTGTGTTGCTGCAAGGTACATTATCTCATTCTTTTGCATAGCACTGTAGTATTCCATGGTACGTATGTACCACATTTTCTTTATCTAATCCATCATTGATGGGCACCTAGGTTGATTTCATGTCTTTGCTCTTGCGAATAGTGCTGCAATGAACATACAAATGTATGTGATTTTTGGTAGAATGATTTGGTTTTTTTTTTTTGGATATATACTTAGTAACAGGACTGCTGGGTCAAATGGTAGTTCCGTTTAAGTGTTATGAGAACTCTCCAAACTGCTTTCCACAGTGGCTGAAGTAATTTACATTCCCCCCAACAGTGTATAATTGTTCCGTTTTTCTCCATAGGCTCACCAACATCTGTTGTTTTTTGACTTTTTAATAATAGCCATTCTGACTGGTATGAGATGATAATCTCATTGTGGTTTTGATTTGCACTTCTCTGATGATTAATCACGTGTAGGATTTTTTTCATATGTTGTTGGCTGCTTCTATGTTTTCTTTTGAGAAATGTTTCATGTCTTTGGCCCACTTTTTAATACGGTTATGTGTTTTTGCTCATTCAATTGTTTAAGTTCCTTATAGATTCTGCATATTAGACCTTTGTCAGATGCATAGCTTACGAACATTTTCTCCCATTCTGTAGTTTGTCTTTTTACTCTAATGATAGTTTATTTTGCTGTGCAGAAACTCTTTAGTTTAATTATGTCCCACCTATCAATTTTTGTTTTTGTTGTAGTTGCTTTTGAGGACCTAATTATAAATTATTTCCCAAGGCCCATGTCCAGAATGGTGGTTTTCTAGATGTTTTTTTTTAGGATTCTTATAGTTTGAGGTCTTACATTGAAATCTTTAATCTCATCTTTTTTTTTTTTTAAACAAAGTTCACATTTTATTTAGATTGAAATAAACTATACAAAATTGTTTTTCTTCACCAACAATAACACAATATTTTCCATATTTTTCTAGATAAACTTATTTTTGTAGGTTTTTCAGGTTTTGTTATAAATCAAGATGAAGCAGTAGATAAGAGTCATGGAAAAAGACAGAAAAAAACAGACAGTTATCAGTTGTCAGTATCCATGGCCTCTGACTCTGTCTTAACCGTAAAACAGAAGTGTTCAACATATACTTGCTAGAAAACTTAGGAAGATGTAGGCTCCACAAAGGAATGTAAACAGCAACAACAAGATGTGGAACAATGGCAGGCTCTTCCATTCAAACTTTAACTGTCATTTGTTCCTTTAAGTTCATTTGAGAGAGAGAAAATCTACCATGAAATCCTTGTTTGGCGAGCTCATAAGCTTCTCTTTCTCTGGTAATTTCTTGACACTGTCCAGTATAGATTTTTAACACACTTAAAACTCCTATTAGTCAAAGATCAATTGTAGGCTTAATCCCACCTTGAGTTAATTTTTGTGTTTGGTGAAAGGTAGGGGTCCAATTTCATTCTTCTGCACATGACTAGGCAGCTATCCCAGCACCATTTATTGAATAGGGAGAGCTTTCTCCATTGTTTATATTCGTCAATTTTGTCAAAGATCAGATAGTTGTAGGTGTGCAGCTTTATTTCTAAGTTCTCTATTTTGTTCCATCCGTTTATTTGTTTGTTTTTGTACAAGTACCATGCTATTTTGGTTACTGTAGCCTTCTAATGTAGTTTGAAGTCAGGTAATATGATGTCTTCAGCTTTATTCTTTTTGCTTAGGATTGCTTTGGCTATTTGGATGCTTTTTTGGTTCCGTATGACTTTTAGAATAGTTTCTTTCCCATTCTGTAAAAAATGACATTGGTAGTCTGATAGGAATAGTGTTCAATCTGTAGAGTGCTTTGGAAAGTATGGCCATTTTAATAATATTGATTCTTCTAATCCATGAGCATGGAATTTTTCCCATTTGTTTGTGACATCTGTAAAATTTTTTAGCAGTGTTTTGTAGTTCTCCTTGTAGAGTGCTTTGACCTACTTATTTAGATATATCCCTATGATTTTTTATTTTTGTGTGTGTGTGGCTCTTGTAAATGGGATTGCATTCTTGATTTCTCTTTCAGCTTGAATGTTATTGGTGTATAGAAATGCTACTGATTTTTGTACGTTGATTTTGTATCCTGAAACTTTACTGAAGTCATTTATTAGCTCCAGGTGACTTTTAGCAGAGTCTTCAGGGTTTGCTAGGTATAGAATCATATCATCCGTGAAGAGAGATAGTTCAACTTCTTTTCCTATTTGGATGCCTTGTATTTCTTTCTCTTGCCTGATTGCTTTGGCTAGCACTTCCAGTACTATGTTGAATAGAAGTGGTAAGAGTGGGTATCCTTCTCTTGCTTTGGTTTTCAAAGAGAAGGTTTTCTGTTTTTGTCTATTTAGTATGATGTTGGCTACGAGGTTGTCTAGATGGCTCTTACTATTTTGAAGTTTGCTCCTTTGATGCCTAGTTTCTTGAGGTTTTTTAATCACCAAGGGATGTTGGATTGTATCAAAAACCTTTTCTGCATCTATGGAGATGCTCATATGGTTTTTGTTTTTAATTCTGTTTTTGTGGTGAATCCCATTTATTTATTTGAATATATAGAACCAACTTTGTATCCCAGAAATGGTGCCTACTTGATCATGTTGAATTTACTTTTTGATGTGGTGCTGAATTCGGTTTACTAGTATTTTATTGAGAATTTTTGCATCTATGTTCATCAGGGATATTGGCTCTAGTCTCCTTTTTTTGTTGTGTATTTGCCAGGTTTTGGTATCAGGGTGATGCTGGCTTCATGGAATGAGTTAGAGAGGAATCTCTCCTTGATTTTTCAAAATAGTTTCAGCAGTCTTGGTATCAGCTTTTCTTTGTACATCTGGAAGAATTCTATTATGAATCCATTTGGTCTGGGTAGTTTCTTTTTTTTTTTGATTGGTAGGGTTTTTATTACTGACTCAATTTTGGAACTTGATATTGGTCTGTTCAGTGGGGAAATGTATACCTTTAACAAAGGTATACTCCAAATTCTCCAGGATCTCCTTGGCCAACTCAGTCTCTGGATATAACTTACTGAGGAAGATTGTGGCTTACTGTTGGCAGATAATATCCTCAATAGGCTTGTTCTCCAAAGTTTTACCACCAAGAATAAAGCAATGTTAAAAACCCTTTGTTCTGAAGGCTCTACAGACACATGCAGCCAAGAGAAAAGATTAAATTAGTGTCAAAACAATGAAATTAGACTTACTGACATTAGAGTTTTCAAGTCTTCTAGGTTCCCACGAGAATTCTTTATAAAGTGTACTAGAAATCTTCAGCTAAGGCAAGCAATGTGCATCATATGTTAAATTGGCCCCTGGACATTCTGAAGAGGCAGAAAAAGAAAAGGAGAAAACTTCAAAAAATAAAATAAAACCAACCCTGAGATGCTTCAACAAACCAGTTTGTTATGAAATTGCCTGCAATGAAATTTCTAGATTTTTAAAAGGATTGCTATAGTTTGAGTGTGTCCCCTCTAAAACTTTGATCCCAATGTGGTGGTATGGGGAAGTAGGGCCTCATGGGAGGTGTTTGGGTCACGCAGGTGGATTCCTCATGAATAGATTAGTGTCCTCCCATGGATGTGAGTGGGTTATTCTCACAGGACTAGATTAGCTACTGTGACAGTGGGTTGTTATAAAAGTGAGTTTGGAGCCCAGTGGAGTGGCACACACCTGTAGTCCAAGCTATTTGGGAGGCTGAAGTGGGAGGATCTTTTGAGCTCAGGAGTAAGAAGATGTAGTGTGATATGATCGTGCCTGTGGGTAGCTACTGCACTCTAGCCTGGGCAACACAGTGAGACCTCATCTCTTTTTTAAAAAAGTGAGTTTGGCTGGCTAGAATCTCTCTCACTTCCTCTCTCACCATGTGATCTCTGTACATGCCCACTTGCTTCTCCGCTTTTCCATGTTTTGACCTAGCATGTGGCCCTCACCAGAAGCTGGCCAGATGTGGTGCTTTGCTCTTGAAGTTCCCAGACTGCTGAATCACGAGCTAAATAAACATTGTATCTTTGTAAACTATGCAGTCTCAGGTATTCTGTTACAACGACATTAAAGGGACAGAGACAGGAATAATATCCATTTTTGAAGCAAAGCCACTTTACTTTTATAGTGGAAGATAATATTGTTTTCCGACTCATTTCAAAAAAACTAAAGCTCTCTCCTTCAAATATTTCAGGCTTTCTTTACCACTTTAACCTCTAGATATTATTAACCACTAGATATTATTCCATTATCTTGGTAATAGTGTCAAAGGGAGATTTCTGTTGTTGTTTTTAAAATGACTATATAAAATAGACAAGCTATGATTACCTGTAATTATGACATCACCTAATAATTAGTTTTTACCTGTGGACAAGGCCTTTTGAACATAAAGAGCCCTTTGTGAAAAACAGTTAGTTGGGAAATAGGCAGGAGTAGAAGTAATTTTCAAGATCATTTAGGTTAGGTAGAGTAGCTTCCAATTTTGTAGTCTCTACTATATGTAGAAATAATTGCAAGAAAAATTTGGTGTGAATATTACTTCCTGTCTTTCTCATGTCATATATTTAAGTGAAAAAGCAAAATGTAGAAAAGAACATATAGTATACTATCATTTGCACAAAATATCTCTATGTATTCAAATACAGGTAAAGCATCTCTAATTAAAAAATACAAAATTTGAAATCCCCCAAAATTTGAAACTTTTTGAGCACTGACATGATGACACAAGTGAAAAATTTTACATTTGACCTTATATCATGGGTCTCAGTAAAATTACCATCAAAATTTTGTTTCATGCACAAAATTATTAAATGTATTGTATAAAATTACTTTCAGGCTAGGTATATAAAGTGTATATGAAACATAAATAAATTTTGTGTTTAGACTTGCATCCCATCCCCAAGATATCTCATTTTATCTACATGTAAATATTCTAAAATTCAAAAAAATCTGAAATTCTAAACATTTCTAGCCCCAAGCATTTCAGATAAGGGATACTTAATCTGCATATGTATGAAATCTTATGTATGAAATACCTGTGCTTGGAAAGATAAAGAAACTGGCAACGCTGATGTCTTGGGAAGCAGAACCAGATGTATAGTGGTGGGAGCAAGACTACTAATGGTATACTCTGTAAGCTTTTAGCATTTGTCACCATATGAATGTGTTAAAAGAAAACTTTAGACAAATTTAACAAAGTTTAACTAGCAAAGAATGACTCATAAATTGGGCAGCCCTCAGAACCAGAATCAGTTCAGAGTGACTCCAGGGCTGCCACATGGTCGGATAGTGTTTATGGACAAAAACATAAAGAAAATGGAAGTGAGGTACAGAAACAGCTGGATTGGTTACAGCTAGGTGTTTGCCTTATGTGAACCTGGTTTAAACAGTTGGCTGCCTGTGGTTGACTGAAGTTCAGCTGCTGTGATAGGCTGAGCTCAGCTACTCTTTTCAAGAGTAGATTACAGTCTGTTTACACATCAGGTTGGGTTAGAGTTCGTTATGTATGGAGAAACCTTTAGGCTGACCTTAAACATGTAAGGAGAGTTTTAGGCCAGACATAATTAACATAATGTGCTACCTGCTCAAAACTACGTACAATTTTAAAAAAATTTGTGGTCACTGTTATGTCTTTTAAAACATTATTTAAGATTTCTTTTAGTGAGCATTTATTATGTAGTGTTTTACTCTTTGCATAAGATTTTGCTTTAAAGATTAAATAATATTATGATTAGGTAAAAGATTCTAGATTGACTATTATTGTCATGCAACACTTACAAGATACCACTCCATTGTCTTCTGGCCTTTGTTATCTGTGAGAAATTTATCTATCAATGTTTTTCTTTTCCTTTGCTAGCTTTTGTGATTTTTCTCTTTATTCTTGATGCATTTTAATACATTTTCGTTATGTGACCACGTAAGGGTTTATTTTATTTTAATTTATTTTTATTTCTTGCTTCAGTCTTGAAGCAAATTTGTGATCTAAAATTCATGTTTTAGTAGGGTGTAGTAGCTCATACCTGTAATCCCAGCTACTCAGGAGGCTGAGGCAGGAGCACAGCTTGAGGCTAGGAGTTCAAGACCAGCTTGGGCTACATAGTGAGACCCCATCTCTAAAAAAAAAAGAAAAATTAGCTGGGCATAGTGGTGCATGCCTGTAGTCCCAGCTACTCTGGAGGCTGAGGCAGGAGGATTACTTGAGCCCAGGAGTTTGAGGCTACAGTGAGCCATGATCATGCCACCACACTCCAGCCTAGGCAACAGAGTGAGACTCCATCATTTAAAAAAAAAATTAAATTTATACTTTAATAAATTTTGAAATATTATTAGCAATTAATTCTTCAAATGTCACCTTCTACCATTCTTTCCATTCTCTGCTTCTGTAATTTCTATGAAATATTTGGTATTTAGAATTCTTGATCTGTATCCCATTCTCTTAACTTCTCTTCAATATTTTTTCTTTTTGAGTTTCTATACTGCATTCTGCATGAGCGGTTCAGTATTATTTTCCCAATTTACTAATTAGTTTTTTTTTTTCAGAATTCAGATTAGAAGTTGCCCCTTCTAGTGTAGTTTTAAAATTTCAATGATTAATGTATGTTTGATGTTCAAATTATCTAATTGATTCTTGGAATCAATTGACCCACTTGATTTTGCTTTATTTCTTTTGTTGTTGTTGTTTCAAGACATTATATCCTTTTTAAGACGGCAATTATGCCTTTGTTTATCTCCTTAACATACATAATGTAGTTATTTTAAAGTTTCTATCAAGCTGTTCAATAAAATGAATTTAATCTTGGGTAAATTCCTATTCTGATTATTGATTGCAATGGCTTCCTTAGCATTAGAATTCTCCAAGTGTTTTGAAATATTAATTTATGGGTCTCTCTCTCTTCAGAGTTTAGCGTCTCCAAAATAAATAAAAGAAAGAAGTTGCAGATAAATTATCCATTCAGGCAGGACAAGTTTCTCTTGCAAGGACTGACAGTTTGGTGGCAACCTTAGAAGTCTGTCACAGCTCATAGTTTTGAGAAGTATGTGAAACTAATCTTTCATTCTCAGCATCTTGTATAACATTTGTCATATGGCATATCTTTGTCAAACTAATTTCTTATTTATGTGAAAATTGTAGCCACATTGTGGCTGTGCAGTGGTGGTTGCAAGCCACCACTCATCTGCCCTATCTACCATTGTTGTTGTAGATGGCCAAAAGGGTAGCTAGGACTTTTACCACCATCTGGCAAGAGTAGCAAGGACTCCCTACCATAGGGTCAGTGGAGATACCTGGGGAACAGAAGGGATGAGTCTCCTCTCCCCTGCTAGAACGTCAGTGGAGGCCAAGTGGAGAACCTGGACTTCAACCCTCATTGGGCACTAGTGAGGAGATATCCACCTTCCCTTGCTGGTATGATGGCAGAGGAGGCCTGCTGAAATACAAGGTTTAAATAAACACCATAGTATCTGTGGAGAAAAGGGAATGCTTTTACACTGTAGGTGGAAATGTGTATGAGTTCCAGCCACTATAGAACATGGTGTGGAGATTTCTGAAAGAACTTAAAACAGAACAACAATTTGACCCAGCAATCCAATTACTGGGTATATATCCAAAAGAAAATAAATTGTTCTACCAAAGAGACTCATGAACTCATGTTCATTGCAGCACTATTTACGATAGCAAAGACATAGAATCAACTTAGGTGCCCATCAACAATGGATCTGAGAAAGAAAATATGGTATATATATACACCATGGAATACTACACAACAATAACAAGGAATAAAATCATGTCCTTTGCAACAACATTGATGCAGCTGGAGGCCATCATCCTAAGGAAGTTAACACAGAAACAGAAAACCAAATACCACATGTTCCCACTTATAAGTGGGAGCTAAACATTGGCTACACATAGACATAGATGAGAACAATAGACACTGGGGACTACTAGAAGGAGGAGAAAGGGAGGGGGAAAGGGTTGAAAAGCTACCTATTGGGTACTATGCTCAGTACCTGGGTAACAGGATCATTTGTATCCAAAACCTCAGCATTATGCAATGTACCCATGGAACAAACCTGCATGTGTACCACCTAAATCTAAAATAAAAGTTGAACTTATAAAAAATTAAAAAAATAAAAACCGTGGTATTGTAATATAAAGCTCTAAACTCCTAGATGTCAAGAAAACATTGCTCATTTTACAAAGAACCAGGAAAATCTCAAATTGAATGACAAAAAAATCAACAGATGCCAACACTGAAATGACACAGATGCTAGAAGGATTTTAAAGCAGTCATGATAAAACTCTTTTCACAAAAATTAATAAACACTCTTGGAAAACATAGAAAGTGTCAATAAAGAAGTTGAAAACATAAAGGATAGCTAAATGGAAATGTAATAATTGAAATAAAAACTCACTGGATGGCCTCAAAAGCAAAATGAAAAGGATAGAGAAATGAATCATTAAACTTGAATACAGAACAATACAAATTACCCAGTCTGAACAACAGAGAGAAAATAGACTGAGCAAAGAAATGAACACAATCACAGAGACCTGTGGGACTATGGTTAAAAGCTCTAACATTTGTGTCATCAGAGTCTCAGAAAGGGGAGAAATAGAATGGGCCTGAAAAAGCATTTGAGGAAATAAATAATAGCTGAAAACTACCCAAATTTGGCAAAAGACATAAACCTACAACAGATTCAAGAAGCTGAAAAAAAAACCATAAAGATGAAATCAAAGAAATCCATATCAAAACATATCATAAGAAAATTTCTGAAAACTAAGACAAATCCCTTGAAAGCAGCCAGAGAAAAATAACACCTAAAGGGGAAAACCATGTAGATGACAGATTTCTTATTAGAAATATGAAAGCCGGAAGGAAGGGGCACAATATTTTTTAAATGCTGAAAGAAAAGAACGGTCAACCCAGAATTCTATAGCTAGTGAAATTAACTATGAGGAGTAAAGGAACAATGAAGACATTCTCAGGTGAAGGAAAATTAAGAGAATTTGTTTCCAACAGATCTACCCTAAAATAATGGCTAAACAAAATTCTGTGAACAGATAGGAAATGATAAAAGAAGAAATCTTGGAACATCAGAAAGGAAGAATAACTATGGAAAGAATAAAACTATGGGAAAATATAATAGGCTTTTCTTCAACTCTTTCGTTTTCTAAATTATATTTGATGATTGAAGCAAAAATTCTAACAACACTGTCTGATGTTATTCTCAATGCATGTAGAGGAAAATTTTAAGACATAAGTGGGAGAGTGTAAAGGGGTTCAAAGAGAGCGTGCAGGTTTCATTTGAACTGATAAAATGTTGTTGGCCAATGACTGTAACAAGATGTGTATATAATGTAATACCTAGAGCAACTTTTAAAAAGGCTATCCAAAGGAATATATATAAAACACTATAGATAAATCAAAATGAAACTAAAAACAAGTTCAAGTAACCGATAGAAATGCAGGAAAAAAATGAAAATAGAAGCAAAAAAGGATAAAACAGAGAATAAAAAATAAAATGACAGAAATAATTTCTAACATATCAATTATATTTGAAGGGCATTATATTTAAAAAAGTCTATTTCAGAAGGTCATGTACTATATGATTCATTTCTATAACATTCTCAAAATGAAAAATTATGGTGATTGAGGAGAAATTATGGATTCCAGATGGTAGGGTGGATGGTGGGGGCGACTACAAATGAGTAGCATAAAGATTATGCGGTGATGCAGCTAGACTCGTGGAGGTGACACAAGTCTATACGTGTGATAACATAGCATAGAACTATAAACATACGTTGTACCATGTCACTTTCTTGTTTTCATATTTTACTACAGCAATGTAAAATATAACCATTGAGGAAGGCTGGATGAAAGGTTCAGGGGTGTCCTCTGTACCCTGTTTGCAACTTCCTATGAATGTATAATTACATCAAAACTAAAAGTTGAAAAAAGAAGTAATTAGAAAAACAATGTTTTGAAAGTTATAAAGTGAATAAGAAGTTATAAAGTGAATAAGGTGCAGTAATGAGGAGAAATAAGAGTCTGATTCCATATAATACATATGTTATATATATATATAATATATATGTATCAGAATATAATATATATGTGTCAGAAGAGGAAACATGTTCCCTGAAACTTGAAGAATGAATAGGACTTTGTCAGATGATATGGTTTGGCTGTGTCCCTACCCAAATCTCATCTTGAATTGTGGCTCCCACAATCCCCACGTGTCATGTGAAGGACCAGGTGGAGATAATTGAATCATGGGGGCCATTGCCCTCATGCTGTTCTCGTGACAGTAAGTGAGTTCTCACAAGATCTGATGATTTTATAAGGGGCTTTTCCCCCTTTTGCTCAGCACTTCTCCTTCCTGCTGCCATGTGAAGAAGGACACATTTACTTCCTCTTCTGCCATGATTGTAAGTCTCCTGAGGCTTCCCAGCCATGCTGAACTGTGTCAATTAAACCTCTTTCCTTTATAAATTACTCAGTTTCTGGTATGTCTTTATTAGCAGCATAAAAATGAACTAACACATCAGGTAAAACACAAAGCTGACTAGGACATTTCAGGTTTATGAAACTGATATGCCCCAAAGAGGTAAATGGGAGGGAAGAGCCTGTTTGGAGAATGGCAAGTACTTCATTATGAATAGGGTGTGTTATATTAGTGGGAGATCAGCAGCAGGTCTAATGAATTAACGTTGCCATTCCTATGAACAGTCAATGGAAACAAGTTTATTTGCCCCTGTATATGCTGTCCTAGGTCCTTTCCCTGAACTATAAATTGGATCACTATGATTTCTTGATAGAACTTTGAGAAGCAGAGAACTTCTTTTGCATTTTTCATGCCTCATGCCACTGACCTTCAATTATCCTTCTTGATCATGTGTGTGTGCTCAAGATTATAACAGAAGAAAGAGGACAGAAAAAGCCAGGTAGAAATGAGAAGAAGTGGAAGTAAAATTTTAAACATGTATTAAATAATGGGTAAAGACACTATTTTAAAAAACTGCAACTATCAGAAAGCATTGATCCTATGGTATGAAAAATTTGGAGATTGACTATCTGGGGACTGGATGTGCACAAAATGCAGGGTCTTGGGCTTTGTGGGAGGCTTCTGTCAGGGAGACAATATGTTGTGGTAATTCCCCAGATACTGACTATGTTATTTTCGGAAATTCAGTACTGATGCCAAGTTTTCTTGTTGTTTCAGGTCATATTTAAATGACTGCGAGAACTGATCTGCTCTGCAGAAAAAAAGAATGAGGCTATAGTTTGTCAGTGTAGGTCAAATATTTCATTAATTTATTCGCCCATTCATTTATCAAATATTTATTGAGGGTTCATTATGTGTTAGGGCTTCCTCTAAACACATGGACCTTTCAAAACTTAAAAACAATGCAAGAAATTTGCAACATAAGAATTTCGAAACTTTTGCATGTATTAAAAAGTAGAAACACAATTATGATATTCAACAAGCTGGAGAATATATTTGCCAAAAATTATAAAGACAAAAGTTTAATATCCTTAAAATACACAGAGCTCATATAATTTTTCACTTGAAAAATGTTTACAGAACTAAAAGAGTTCAGAGATAAAATATAAATGATGAGTAAATACAGTTGATCCTTGAACAACAGGGGTTTGAACTGTGCGGGTCTATTTATATGTGCTATATGTGCATTTTTTTCAGCCAAAAGCAAATTGAAAATACTGTATTCATGGTATGGGAAACCCACATATTTGAGGGCTAACTCTCAAGCACAAGGTATCCATAAGGCTGGCTGTGTCACTTGAGTATATGCGGATTTTGGTATGGAAGGGGTCTTCTGGAACCAATCCTCACCTATACTGAGGAATGACTGTATATGAAGTGCTGTTCATCCTCACAATTAATCAAAGAAACCCAAATTTAAATAAAATATTTTCACAATTAAAGAAAATAAGATATATACTTTTGCAAAGGGTGAACAAATATGTGTGCAAATAAGTTTAGAAGATTCTTAGAAAGTCTTCTTTTAATATGCCTTAAGAGTCTAAAAATGGGCTGGGTGCCGTGACTCATGCCTGTAATCCCAGCACTTTGGGAAGCCGAGGTGGGCAGATCACATGAGGTCAGGAGTTCAAGACCAGCCTGGCCAACATGGCAAAACTCCGTCTCTACTAAAAATACAAAAATTAGCCGGGCACGGTGGTACACACCTGTAATCTCAGCTACTCAGGAGGCTGAGGCAGGAGAATCCCTTGAGTGTGGGAGGCGGAGGTTGCAGTGAGCAGAGATTGTGCCACTACACTCTAGCCTGGGCGACAGAGCCACACCCTGTCTCAAAAAAAAAAAAAGTCTAAAAATGTTTAGTAACTTTGTCCCTGAAATGGTACTTCTAAGAATTTGTCATGAGGAAATAAAAAGGCAGGCAAAGAATTATATATATGAATTTTTTTTGATGTTAGAATAAACATTTTTAAAACAACCTAAATTCCAGTGAATCAGTGAGAAGATAGTGATACATTCACAAACGGTTCTATTATGTAGACACTGAAAATCATATTTTGAAGATTGACATGGTAAAATGTTTAAAGTACAGATAATGAAGAAAAAATTCAGAATACTTGCACTATGGATCGTCTGTAAAATAATATTATGTATACTTTGATTTTCCTTTTTATACTTTTTGTATCTTCTAAATTTTCTACAATAAACATATTTTACTTTTGTAATTAGTAAAACAGTTATAACTTTAATATATTTATGTAGCAGTTTAGGAATTATACAGAAAAATTAATTTTTCTAACAGTATGTTTTAGTAACTGAATATAATGTGTTTCTTCATAAATATAATTAATTCATAGTTATTATGTATTTATGTGTTTAATATTTATCTTCTGTAGTAGAATGCCAGCTTCATGAAGGTGTACTGCTGTCTCTGTGTTTGTAGTTAGCTCTGTCCAGCAGAACTTTTCACCAATGAGAAAATTTTCTTTATCTGTACTGTCCAATATGGCAGCCAATAGCGAGGCAGTGAATCGGTACTTGAAATGTGGCCAGTGAACCTGAAGAACTGAATTGTTTATTTTACTTATTTTTAATTTATTTAAATGTAAATTTATGTGGCCACATGTTGTATTGGACAGTATAATTCTAGAGAATACTGTCATGTAAACAGTAGGTACAAAATAAACACATCTATAATATTTGGATAGGTTGAGTGAAGTTATGTGATGATTTGACATCATTTGATGACCCTAGAATAAGAACAGAGATAAAACTTCATATTATGTGACCTATAACATTAAGAGTGTTTGGAAAGTTACTGGAAGTTTTGGGAGTTGTTGGTGCTAATCAAATGAAATGGGAAATGATGGTTCTAATGATAACAGTAAGATTAACACTTACTAGTATGCTTATGTGCCCTATAAATATGAATTCACTTAATCCTCCCAACCCCAAGAAATACTGTCAGCTCTCCACCTCCATGGACTCCACATCCGTGGATTCAACCAAATGAGGACGAAAAATATTTGAAAGAAAAAAAGCAATAGAAAATCACAATACAACAATTTTAAAATAATATAAATTTTAAAAACACAGCATAACAACTATTTACATAGCATTTCCATTGTATTAAATATTATAGGTTATCTAGAGATGGATTGAAGTATACAGGAGGATGTGGATAGGTTATATGCAAATAGTATGCCATTTTATATCAGAGACTTGAGCATCCATGGATTTTGGTATCCTCTGGAGGTCCTGGGGCTAATGCCCTGCAGATACTGAAGGATGAGTATAATATTTCCCTTCATTTTACAAATATGGTAACCGAGGTACTGAGAAGCAGGGTAACTTATTCAAGGACTCACAGCTAGGGGAGCCAGTCCAAACCCAGGTAGCCTGGGTTCATCTGTGCTCCTAGCCTCTATGCTATAATGTCTAAATAAAGTGCTTATTTAATGATTTATCTAATTATTTAGATAATTAGTTAGTCTTATTTAATGACTTATCTAATGACTGGAGTGGTGTTTGATTTTAAAGCTACAGGTCTAACTTGACAATGGGCTGTATGGGTTTAGATAGATTTTCTAAATTGGGCTGTGGTACAGACTAAATGTTTGTGTTGCCTGCCAGTTCATACGTTGAAACCCTCATCCCCACTGTTATAATATTTGGAGATGAGGCCTTTGGAAGGTAATTAGGTCATGAGGGTGGAGCTTTCTTAATGGGATTTTTTTTTTCCCCATATAAGAAGAGATATGAGAGCAGTTGTTTCTATCCACCATGTGAGAAAACCAGGAAAAGGATTCTCACTGGGGCCTGACCACGCTGGCATCCTGATCTCAGGCTTCCTAGACTCCAGGACTGAGACATAAATTTCTGTTGTTTAAGGCACTCAGTCTATGAAGTCTTGTTCTAGCAGCCTGAAAACTAAAACAAGCCTCATACATTAGAGCACATTGAACACACAGTGTTTTTGTTGTTGTTTTATTTTTCAGTGCATACACATGAACTCTTGAAATTCATCCAACGAATACTTACAGCATGAAACTAAGTGCCAGATAGTGTGTTCAGTTCTGAAGCTACAAATATAAAAAAAGCTGTATTATCTTCTCTCCAGCAGCTCAGAAACCAGTAAAGACACATGCTATGGTTTGAATGAGTTGCCTCCAAAATCAGGTGTTGCCAATGCGGTAATAGTAAAAGGTGGGGCCTTTGAGAGGTGATTAGGTCCTGCGAGCTTCTTCCTCCAAAGTGGGATTAAGGCCATTATAAAAGAGGCTTCACACCACATTCAGTTAGCTCTTGCCCTCTTGTCTTTCCACATGTGAGGCTGCGGCAGCAACAAGGCGCCCTCTTGGAAGCAGAGCAACCTTCACTGGACAATGAGCCTTCTGGTATCTTGGACTTCTCAGCCTTCAGAACTGTGAGAAAATACATTTTTTTTTCTTTATGAATGTGGGACATAATGAGGTTTCTCTTCAAATGGCCTGATCAATCCTTTATTCTTTAATTCATAGTACCCCCCCCAATGCCTTTTTTCTTTTTCTCTTTTTCTTCTTTTCTGCCTTTGTTACACGCCCAGACATGCCACAGTACCAGGTGTTATCAGTACCAGCTCACATTCCTTTCCTTATTTGGAAAGAAGACTAGCTCTGTGGCTCATTGCAGACACCCTTTCCCTTTTCCCCTCTCTCCCTTACGTGACCACCTTATCTAAAAAAAGTTCAAATGTTTAGCCAACCGGGATTGGTTTAGATTGTACGGCCAGACCCCGGCCAATGGGGAAAGGGTACAGGGGCAGGACTTGCATCAGGAGTAAAGGCTCTCGTGCCCCTTTGTTCAGGTGTGCTCCCATGGTGACTGGCCAAGGAGAAGCACCCCTCTGCGCAGAAGTAAAATTGCTTTGTTAAGAATCCTTTGAGTGTTCAATTTCCTTAGGATTTTGAACGTTATTCCCAACATGAATTACCCAGTCTCAGGTATTTTGTTATAACAGTATAAATGGACTAAGCAACACATAAAAAGAAATGTAATAAGTACAAAAGTGAAAATATAAAAGTAGTGTTCTGGGAACCCAGAGGAGGGTATGGGTATGTGCATGCATTTGTGTGAGACTTAGTCCTGGAGGAGTGGGGGTTCTGGTTTCTACCTCACTTTCTGCTCTGCAATTCACCCTGGCCCTCATTCATTCTGTAAGATATCCAAAATTCATGGTCAGAGCTTGAAGATTTGGGGTTGATTCACATCTGCCATTTATTAGCTAGTGACTTTGGGATAAGTTGTTTTGAGGTTTAGATAATGGATTCAAGTGTTCCTACCCTGTAGAGCTCATGAGGTTTGTTCACAAAAGTCAAAATGAGATCTTGCCTGTTATAGTCTAGTACAAAATGTAAAGCACTATGCCAGTTGTCAGCCAGTGTCAGGAATTTCTCTAATTTGTTAATCTATACCATCTAAACAGGATGGGAAGGTAAGCTTTTATCATAAAGAGCTTGGGTAACTAAATGGCAGACCTATGCATAAATAATGGAATAGGCACACTGGAATGTGTCTAGACTTCAGGGAAATATCAGATCTAGCATGCCAAAGGATCTCATTTGCAAAATGTACTGTCAGTGACCGCGTTGGCAGAAGTGGTGTTGCATTACAGAAGCCTGGCTGGGAGATAAAAAAAGATAAAGGACGGCAAATTGAGTGTGCGAAGGTGGTGTCTGGAAGGGCACCATAGGTATTAGCATTAGATCTCAATTCGATATTACTACTGGTGGACCACAGAAGGAAAAAAACAGGTAATCTGTGAACATGTGAAGAATAGAAATCTGTTAGCTATGACTTAATGCTTATCAATTTAGCATAAAAAATTACATCTGTAAGATGACTTAAAGCTTTCAAAGTATGCTTAAAAAGACCTTCCCCTTATCCTAAGAAGAAAATAAATAAGACCTGATGCTAAACAGTTTGTGTTAGGCATCATCATCCCCATTTTATAAACAAACAAGACCCAGAATGGTTAAATGATTTGCTCAAGAAGACCTCACAATAAAACCAACAAATGAGAAAGGATTTCTGACCTGAAGACCAGTAATTTCGACCAGTTATTTTCATAGAAAATAGGTGGATTTGGAAGGAAACGGAGTTCACTCAGTTGGCTAATTGGATAATAAAGTGAAATGGTAACTTTACAGGAGGAGGGTCCAGTCTGGAAAAGCTATGT
Source organism: Homo sapiens (assembly GCF_000001405.40). Classification (NCBI taxonomy): domain Eukaryota; kingdom Metazoa; phylum Chordata; class Mammalia; order Primates; family Hominidae; genus Homo; species Homo sapiens. The sequence goes on along the minus strand of NC_000008.11, from coordinate 33,128,048 downwards.
TTGCCAATAGGAAACACTTATGACTCTCTTCATTGGGATTAATACTTAGAGTTTCAAGTTTTTCAGTGAATTAAATGGGAAAATAAACCTAGAGTCGGGCTCTATCTCATCAACCTTCAGCCAGACTCAAGGATTTCAGGCAAGGAGGCGGCTGGTTGGCCTTTCCCCGGGCAAGCTCTCTTTCCCCGAGCGGCTGTCTGCAATGCCTGGAGGCTGTTGTCTTTGTCAGCAGTGCTCTGAGAATTTGCCTGAATATAAGAATTCCTCAGGCAGCCCCGGGGAACCTGGCATCTCTTAAAATCCTATCAAAGATGGCTTTTGCCTAAAGCTGTAACTATCTTATAAAAGGCAAGGGAAGAGAGTAGCAATTACCCAAGCGATTCAAGCAAGAGAAATGAATTTGGCCTTCATTTCCTAACTTCTCAGGCGAAAGTCTGTTAGAACTGTGCTTCTCAATTTTCATTGTGTAAAGTATCACCTGGGGATCTTATTAAAATGCAGATTTTTAAATTCAGTAGGTTTGGTGTGGGGGTGGAAAGTCTGAATTTCTAACAAGCTTCCAGGTGATGCTGAAGCTGGTTTGTAAATCACACATTGAGTAGCAAGGTTTTAGAGCATCTTACCCAGGTAGAATTTACCCCGATTTTCCACTTGCTAGCTTTGTGGCAGAGGTTCTCAAAACTTCAGATGCATTAGAACCACCTGAGAAGCATGAAAAAAATGCAAATTTTGACTTGATAGGGTCGAGGGCTTTGCCTTTCTAACAAGCAACTTGCTGTTTCAGGGACTTTAGAGGAAGCACGGGTACCCAGAAATACTCAATGAAGCCAGTCTACACCCTTTGGAGCCACTAAGTCTTAGCTAATGAGAGGTTTCTTTAACTGGGGAAAGGTAACCATATAAAATTCAGTTAACTTCCGCCTATAAATTCAGCAAAACAACATAAGGCTAATGAGAGAGCTTGCATGATTTCTGCATTGCTGGGCAGAGAAAAGGAGTCTCAAATCTTTTCTAAGGGTACCCTGTATAATTTCATTCTGAAGGACCCCAGATATGAAAAAGTAGGAGCAAGCCGAATGCACACCTGAGATCCCAGAAAAGGATTTACAACAGACCCTGAAAGGCCAACTGCCCCAGCAAGAAGTCAGAGGACACATGTAGCCCTATAGCTAAAACTGAGTCATATTTTCTTGTTTTCAGAAACTGCTTCTATGGAAACCCACTAGAAAGGTCTCGGGGTTTCTGCAAGCAGAGATCATTTTGAAAGAGACCTGTTTTTTGATGAAGAATGGACTATTAAGTAGCAATATAAAAGTGAAGAAAATGGACTCATAGTGAAAACAGAATTATGTTCTCCTATGATCTCCTGACTCACGTGCTTAAATGACCTCTTGGGGAAGAAAAGGAATGATGTGGTTTCACCTGCCTGTACTGAACTACAAGAAGTCAAAGGGTGTTGGAAAAAACCAAGGTGGGGCTGAAAGGGCAGTGAATTAGGACCTGGAAGATATCAGTTGCAGTCCTGGCTCAGCCACTATGTGGCTTTGACATTTTGTCTTGTCATTTAACTTCATTGGACCTTCGTGTCCTTCGTCATATATGAGAATGGCATTAAACTAGACTAAAAATAATGTTCCAACTAGCTTGGGAATTCTGTGTTTTCATGACTGCAGTGATTATTTTCTTCTCACTAGAGCTATGACAAACTGAGGACAGCTGGGGGAGAACTTTTATAAACACTGAAGAATTCATTAATGCAAATATGACAGTTGTGTGTGGAGACTTAATTACCTACTTTTCTAATTTCATTATGGCAGAGTTCTTTGCTCTGAAATGCCTTATACTTGAGAATGTTGCTTGCTTGATCTCTCTCTCTCTGTGTCTGTCTGTGTCTGTCTGTGTCTGTCTGTGTCTGTCTGTGTCTGTCTGTGTCTGTCTGTGTCTCTGTGTCTCTGTCTGTGTCTCTGTCTGTGTCTCTGTGTCTCTGTCTGTGTGTCTCTGTCTGTGTCTCTGTCTGTGTGTCTCTGTCTGTGTGTCTCTGTCTGTGTGTCTCTGTGTCTGTCTTTGTCTGACTCTTTGTCTCTCAAGACAGAGTTTCACCTTGTAGTCAAGGCTGGAGTGCATGGCATGATCTTGGGTCACTGCAACCTCCGCCTCACGGTTTCAACTGATTCTTCCGCTTCAGCCTCTCAAGTAGCTGGGATTACAGGTGCCCATCACCACGCCCCGCTAATTCTTGTGTTTTTAGTAGAAATGGAGTTTCACCATGTTGGCTGGGCTGGTCTCGAACTGTTGACCTCAGGTGATTCACCCACCTTGGCTTCCCAAAATGCTGGAATTACAGGCATGGGCCACTGCGCCTGGCCTGTTTCCTATTCTTTCTGATCCAGTCATTGCCACAGACCACATCTCTGACTTCAAAGCATTGAAGTCACAGATCTAAAACAAATTGATGAAATGAGGCCCTATTTTACAATGACCTTTTAATTCGTAGACTTTTCTAGTTTAGAATAGTCACATAATTTTGTGGGTTTTTTCCCCCAAACTCTTATTAACAGATTAATAATTTCTGTATCTTTTAATTCTGGGGCTTGGAAGTTAGACTACAGAATAGATTTGGTATCCCTTAAGGCAGTGGTCCCCAGCCTTTTTGGCACGAGGGATGGGTTTCATGGAAGACAATTTTTCCATGAATTGGGGTGAAGATGGGGGAGGGGAATAGTTTTAGGATGATTCAAGCACATTGCATTTATTGTGCACTTTATTATTAATACACTGTAATATAATACAACTTGCCATAATGTAGAGTGACTGGGAGCCCTGAGCTTGTTTTTCTGCAACTAGATGATCCCATCTGGGGGTGGTGGGAGACAGTGACAGATCATCAGGCATTAGATTCTCATAAGGGGCACACAACCTAGATCCCTTACATGCACATCTCACAATAGGGTACACGCTTCTATGAGAATCTAATGCAGCTGATTATCTGACAGGAGGTGGAGCTCAGGTGGCAATGTGAGCAATGGGAAGTGGCTATAAATACAGATGAAACTTTGCTTGCCTGCAGCTCACCTCCTGCTGTGCAGCTGGGTTCCTAATAGGCCAAGGACCTGTTTTGGGTCCCTGCTTTAAGGAATATATATATGTATATGTATATCAAGAAAGATCTTAAGATTCAGCTTAAACCTCAGCTGCTTTGCCTTGATTCCCTTAAAGTATAACAAATTATTCCTTCCTCTTTGGTCCTACAAATCATTTCTTTTCTATTATCCTTTAGTGTATTTGTAGGTGTAAGTGAGTGATCTTAGGTAATGTGTGATCCAAGTTTACACCAAACACTCAATTGCCTGGGTCCACTATTTCATATTGATTTAAAATGTGACATAATAGGAAATGTATTTGGTTTCTGCCCTTGGTTCCTGGCTGAGAGTTTCTAAAACCCTTGTAACTCCCTGAGTAAGAGGGGTGATAGGAGTGTCTTTTGTTGTTCATAATAAGCCCTTTTCAACCACATCTCAGTTATGCTAATTAGCTGACTCTTGGAGGGTGAGCCCTGGTTGCCAAAGAAATAGACTCTGTGAGGCCGGGCGCGGTGGCTCATGCCTGTAACCCCAGCACTTTGGGAGGCTGAGGTGGGCGAATCACTTGAGGTCAGGAGTCCTAGACCAGCCTGGCCAACAAGGTGAAACCCTGTCTCTACTAAAAATACAAAAATTAGACAGGCGTGGTGGGGCGTGACTGTAGTCCCAGCTACTCGGGAGGCTGAGACAGGAGAATCGCTTGAACCCAGGGGGCGGAGGTTGTGGTGAGCAGAGATGGTGCCATTGCACCCCAGCCTGGGTAACAGTGAGACTCCATCTAAAATAAATAAATAAATAAAATAAAAGTAAATAAAATAAATTGACCCTGTGGTTAGAGGGTCATAACTTTCAGCCCCATCCTCTGGGGAGATTGAGTAAACTCATGGCCAGTGATCTATCACACTAATGCAGTGGGACTGCGGTAAAAAGCCTAAATGAAGGAGTCCTTGAGCTTGTAAGTTGGTGAACACAAGACAGGAAGGTGACGTACCCTACTTACAGGGACAGAGCTCCTGTGCTCAGGACCCTTCCAGACCTTGCTGTATGCACCTCTCATCTGGCTGTTCATCTGTATCCTTTGATAAACTGACAATGAGTAGGTGAAGTGATTCCCTGAGTTCTGTGAGCTGTCACAGCAAATTATCTAAACTGAGGAGGTGTGGTTATGGTGAGACAGGAATGAAGCAAGGTGGTCACAGGAGAATAGACACTTGCAGGCAGCAGTTTCACATGACCAGCAAAAAAACTGTTGAAATAGCTGTATAAGTTTGGGGCTATTAAGACCCTGAAAAACCAGGGTGTGGATCAAGTTGGCTAAGACTGACTGGACCCAACATGGTACTGGATTTGACCTAGGTTTCACCTTAGATCTCACTATCTGCTCATTAACATCCTAAATCACACACCCACCAGCACACATCAGTTCCAGGAATACCCATATTTGGTGTAAAAATGGGTGGCACCTCAGTTCCAAGAAATCTCTACCTTTTTCCAGGAATCTTCATGAATATTCCAGGCCCTGGTTAAATCCATAAAGATAGAAGACCCAAATCCTGTTGTAGCACTCACTCCCTTGTGTATGCCCACACTCCCCTCTTGAGAGGTAATGTTCTTTGCAATAAACATCTGCACTTTCACTTTTTTCTGACTCATCCTTGAGTTCCATCTTGTGGCAGTGTCACGAGCCTGGACACCAACTGGGATCGAGATCCCACTGGCATTTGGGGACCTCCCCTAGCCTACCTGTATCAGTAGGAACCCCTGATTTGTAGCAAGATGGGACAAAACCGTGAGTACTCCAGGAACCCACTACTTGCCATAGGCATTTGCAGCTACGGTGCAGTCTTATAGGACTAAGTCCTCAACCTGTGGGGTCTGCACTAATTCCAGGTGGTTAGTCAGAATTAAACTAAATTGTGGGACACTCAGTTGGAGTCTGCGGAGGATTGGAGAATTGCTCAGTGTGAAATACCCACACGTTTGGTGTCAGCAGCATTATGAGTTTAGAGAAAAAGTTTTTGCTTTAAAGAATACTTAAACCATGCAGGACTTGGTAGAGATCTCTCAGGTGTACTGAATAAGTTTCATAGGAAAATGAGTGTCTTAGTCGGAGAAATCTGGATCCCTGAGGAAGAAGCTGGGCAAGTGCAAAGGAAGAATATTTTCTAAACTGTTGCTCTGGGTGGTCCATGTGGATGCACGAGTCCAGTCCCAGCCCTGACATTCCCAACTCTGGAAATCAAGGAGGTGAATCAGTTCCCTTGGCTTCAGTTTTCTCAACTGTCAAATGGAGATAATACTGTAACCGCCCAATGGGTTCACCTTGCCTGCTGCCTAGACAGTGGATTTATTAGACGGGATTTGCAATAGAGAAAGTAATTCACGCAGAGCTGGCTGTGCATGAGACCAGAGTTTTATTATTACTCATTATTACTCATATTGGTCTCCCTGAAAATTTGGGGATTGGAGTTTTTAAGGATAATTTGGTGGGTAGGGGACCAGTGAGTCAGGAGTGCTGATTGGTCAGGTCAGACATGAAATCATAGGGAATCTAAGTTGTCCTCTTGAGCTGAGTCAGTTCTTGGGTGGGGGCCACAAGTCCGGGTGAGCCAGTTTATCAACCTGGGTGGTGCCAGCTGATCCACTGAGTGAAGGGTCTGCAAAATATCTCAAGCACAGGTCTTAGGTTTTACAATAGTGATGTTATCCCCAAGAGCAATTTGGGGAAGTTTAGAATGTTGCAGCCTCCAGCTGCATGATTTCTAAACCATAATTTCTAATCTTGTGACCAATTTTTAGTCTGCAAAGGCAGTCTAGTCCCTAAGCATAAAGGGGGTTTGTCTGGGGAAAGGGCTGTTTTTGTCTTTGTCTCAAAGCTAAACTATAAGTTCCTTCCAAAGTTAGTTCAGCCTACACCTAGGAATGGACAAGGACAGCTTGGAGGTTGGAAGCAAAATGGAGATGTTTAGCTCAGATCTTTCACCGTATGTAATTTTCTCAGTTATGATTTTTGCAAAGGGGGTTTTAATACCAAGCTCCTATGGTGGATACAATTAAATGACACAATGCACATAAAATTCAACAGAGCCTGGTCTGAGGTAGTCACTCAAAATATGCTAACAGTGATGAAAATGATATTGGAGGAAGGCACCAGCTGAGAATAAATGGGGCTTGATCTACTGCCAGATGGGACAAGTCATGGAGACAAATTCTAGGGACAAATCCAGGCAAGAGTGAAGCCTAACTCGGGAATTAAGGATCATGAGACATCTTCTGAAGTTAGCTGTCTTTATATACTTTCAACTCACTCTTTTGGTCCTTCTTTTGTCTTAAAGCCATGAGGTTTAAGAATGACTAATTACTATTATGCTTTTGTTTTTGAGACAGAGTCCCACAGACCGGAGTGCAGTGGTGGGATCTTGGCTCACTGCAACCTCTACCTCCCGGGTTCAAGCGATTCTCATGCCTCAGCCTCCTGAGTAACTGGGATTACAGGAGTGCGCCACCATGCCCGGCTAATTTTTGTATTTTTAGTAGAGATGGGGTTTTGCCATGTTGGCCAGGCTGGTCTTGAACTCCCGACCTCAGTTGATCCACCTGCGTCAGCCTCCCAAAGTGCTGGGATTACAGGTGTGAGCCACTGCACCTGGCCTAATTATTATTATGCTTTTATTGTAGCACACTCAACAGAGGAGACCCAGCTCAATTTAGGGGAATAAAAGAATAATTTGTAGTATTGCTTTCTCCAAGGCAGAAACTACTTATTTTGAGACATATAATTATTAAAATTATAATTGGCTATTGGTAAGTTGAAAATGGAAGCCAAGAAATAAATTATGAATGAATGGAAACCCTGTGGATAATTTTTGTTCTTCTGAGTAGTTTGTGCTACTTAGTGGCCTTCAGAGAAACAAATCGATAACTATTATTTAGAGCTTCCCTGTAGCTTCCAGGGCGTTAGGAGCCCCTTCTCTATCAGTGATCCTGTAATTTCATCAATGTGGTATCATTAGCACTCCACAGTTAGCAATTAAGCTTTATCCAACAAGCTCAGTTATAGCTTTAGGGGAAAAAACTGCCAGTCACATGGAATATACTCAGATTTCAGCGGTATAGCTAGTTCTATTTAAGATAGATGAAACAGCTGTTAAAGTTATAGTTAGAGCTAGAGTAAGTATTGATTTGCAAGAACCAATTTCCTGTTTTTAAGGCAGTCTGAGGAACCAAGGGGATATCTGTATCAGTCATTTTTAATCTTGGTGAGAGGTTAAGAAGTAAAGTGCTCCCTGATAGGGCAGCATAGCATTCTGGTTTCTTACAGAGCTCATTAGTGACTGCTCCCTTTTAGATAGCAAAATATGCATTAGTATTCCACTGGCAAGTCTGCTATATTTGTAGGGTGCTTTCACACAATTACTTCAAATTAACTTCACACAATGCTGGGAGGTGGTGATAATTATGTTCTTTGTTCTGCTTGGAAATGAGAACTCACAGAGGTTAAGTAACCTGTCCTCCCTTCCAACAGCTATTAAGTAGAATAACAAAAAGTCCAGGTCATTTTAACTCATTTTCATGAGTTCTTCTGAGCAAAAACATATTCCTGGATCCTTACTTTGGATCTACCAGTGAATTTCTAGATGACCTTGAAAGTTGCTTGTCTGTTCCTCAGTTTCCTCAATTGTAAAATCAACCTGTAATAACAGGGGTTGGCACAGTGGGTTTCATCCAGATTGGAGATCTATGATTCCAGGCATCTCCAAATTAACTTTGTATCTCAGCAAGAGTACTTTAGTATTAATTATTGATGAAATGACATAATGTCCTAGCCATTGTCCTACAGTATATTTTGTTAGGGTAATAATGTTTTCAGTAATATGAGCGCACTATACTGCATTTGTCCTTTAAATATTTGCAAAGAGTATTTTTTTGATGAGTCCTTTAAAATAGTGTTCAAGATTTGCAGATTATTCTTGTAATCATATTAATTTTTCCCTCAAGTTCTAAAAAATTTGCTTTTGACATATAAGCAATGGGTTGATTTAAATAGTCAAAATAAGAGATGGACAGATTTGCTCTTACTCTAGTAAGCAGGAATTGATCTGTGTTTTTTATATTAATATAAATTGGCTGCATAAAAATGCCATTAGTGAAGGAGATGATTCCAGAGACTGGTCTACAAATAATCTACATATTAGATGAAAACATTCCAAGTAGAGGAAGAAATACCCATTTTAATTCATCTTGGACTAAGTTAAATATCAAAAGAAATATAAGCTTTTGTAAAGATGAACTTCATATTTGATATATAGATAGTTGGTCTTGAAGATTAAAATTAAATACAATTCAGTGAGAAATAAGTGACTTTTATTAATCCAAAAGTATTTTGCAAAGAGAAACAACAGAAAATAACCCGTGAAATAAATTCAAAACCCCAGAGACTATTCTTTGGATTGTCTAGATTTTCTGAAGAAAATCCCCATAGACTTTACTCGTTCGTCTCACCACAGTTGAGCTGTAGAGGGAGTTACCTTTTCTTCTATTGCATGTTCTGCTCACAGACCAAGAGGTCTGAAAAGAGTTTAAAGGGAATGGAGGAGGTCTGGAATATCCTGATTAATGTGATTGGAACACTTCATATGAAGGAAAAAAATTCTGATCAGGACTTTCCTTGAGTCACTTTTTAAAACTCTTATTTCTGTTGCAGATTTTAATAATGATACATGTAGATTAATGCCGTTTTTCTGCAACTGGTATATTGACGTTCTTTCTCCTTGTCTTTTATATCAAGCACTAAATTATATTGCTAAAGCCATCCATATTATTAGTGATTAAAGGTCCTCAAAAGCAAATGCAAGCAAGTTTTATAATTCTAACAAAAAATGTGGAGAAAAAAATAAAACTATTATGGAATGTAAGAAATGTAAGAGTGCAATATATACATATGCAACATATATTACACACAGATAGGAGAGTGTATATATGCAATTCTTTTTAATAAAAATCTCTCCATGATTTCAATATATACAAGAGTTAAAAATGGAATCACTCCGGTTGAACTGGGGCTCAAGAGCTTAGACACTTTCCTTCATTCCGGGTGGAGGTCACTGAAATGCTGTCTCAGTTGGAGGGGGAGAAAAATGATGTAGTCCATGTTCATCCTACTTTATACATGAGGAAATTGAGGCTGAACATGGTAAAATACATGCCCTGATGAGTCACTTACTCACCTACCTGAGACTAATACTTAAGGCTCCCACTCCACAGCCACTGACAAGTTGTTGCTAAATTCTTTCCCTCGGAATACTGTGTCCCGTCCTCTTGTCACAATGGTGCTACTTAGTGATTTGAGTCTGTGACCTTGAATAAGACAGTTGACTTCTTTGAATTACTGCTTTCTTGTCCTAAAACAGGACTGATGCTGGGAAGTATTCCCCCGCCCCGAGACAGAGTCTTGATCTGTTGCCCACGCTGGAGTACAGTGGCGCGATCCTCGGCTCACTGCAACCTCTGCCTCCTGGGTTCAAGCAATTCTCCTCCCTCAGCCTCCCAAGTAGCTAAGATTACAGGCACCAGCCACCATGCTCTGCTAATTTTTGTATTTTTAGTAGAGACGGGGTTTCACCACATTGGCTGTGCTGGTCTTGAACTCCTGATCTCGTGATTCGCCCACCTGAGCCACCCAAAGTGCTGGGATTACAGGAGTGAGCCACTGCCCGCAGCCGCTGAGAAGTATTAAAAAGGGCAAAGGAAGAGCAGATCTTCTATAGGATACCTTTATTTCTACAAAAGTGACTCCAGGCAAAACCTTCCAAAGCCTTCAACTACAGAAAATCAAATGGAACAAAAGCCCTAACAGGAATTTCAAAGAAAACAAACACTTAGAGATACCCATTGTTCCTCTGGACATCGACACTGGCATATGCCTTAAATACAGAATGGAATGCCTGCAGTACAATAATGAGTATTTTCTACCGCAGGCTTTCCAAAGTTTCCCATGGAAGTACCTCTATCAGCAGAGAAACGGGAGTGTTGATTCTTTTCCTACCACCAATCTCTAGGGTATGATTTGACGTGGCTAGTGTCAAATACAAAAATTAATTGGAGTCTGATGTTTCATATAAACACATACAATCCTTATCATTTTATTTTGCTTTTCTTTTTGTCTTTAAAATTATTTTAAAAGAAAGTGTGTATCCTCTGAGATTTATTGCTAGGTTTTAGAGCAGAACATGGGAGGAGGGGAAGGGGGAGAAATAAAGACATTATTCTAAAATATCATTTAATTGTAAGATCAAATAGTGTGCATGGAGACCAGAGGATGGTATAATCATATTCTCCTTTGAGTCGCCTTTCAGTTCATGCTAATTTCATCTATGATGAATATCCATGAGTTCTTCTCTGTTCTCCTTTGATCCAATGGATTACTATATGTGGGCACTAATAAATATTTTCTAAGGAATTAATCTTCCCATATCTGAATAGCCTTGCCATAAACCTTTTCTTAAATCATAATCTATATAGCAAAATTACTATTCAGAAAACTGTTATCTGATTATAGATCTATAAATTTCACATTGCAAAGTATTATGGTCTCTCAAAGTTCTGCCCATTGCTATCATTTAACAGAAAGACACACACATATAAATATGTACAAGAATATATAATATATATTAAGAGCAAAACTCTATATACAAAAAACCATGTCTATCCAGTTGAATCAGACCTCTATAACGAGGAGAGGAGTTGAGCTGTGCTATGTGTTAGCTCCTGCTAGTTTTTTTTTTTTTTTTGAGATGGAGTTTTATTCTTGTTGCCCAGGCTGGAGTGCAATGTCACGATCTCAGCCCACTGCAACCCCTGCCTCCCAGGTTCAAGCGATTCTCCTGCCTCAGCCTCCCAAGTAGCTGGAATTACAGGCATGTGCCACCATGCCCGGCTAATTTTGCATTTTAAGTAGAGATGGGGTTTCACCATGTTGGCCAGGCTGGTTTCAAACTCCTGACCTCAGGTGATCCACCCGCCTCAGCTTCCCAAAGTGTTGGGATTACAGGTGTGAGCCACCGTGCCCGGCCCCGTTGGTTCTTGAGAGCAGGTTGTGAACATATTTTCCCAGCATCTCTTCCCAACTCCTGGTTCAATGACATCATGTTGGTAGCCTGAATCAATCAGCCTAGGAGGGAATATTTGTAACACAGGAATACACACACATCACAAATTAGGATTTGTTTCCCTGATCTTGGAGAGCTGTTTGTTTAACACTTGTCTTCGCACCACTGTCTGTTTACAAACCTTCACCAGCAGTTTTCAAGACATCTTAATTTACATAATGAACAGACTCGCTTTATTATTTTTGTCTTCCAGTTCTCTGGGTTTACCCATTTAAATGTATTTACGACAAGTTTAATAGCCAAATGCCACCCGCAAAATTCTTTTGTGCTATGTTAAACAGAATGTTCCAAGAAAACTATACTCATATCACACAAGGTTAAGAGAAAATAAGTAATAAATACTTGAATAAAGAATGAGAATCATATAACTAAAAGAAACTGGGAGTATATTTGTAGGCTTTAATTTTGTTTAGTATTTTTTATTGCAAATATTTGCTGTTTTTCAAATTGTTATCAAGATGTTATTTACATGCAGGGAAATTAATTCTTTTAAGCATCACCACAAGCAATTTATGAATAATAATATATGATCATCAGCTCAAAAAATTCTCCTGTGCTGCACCTTTGTAGTCAATCTCTTCCCTCACACCCCCAGTTTCTGGCAATAACTGATCTGAATTCTGTCCCTATAGGTTGTGGATTTTTGTTTGCTTGTTGAGACGGGTTCTGGCTCTGTCGCCCAGGCTGGAGTGCAGTGGCACTATCACAGCTCCCTGCATTATTGACTTCCCTGGCTCAAGAGATCTTCCTGCCTCAGCCTCTTGAGTAGCTGGGACTACAGGTGTGTATCACCATACCAGGCTAGGCTAGTTTTTTAATTAAAAAAATTATTTTTTGTAGAGGCAGGTCCTCCCTTTGCCCAGGTTGGTCTCAAACTCCTGGGCTCAAGAGATCCTCCTGCCTCAGCCTCCCAAAGTGTTGGGATTACAGGCCTGACCCATGGTGCCTGGCCACTGTCACTATAGTGTTTTTTCCCCCAGAATGAAATCTAGTGGAATCATACAGCATCTAGCCTTCTATGTCCAACTTCTTTCACTTATGAGACCTTCGAGATACCTCCATGTTTGTATATATGTCAGTGGTTTTCCTTCTTACTAAGTAGAATTTTATTGTGTAGATATACCAGTCACCAGATGATACACATTTGGGTTGCTCTTAGTTTTAAGGTTCAGATCTTTGTGTAGACATATAATTTTACTTCTCTTGGTTAAATATTTAGGAGTGGACATTTTGGATTGTATGGAAAATGCATGTTTAACTTTCAGGAATCTGTCAAACTGTTTTTCAAAGGGATGATTCCATACTGAATTCTCACGAACAATATGAGAGTTCTAATTGTATCCTGGCCAGTACTTTGTACTGTGAACTTTTTCTTTTATAATTTCAGCATTAGATATGTAATAGTATCTCATCATGGATTTAATTTTACATTTCCCTAAGGACTAATAGGGTTAGACATTTTTCATGTGCTTATTGATATTAGTTTTGTGATACTTTGCCCAGGGTTTTATTAGAATATTTGTTTTATTGTTAAGAGTTCTTTATATATTCTGGATAAAACTTTTACTATATCTGTTTTTAAAAATATTTTTCCCAGTGTGGTATTCTTAACATCTTCTGAAAAGCAGAACTTCTACATTTTGAGGTCTAATTTGTCAATTTTTTCTTTTATGATTTATGTTTTTCTGTCCTAAAAATTTTTTGCCTAACTCAAGGTCACAGAGGTTTTAGCCTAAGGTTTCCTGCAGAAGTCTTGTGGTTTTATTTTTCATTAATTTAAAATTCATTTTTGTGTATGGTTGAAGTCTATTTTTTTCTATGTAGATATCCAGTTGTTTTACCACCATTTACTGAACTAGTTTTTTTTTTCTTCTTCTTTTGGAGTCTTCTGATCCATGAGCAGTGTATATATTGCCATTTGTTTAGATTACATTAATATCCTTATCCATATTTTATAATGTTCAGCATACAAGTCATATATTTTATTAGATTTATTAATTGTTTTGTGTTTTTGATCTTATTGTGAATGGTACTCTGTAAAATTTATATTTCTGATATTTCATTGCTATTATATTGAAATGTAATTTATTTTTATCAACCTTGCATCTTGGGTACTTGATGAACTCTATTAGTTCTAGTGTTTTTAGTAGATTCTTTGAGATTTTCTTTATAGATGATAATGCCACCTGCAAATAAATACCGTGTCATATTTTTCTTTCAAATCTGTATTCACTGGCTTAGACTGATGTCCCTGCCAGCATCCCAGCAGAAGGAGTCTTGTGGAAATGGCACACAGAAGTGTCTATAGCTTCTATATGAAATAACACCTAAAGCAACAAAATTACTCTCCCATAGTGTTGATACAGTGTAAATACAACAAATTTTCTTGGCAATAGCTTTAAAAATGTGTGTCCCATTTACTCAGTAACTTCCAATTTTAAAGCATCTATCTTTTTTTTTTTAAACCTTTAAGTTCAGGGGTACATGTGCAGATTTGTTATACAGGTAAACTTTTGCTATGGGGTTTGTTGTACAGATTATTTTGTCACCCGGGTATTAAGCCTAGTACCCATTAGTTATTTCTCCTCATCCTCTCCCTCCTCCTACCCTCACCCTCTGATAGGCCCCAGTGTGTGTTGTTTCCCTCTGTGTCCACGTGTTCTCATCATTTAGCTCCCATTTATAAGTGAGAACAAAAGCATCTATCTAAAGCACATAGTTTAACAAGATGTGGACAGATTAATGCACAAAGATGTTTAATGCATAATTTATAGTAATGAAAAATTGGAAATAATTGTATATTTAATAGAAGGAAGATTTACTGAGAGGGATTATAGAATATACTGCAGTTTTAAAAAATGCTAATTGTTTGAAAAGTCTTCACCATATATGAAATGGCAAAAGCAGCAAGAGAATAAAAATTGTATATGGTATTATCTCCTCTTAAAAAATTACACATAAGAAAATATCTTGAAGGATATATATCAATATGTCAAGTCATTTTATGGTTTCTACTTTTTCTCAGTTGTATTTTCTGAAAATTCAACTCAGTTGTATTTTCTGAAAATAAACATTAATGTCTAAATTAATATTATGTTAGTCATTTTATGGCTTCTGCTTTTTCTCAGTTGTATTTTCTGAAAATTCAACTCAGTTGTACTTTCTGAAAATAAGCATTATCAATGTGCTAAATTAATATTAAAGGAAATACTAAATCAATTGCATAGTATTATCTTGGCTTGGTTTATGTTTCCCAGACACAGGGGTTCTCGGCATGTAAGTGAGTTTATGTGATTCCTTATTGTTCTTCTCAAAGAACAGATAATTATATTCAAACATTCCTTTTTATGGATATAATTTTAATTATGAGCCCTGCCATTTGTGTGAGGCTTGTTGCAACACTCTTTAGTATAGGTAATTGTTCAGTCTTTCAGCTATGCTTTAGACAGAACCAATAGCGAGGTTGTCAATTCTGATAGCAAAAGAAAACAAGGTCCTGGGAACCTGGATATTTTCTAAACCTGCATAGAACACAGAGACTCAAAAGGAATGAGAACCAGGATAAAAAGATTTATTTAGGTTAGACCTCATTTCAACAGGTCAAAGTCCCACTATTGCCTTGGGTTTCACCTAATTCACTAAGTCAGTAAGGCTTCAGCACGTGTCCAATATTGGCAGGACATGAAATGGTGACGTCAGTCAACAGTAGACAGTTCCCTGTCTTGAGAGACAATGACACAGAAGAAAGCCATCGGAAGCCCTCCCAAAACAACCCCACCCACAAGCAGACACTGACACAAGGGTCCTGGGTGTGTAGAGTTTATACAGATCTCATTGTTTTCTGAAGAAAATTGACCTTTTTCTCTATTTTTCAGTTAATAGAAAATCACATGATTCAAACCCTTAATCCTGCATGCCTGGATAAAGTTCCCCTTTAAATGGGTCTGTTCACTTCTGATCCATTTATCTTCTACTGCTGCCTCATTCACAATAAATCCCATGCAAAGCCCATCAGTGGCTCAAACATCAGCTCCTGAATGTATATCTTGGCTGCGTAAGGCTCTCAGTGAGTGGTCCAGCCCAGCCTACCTCTCCAACTTTAAACTATATGGTATCTGAAACAAGCCGTCCAGTACAACCAATGACATCTCCTCTCTCAGACATACTTTGGACATTTATTTGGCCCTCTGTATGTTTTACCAGTCATGTTCTTTATAAAACCAAAATCTGTATTCTCCCAAATTCAAATCCTACTTTATCGTCAAGACTCAATCCAAATTCTCCCACCCTTCAAAATCTCTAATCCCTGCCGATCTCACCATTATCGGCACATTGTTGTCTTTATATGAGAGCTATTTATTTGATGCCATCTAAAAATTGAATTGATTTCTTCTTTGGGTTATTAATTTTCCTATCAGTTTTATTATAAACTCATGTTAATTTATGTAAATCATAAATTTTGTCAAAATGAAAAATAATAAAAATGAACATTGTTGAACACTTAATATTTGTAGGCATTTAAAAAAGACCTTGACAATGTAATACTTAATTCTCATAACTGTGAGGAAGCTAAAATTATTTGCATTTTGCTTGAGGAAACCATAGTACAAAGAGGTTAAGTAACTTGCCCAGACTGTCTCCATAATCAGAACTCTTAACCTCTGCATTACACTATTTCTCATCAATATAATATAAGAATATTGTAGTTCATGTGAACGATACTTGAGCAATTATGAGACATCCTTGCCTCTGTTAACCTTTGGCCATTTTCCTTTCCAGAGCTTTATTGATTTATTTGCATATCATTTACATGCATAAGTACCAAGTGTGAGTCTCAGTCCGCAAAGTATGTAACTTTGTCTATAACTGAACTTAGTTGGTCTTAATTTTTCCTATGGCAGAAACATGATCTTATGTAATTCTCAGATGTCCCTGACACTTTCTCAGGCTGTGTTTAGATTCCTCTGGGGACCCCAGGTACTACATTACAGGGAGCTATCAGGGCCTCTGTCTTTCGAGATATTCATGGTTCCATCTGATTCTTAGTTACTGAAAGCAAGGACTCTCCACATCTGGATGTCTCTTAGCTGCTCCTTTACAGCTCAGAAGCAGATTGAAAGTCATTCTAGTCTTGGGAAGGAAACCAAGTGGGGCTGCCTAAGGCCCTTCACCATTATAGCATCTCCATTCCAGTGCTCTTGTACTCTCTTGAAGCAGAAAAAGCTCTGTGACCTTTTCCTTAAGGTCCCTACACCTGGGAAGGTTGATAGCAGCTCAGGGTCACTTTGCTTTTGGGTTCCTCAAATATTGGTAGAATTTTTATTTTATCATTTGTAGTTTCCTCCATCTCTGACATGGGGAGAAGCTGACTCAAGTTACATATAACTTGTTACTCTCCGTTCTCTGATACTTTTATTCTCCTATTCAGGGAAAAAATAATTTTAACTGATTATGTGTACCAAATCTTCCAAAACTGAAAAGATAAGACCTAACTTTTCTGATGTCTATGCTCTCTGTCGTATCGTTCCTTCCTTCCTTGAGGCAATGGCGATACTAAGTTGCTCAGACAGGAGGAGGGACCATGGGGTACAGAAACGAGGAAAATGTCTTTATCTAAAAATACCAACCTGCTATTCACATTCAGGTACACATTCAAGTATGTTAGTTATAGCAACCATATGACTGGTGGGGTTGACTCTACCTCGAAATCTTGGATGTGTTTTAGTTTGGCTTACCCTATCAGGGTCCTCTCGCCTGCTATGTATGGGCTTAACTATGGGTCTGTTGCCTAAGGTGGTCCAAACAGAGTGATGATCAAGAATTTTATTCAGTGCTGTATGGAGAGATACTCTATCTTCTCTAGATGTAAATGAAGATGCTTGTGTGAGCCCCGAAAATCTGAGACAGGTCTCAGTTAATTTAGGAAGTTCATTTTGCCAAGGTTGCAGATGCGTGTCTGTGACACAGCCTCAGGAGGTCCTGATGAAATGTGCCCAAGGTGGTCAGGGCACAGCTTGGTTTTACACATTTAGGGAAACGTGAGACATCAATCAATATATGTAAGATGTACATTGGTCCTGTCCAGAAAGGTGAGACAACTCAAGCAGGGAGGGGGCTTCCAGGTCACAAGTTGGTGAGAGACAAACCACTGCATTCTTTTGAGTTTCTGATGAGCCTCTCAAAAGGAGGTAATCAGATATGCATTTATCTCAGTGAGCAGAGGGATGACTTAGAATAGAATGGGAGGCAGGTTGGCCCTAAGCAGTTCCCAGCTTGACTTTTCCCTTTAGCTTAGTGATTTTGGGGGCCCCAAGATTTATTTTCCTTTCACACTGGTAACCCTGGTTTCTGCTTGCAGCCATTTTGTGAAGTAGAGTTGTCAGACTGAACAGAAGGCTGCTACTTGCAGAAGACTAAAACGCAGAGTATTGAGGGAAACGAAATTTGAGTCATGATGGTACCATGCCTGAAACTTGAACTATCTTTGGACATTTCAGTGATTATGCCAGTTATCTTTATTTTAAATCAAATTTAAATATGTTCTCCAATAACTGAATTTGAGAACATCTCAATATCTATAGATAGATAGAAATGAGATTGCTAGACGTGAGGCATGCCGTTTAAAATTTTGATAGTGTGAGACTACCCACAGAAACACTTTGTCAGTGTGTAATACTTCCGAGTATTTTAAATTATATTTCTTTGTACTTCCATCAACAGTAAATAGTATTGATCTTTTTTGTCTCTGCTAATCTGCTGGGAGAAATATAATGTAATAATGTCAATCCTCTTCACTCTTATTTTCTATAACAGATTTCATCTTAGGTAAAACCTAACTTAAATTTGTCAGTTTATGGTATATCAGTATCTTTTGGTTAAAGACCATTCAGTTTCAAGCAATTATGAGCCAATTCAAATTGTAACTTTCTGTCAGGGCTACTTTTCCTTTTTCCTCCTTCTCTGCCACAAGATAGGATGTGGTAAATATATTAATGCTGTACAGACAGGCTTACCTGACCTCTTGGTATGGAGAGGAAAGCCTATGGACCCTTGCATTGTCTTCTAAACCATCTGTGGTCTCTGCTTAGGGCTGCCTTCTCTGACTCTTGGACTGGGGTTGAGGAGGAAGTCTGCAGCCATGGATGCATAGAGTTGTTGACTTGATTTTGTCATGGCCTGTTTTTCCTCCCAAATGATTCGGTGCCACCTTTCCTTTGTCTGGCACTTGTCCATTTTTCTAAGGTCCCTGAAATACCCACTAGATCTCCGATCTGGGACATTTGCCCTGGAATTCAGAACTGTCATGATACTCCTCTAGGCCATGACAACTCCATCAAGATTTCCAACCAAAATCATCTGTGACCTTTCACAACCATGTCAGCACATCCATGTACTTCCTGGTCTCATGCGATCAGAGTAATTCAGGTGTCATTCTGGCTCTGTCTCTAATTGAACTCCATGCGACCAAACAATATTGCCATGGACTAACCTTGTGAGACAATATTTCTCATAGTTAACTCACTCCTACCTCCACTGCCCATGGATTTCCAAATTGAGTGTGGGGCACAAAAGCCCATCCACTTTTGTTTAACCTCTCATGGAACTATTAAGGCTTCAGGGATTTAAGCTTGTTAAGGAAGCTTAATGTACTTCTCTGGGGCTTTTTTCCCCTCTCTTATCTATTAGGTTGGTGCAAAAGTAATTGTGGTTTTAATCCTTCTTCCTCACCATAAATCTATTCCATTAATGAGAATGGAAAAGATGGACATTCCATTCAAGTTTTCTTCTTGTCTGATACTTTCTTTTTATGATAATTCAACTTCTTTCTACATTGGCATTTGTCTGACTCTTTCTGAGATCATAAGATGCCAAGGAAGAAGCTAAAATCTAAAGGTGCTCTCTTATAGTGCAATGAAAATTATTCAAGGGTTTATTACTGGCATTTTTTTTTTTTTGAGATGGAGTTTCACCCTTGTTGCCCAAGCTGAAGTGCAATGGTGCGATCCCGCTCACTGCAAACTCCGCCTCTCGGGTTCAAGTGATTTCTCCTGCCTCAGCCTCCTGAGTAGCTGGGATTACAGGCACGTGCCACCATGCCCGGCTAATTTTGTATTTTTAGTAGAGATGGGGTTTCTCCATGTTAGTCAAGCTGGTCTCCAACTCCTGACCTCAGGTGATCTGCCCGCCTTGGCCTCCCAAAGTGCTGGGATTACAGGTGTGAGCCACCATGACTGGCCCCATAATTGTTATATATAGATTATTGTGTATATTATATATTATATAATATAGTTATGTAATTGATGTAATTAATGTAATTATATATTCTATATTTTATATATAGTCTAGATTTATTTTCATTGATTCATTCAACAAATACTACTTATTGAGCCTGTTATTTTCCAAAATGTGTGCTTAGAGTCCATGTTCTCTTGAACTTATAGTCTCATGGAAGAAATTAATTGAAAAACTAATAGGATAATCACTATAGTAAATGCATTATTCTAAAGTGAGATACATGCTCTGAATAATGGGAATAGCAATTGAGAGAGAGTTAAAATATGACCAAGACATGGATGTAAAGGAAGACTTTTCTTAAGGAAACTATATTTGAACTGAATTATTGCAAGTATTTTTCTCAGTCTCTTTCTTGTCAAATTTTTTATGACATTTCAGTTCTAAGTTGTGTATAATAAGATAACATCCCCATATTTGCATCAGAAAGCCCAAAAGATATTTAAAAATATATAGTCATCTCAATAGCTGCTAAACATCTGATAAAACTCAACTGTTATTCACATGACTTGCACATTTCTCATTTGGTTTGTTCCTAAGCATTTTCAACTTGTTTGCTTTTTTTAGTTTGCTTTTTGTGTTTTCAGTATTTTTCCTTTCCTATTGTATATGCGATTGATTTCTTTTTTAATTTTATAGGAGAGCTATTTTTATGCATTTCTCTTTGGCACTATTTACTATCTCATAAGTTCTGATTTAAAAACAAATTCTTTAGATTTTCTGGATAAACAATCAAATCATACCAATTAAATCTTTGTCTTATTGCATGGCCTCAAGTACATTGTTTAATTCATAGTGATAATAGAAATACTAACCCTATTACTGAGTGTAATTGGAAACAATTATGTTTCATCAGTATACATGAGGATTGTTGTAGGATTCTTGTATATGATCTTTATCACATTATGGTAGCATCCTTTTACTACCAAGACTTTATTATTATCAAGAACGGGGTCAAATTTTATCAAATGCTTTTTAAGCGTCTATTGAGATAACCAGGCATTCTTTCCTTTTGTGTGTGCTGAAGTAGTGAATCACATTAATAGGTGAATATATGTTCAATCCTCTCTGCATTTCTGAGAAATGCTCTCCTTTGTGATGAAGTACCATTCTTTCCATATGGTACTGGCTTATTGAAAGAGTCAATGAACTTAGATTTTGAAAATCTATAGTTGAATTTAATATGCATCTGACTCTGCTCAAGTCACTTAGTTTTCATTAACCTTAATTCCCTCATGTGTAAAATGAGTACATTCTACACAAAGTAGCTATTAGAAGTATGTAAAATTGTTAAAATTCTTCTATAGTAAAAAAAAATCACAAATGTCATTTATTACTTAAACTTATTACTCAAGAGAACTGAGCAATTATACTTAAATCCCTCACATAGCAGGCAAGAGATACATGATATGGTATCAATGAGGATGAACTGAGTGCATTGAATCACCACTTTGGGCAGCTGTACTTTATTCCAAAGGCTTAGCTCCATCAATTGAATGGATGAAGAGCCCAAGGCACACAGGTGGTACCTTAATTTTCCCCAAGATTGCATCAATGTTAGAAATACTATTAGAGATTTTTCAGTGAGTTCAGTGATCCCAACCAATAATTATTAGCTAGTAGCTTGGCTACATCCTGAAGAATAAAGACTTATTTGATGATCACTTAGAAAGAAGATGGCCCGTGGGATATTTTGAAGACTGTCCACTAGATGGCATTACAAGCCTGTTGGAATTGTTTTAACTAGCCATTTCTTCACCAGTTAAATACTAATTAAAGATATTAGTAAATGGAAGTTAGTGACATAGCACTATCTTTGAAAAAGTTGTCTTTTCCTATTTGTTTGAATATAAGCTAAAGGTAGCAACTACATAAAGCCATCTAGGGACAGATTTACTTTAGCCCTCACTCAAAAGCAATTGCCTCTTTAAGGAAAGAATTAAACTACAGCAAATGGACAGGACTCTCAGAAGAACAAAAAGTCAAAGATACTTTATCAAGAAAACTAAACATATTTTTGTACTCAATTGAATTACCTAACTTCTTTGAGATAAGTGCATTCCAAAAAAAGCTTAGATAAGTATGTCAACGACAGCATTAAACATGGCTTTGAAAAAAGCTGGGTAGAATGACAATGATGAAATAATTTTAGGTTTAACTCAGAGGGTTACTTATTCTGTCACCTCTTTGGGATTGCTATTGGCAACAGAACACTTAAATGAATGGAATTTAGATCATAATAACAAATAATATAAGGATTATTCTTATTAATTTTTATGACAGGAACTAACTGAACTTAGAACCAGGACTTTTGACAGGGGTGCTAAGCATTTATCCACCCCCAAAAAAACTGGCTTTTCTGTTTTATTCTAACACTTCATTCATCCCTCTGCACATTCCCACCTCTTCCTGTTCACTTTACTCACTTTTATATTACAGAAGGAGACACTTGGCCGGGCGCAGTGGCTCACACCTGTAATCTCAACGCTTTGGGAGGCTGAGGCAGGCGAATCATTTGAGACCAGTCTGGCCAACATGGCAAAACCTGGTCTTTGCTAAAAATATAAAAAATTAGGCAGGAATGGTGGCACACACCAGTAATCCCAGCTACTCAGGAGGCTGAGGAAGGAGAATCACTTGAATCCAGGAGGCAGAGGTTGCAGTGAGCCGAGATCACACCACTGCACTCCAGCCTGGGTGACAGAGAGAGATTCTATCTCAAAGAAAAAAAAAAAAAGAATGAGACACTTTACCTCTTTTACCTCTCTTTAATCCCTTGAGGAAGAAAGAGCACACCCAAATCAGAAGCTCATACTTTTCAGAGTAAAGTAATCTATGGGTGCCACTTGGAGTCATGGGTGGAAATGCCTTCTTCAGTACATATACTGGCACCTTCAGCTGTCAGCACAGCTCATGTCCTGTCCTCATACTTTGAATATTCTTATTACAGGCTTGAGACACTTGCTTAATAGGTTTCAAATGGCTCTCTTTACAGTGGTGAAATAGTAGATACTTCATCAGCAATTATTTTATGATTTTTATAAGTGGACATGCCTAATAAGGAAGAGATTACTTTCCAATAGCTAGGGAGTCTTGGGAAAGAAGAAAAAGTACCCCAAAGACATAATGTATCATAATCTCATTACCTAGAGTCAAAATCTCATAGACCTCAGGACACCTAAGAGAATTAACACAATCTTCCTGTGTTAAAATTTTAGCTTCAAACTTTACCTCACAGTTTGGGGAATTCTATCTTGCCAGTTAATGAGTAAATGGTCAACATTTTAAGACATGCCACTCTCCTGAAATCAAAGTTCAAGTAGAAAGTTCTCAGTCATATTGCCTAGTTTACAAGTGTTGAGTCATGCTGACTAAGGGGCAGGGGTGCAGAGAGGTAGAGGGGAGGGAGTCATGCCTTCACAGAGATCATGTGAATAGCAACTGCTCTATTCTAGGACTGGAGAGCTCTCCCGGGCCCTGGTCAGAGTTGCTAACCAATAGGAAAGGGAGAAGCTATAACTGCCCCTTTTAATTCAGTTGGAGAAAAATGTTTGGAATGTTATTTATGTAACTGTGACCTTAATTCAGTACAACATGCCCAGGCAGGTAAGACAAAATCTACCATCAAGTAGGTAGATGTCTGAAGGGTGTACTGTTAACTTTTCAAATACAGAACTACTTATCGTGGAATAATACTGTCATGGACACAAAGTGAGACTATAATGTGATGTGATTCACTTTAAAAACATCAACAAGCATAACAGAATGGCACATACTCCATAACTCTTTTCAGAACACTTCTTGATGAATCTTGATAATTCTTGTCTTTTTGATATAGGAGTTAAAAAGAAATTATTTAGGCAGATAGTGAGGGTAAGGAAGGCCTTGGCAAGGTTTTTCTTTTACTGAAAATCAGCCCCAAAATCATTTTCTTCTTTTTCAAAGAGCAGCCTGTAGAGTGGAGCCACAGACATTGACAAGTAAGCTAGAAGCTTGCATGGGTGAATGCCGGCAGTTGTGCCAGTAGAAAAAGGCTACCTGGGATTAGGCATGATCAAAATGGCAGCTCCATCTTCCCTTTCTCCTTGCCAGCCACGTGTACAGTAAGGAGCAGACAAGATGGGCTGGCCAAGTGGAAAGCCCATTTGTATAATAGGATTAGGGTGGGGCAACCGGCCTTTCCTGCAAGCTCTGTAAAAGTCACACCTGGTTGAACAAATCTGGGCCCTACATAAATCAGACACTGCCTCCTCAAGCCTGCCTATAAAATCTGTTGCAGTTTGCCGCAGGCTGGCTTTTCCCTTTTGGACATATCTCTCTGCTCTTCTCTCTCCTTTCTTCTGCCTATTAAACTTTCTACTCCTTAACCCACCCACATGTGTCTGTGTCCTTAATCTTCTTGGTGCCAGACAATGAACCCTGGGTACTTACCCCAGACAATGATGCCACTTCATTTTGAGAAAAGATTTGAGTTTTGGAAACAGCTGCAATGTAGGAAGCTTGGAGGAGATGGAGAGAATCACTTAGCTGAATAATTGGAAAGGTAGAAGCTACACTGCTTGATCCTTTTTTGTTTTTCCATTTTCAAATAGGAGCTTCTTTAGATTTTTCTAAGATTGACTCTGCCTGTGGTAAGGGTAGCTTGAGATGTAGAGTTGTTACGTGTGATATGGTAATATGTGCTTCTCTCCCAGTGAAAGTATTCCGTGACAAATGCAGCAACTTACAGTCACCTTGATGGCCTTTAAAGGACTCAGTACATCAAAATTGGATGTGCTGCTGGAGGAAGCCTAGAGCTAAAGAGTTGAGATTTTTGGGTCACGTTCCATCATAAGGAACTCCAAAGATCATGTGAATTTATCTTGATTCTGAAATTTCATGCAATTTTCTACAGTAGAGTCTAATGCTCTAGGAATATGTTTTGGGATCACTTTTATTAAAGCGAAGTTTGCTTTATTTGCATTTAGGATAATTGGATTTGGCATATAGGAACCACAAGAAAAGACTAACAAGAAACCTATGCTAGATTAAGATCTATGCAAAATTGACCGAATCCAGCCTCTATCTTTATTAATGATAGACTCAGGATTTAGACAAACTCTGAACAAATGAGAGACTTGGATTAGGTGAAAAGGAAGTTTCTGAACCTTCTGTCCTGGTGATCTTTGAGTTGGAATGTGATATATAGCACCCTACCCAGAAAGCTTTAAATTCTGTGATGCCCAGTTTCAGGAAGAATAATGACTTCTTCCCTGGCATGTCATCATGATCACTATTTTTTAAACTTCAAGCAGAGTTTATTCTTTACGGAGACTGGGAATTTGTCAGTCTTGATCAAAATATTTACAAAAGATGCCTGAGAAGAAATAAGGAAAAGCGAAAAGTAGCCTTCTTTATTGATACTTGTAAATTTTATTTGTGCTTTTTTTTTTTCTTTTTGAGACAAGGTCTCCCTCTGTTGCCCAGGCTAGAGTGCAGTGGTGTGATCTTGGCTTACTGCAACCTCTACCTCCTGGGCTCAAATGATTCTCCCACCTCAGCCTCCTGAGTAGCTGAGACTACAGATGCATGCCACCATGACTGGCTAATTTTTTTTTTTTTTTTTTGGTAGAGGCCGGGGGGTCTCACTGTGTTGCTCAGCCTGGTCTCGAACTTCTGGACTCAGATGACCCCCCTGCCTTAGCCTCCCAAAGTGCTGGGATTACAGACAAAAGGTACTGCGCTTGGCCTGATTCTTATAAATTAAAGCAAGTCATCCTGAAGCTTTGAGCTATATAGATCACCTATATGAGCTATATCTAATAAGCTACATATCATACATATGACATATACATGTGATATATATAAAACTTATATATATATATATATATATATATATATATATATATATATATATAAACTATATAAAAGAATATTTGGAAAATTTTCTCTTCAAGAAAGTATTTCCGTGGACTTGGACAAGACTTACTTGCTCTATAATTTTTGTCTTTCCCTTCTTATTCAAAATACTCTCCTGCCATAAAACATTTAGGTGACTAAAATGTGATCATCTTCCTCATTAAAGGAACTCGGACCATTTATATTATAAGCCTCCCTCTCTCTGCAAAGTCAGAAAAAAGTAGCCTCTCATTTCATCCTAAAACAAAGAGCTTTTAGGAGCAGAAGTGAAGAGGCAGCTAGAAAAACGTACACAGGAAAGAATTCTGAATGTGGGAGCTAGTGCCACCTTTGCCTTTGAACAGCTGTGTGCCTTTAGGCAAATCACACAACCTCTTCTGGCTTCAGTTTTCTTAACTGTAGAATATGGAGTTGAATCAGTTTCCAAGACAGTGGATCTGCAACCAGTCTGCACGTTAGAATCACCTGTAGGCCTTGAAGGAGATGAGTTCCTTTGTAGTAAAGCATAGTGATGTATCCCCAGAGCCTAGGACCTGGCACTTACTTAAGGTTGCCAGACTTGACAGATAACCCAGGACGTCCAGTTAAATTTGGATTTCAGATAAACAGTGAAAAAAATTTTAGTGTAAATAGGTCCCAAATATTTATCTGACAACCCTACACATAATGGTCAAAGTTTGTTTGTGGAATGAATATCATTGGGCCTCTACCCGTGGGAATTTCAGATAAGGAATGCCACGTGGTAGGGGCATGTGTTTCAATAGCATTTTCAGTCACATCACATGGAAATCTAACTCTTTTCCCAAGCTTTACTAGCCTTGATTGAAGCAGTTTTTCACCCTCTGACAAAGAATTATTATATCAATTGGGATGTTTTAGGTCCTAAGTAAAGTATACCTTAATTAAAATAGCTCAAACCATAAGGAAATTTATGGGTTTACTTAACAAGAGGTCTGTAGCTAAGATGATGTCATCCAGGACCCAGGTGTTCCCATCATCTTTCTGCTGGGACATCCTCAGTGTGTTGGCTTTCACTTTCAGGTTTGTCCTGTTATGTTTTCAACATAGCTGTTGTATCTCCATATATCATGTCTTCATGTAAATATATTCAGAGAAAAGAAGGAAGAGCAGTTTTGTGTTGTACATATCTTTTCAACATGAGAAAAGAAATCTTTCCTAAGGATTTCTACCCTAGAAGACTTCATCTTAATAATCATTGGCCAGAATTGGCTTACATGCCTATGGCCAAGCCCAAAGGAAGGCTGCAATGCAACTGTCAGATGTTTTCGCTCCTCCTGGTGGGAGGCAGCTTCTGTAACAATGAAGGAGGTGGCTGAAAATTAAATGTCATGAAGGCACCTGGGTGTCATCCCTAACTATTACACCTAGGATAATCTTTTCCTTGCAGATGACACCAACACATGAATGGGTTCTTGGCTGATAGATGAGTCTGAAGGAGTGGGAAATACATCACTCTTTAGGAAGTGGTTTCTTTGAAGGCCTTGATGCATTAAACTCTCACCCGAAACAAAAAGACATCTACCTTGGTCCCAATGTGGTTCATTAGCTGTGCTATCATTTAGCCAGAGTGATTAGAGCTTTTAAAATACACAATGACATCTCTTCCTGCACAGAAAAAAATAAATTTAAAGAGTTTTTTTTTGTTGTTGTTGTTGTTTTTGTTTTTTTTAGACTGAGTCTTGCTTTTGTCACTCAGGTTGGAGTGCAATGATGTGATCTCTACTCACTGCAACCTCCACCTCCCAGGTTCAGTTCTCCTGCCTCAGCCTCCCGAGTAGCTGGGATTACGGGCATGTGCCACCATGCCTGGCTAATTTTTATATTTTTAGTAAAGACACGGTTTCACCATATTGGCCAGGCTGGTCTCAAATTCCAGACCTCAGGTGATCTGCCCACCTCAGCCTCTCAAAGTGCTATGATTACAAGCGTGAGCCACCACGTCTGGCCTAAATAATGCTTTTTTGTTGTTGTTCTGTTATTCACCTCAGTTTTTCATATCAAAAATATGGCAGAAAATCTCACTGCATGTACACAAATTTTAGAACTGGCACAATCCTCATTTCTTAGGGGCTTCTTCTCAGTTGAA
This sequence comes from Homo sapiens, assembly GCF_000001405.40. NCBI lineage: Eukaryota > Metazoa > Chordata > Mammalia > Primates > Hominidae > Homo > Homo sapiens. The sequence continues at coordinate 33,100,503 of NC_000008.11, read as the reverse complement.
ATTCATCCAAGTGTACTTTCATTCTTAAGTACACTATTAGAGGAAGGTAATATAGATGATAATTTTTTTTGATACCAACGACTGCTCAAGATTCTGAAAGTGCTCTGCATGCTTGTTTTAACCTGCAGTCGCTTTGATCAGGGGAAGCAGAACAAGGTGTTGCAGTGCGAGGAATACTTAACTAGCCTCAAGGCCTGCAAAAGCGCTCTGGCCCAGATTTTCACACAACGTTATGTGCTTTTGTTCATCATGTAAGTGGGGTGGGCCGCGGAAGTGGATTCTTCCACATACTTGTAAAACACAAATATTCAAGTGTATTTTCCCAAAGCTTATATAAAATTCCAAGTGGTATACAAAATACATTTAAAATGCCACATATGGAGAAAAGAGAAAATAAAACTAGTATTTAATAAAAAGCTTTGGTACGCCAGAAGTGATGCTAAATGTCTGACATCTTTGGATTTACGTAATCTTGAAAACAACGTTTTGAGTTATTTTATAGGCTATTGATTCACCCAAGGTCATATAATCTAATGAACATCAGAGACAGAATGAGAGTCATTGCCAAAGAATACGTCTGCAAAGGAAGATATGTGGAATTTTTACAAATACACACTTGATAAGGAAGGTTTTTCTTTGGCTGTATCTTTGCCTGTCTTTTAAAACAATTTCTGCTTAGGGTTGAATTTCAGAGCAGGCTTTACCCCCAAAACAGCACTCACGGTCATTGGTGAGATACCCAATCAGATTATTTTCTTGAATGATCTGCACATTTTCTTTTGCCTACTGACAAGGATAGGTACATTCTCTGGAGTTCACTCCATTACACATTCCAAGCATAGCAAATCAATCATTAATTACTCTCAGGAAGAGTGGTCAAAGTTCTCTTCCTTCTTTGAGTGATAGGATAGAACAGTAAAAAACAAAACCTTGGGTACTCAGTAGTTAAGCCATATCTGATCCAATGGCCCAATTTTTTTTCCTCAAAGTTTAGTTTAGATTCAGAGGGTACATGTGCAGATTTGTTTCCAAGATACATTGTGTGATGCTGAGGTTTCACGTATGAATCGCCTGGGGTAGTGAGCGTAGTACCCAACAGGTAGTTTTCTGTCCCTTGGTTCCCACCCTCCTGCTCTTGTATTCTCCAGTGTCTATTGTTCTCATCTTTATGTCCACATGCACCCAATGTTTAGCTCCCACTTACAAGTCAGAACATGTGGTGTTTGCTTTCCTGTTTCTCGTTAGTTTGCTTAGGATACTGGCCTCCAGCTGTATCCATCCAGCATCCTAATTGTTACAGATCCTCTATTTCTACACTGCTCCCTCTTTTTCTGAGGGTAAAGGAGTGGGAAGAACATGGATTTTTGTGCTGAAGGAACAAGTAGCTTTGAACCTTCTTAAGGTAGTAAATTTGAGTTGTAGCACAAAATAGCATAGTTTTATTTATTTATTTTTGAGACAGTCTCACTCTGTTGCCCAGGCTGGAGTGCAGTGTTGTGATATTGGCTCACTGCAAACTCCGCCTCCTGGGTTCAAGGGATTCTCATGCCTCAGCCTTCCAAGTACCTAAGATTACAGGCATGCACCACCACATCCAGATAATTTTTGTATTTGTAGTAGAGACAGGATTTCACCATGCTGGCTAGGCTGATCTCAAATTCCTGACCTGAAGTGATCCACCCTCCTCGGCCTCTCAAAGTGCTGGGACTACAGATATGAGCCACCACCGTGCCTGGCCCAAAATAGCATAGTTTCTAAATCTTGAGCTGTGTGTTAGCTCCTCAAAAAGGCTCTGATACATGCATAGGTGTGTGTAGTGGTCATCTGAGGAGTGGGTGGGACTTTGGGGGAAGCCTTGAGAATACTCTAAAGAAAATCATGCAATAGATTCTCATTATTGCTGGAAAAAGATGGAAGGAAGAATCTAAAGGTATATTAGTCCAGTAAAAAGAAAACAATACTGCCCAAAGATTGTCTTACGGAAATTCTTCTGGTTCCTAGTAACGTAGACATAGTAAATGTTTAATTTGCTGCTCAATGTAGAAAATGTATTTATTCAATCCTTTACTGAATACCTTTTATGTATCAGATACTGATATAGGAATGAAATAGAATTGTAAATTGACATATAGGATAGGAAGTGTCACAACAAAAAAGTTAGATACCAAACTTCAAGAAAAAAAGGTGGGAACAAATTATAAAGCATTCATTCTTTAGTGTGACTCATGAATGCCAGGTCAACTTCATACTGTCTCACCCACTTATTTATTATATAAGCTATCAGTGAGGCCCAAGGCCCTCGAAAATTCTGCTCACTTAAAAAAGTGTCTACAAAAAAGAGTGAGAAAAGTAGTTTTGAATAGAACTAATAATTACAGGGAGTATGAAAAAGTGTGATGTTGGTCTTTTAAAATAGTTTAAGTCGAAGATTGCAGCCTAGAACATAAATTTCAATGGTTACCCGAAAGAGACAGCTTCAGATTTTAGGATTTAAAAAGATTTAGATCACTCTCAGAACTCTAATATTAACTTTCACTTACAGGAATACCTTCTGAAATCTAACCTGAGCCAAAGGAAAAGTTCTGTTGATAATTCTCTAGCTCGGAGAACAATTATGTGCCACTCCCGGTGTTGTTTGTCTTGACCCTTTTCTTGTCTATATCTGATTTGCTTCCAAACTCGAGGTAGGGGGACGGGGCATTATTTATGCTTATTCCAAAACCCTAGCATTGCTTAGAGTTGCAGACCAGGTAACCCTAGAGCAGGCCCTGCCCATACTTAGCATTAGTGGCAGGCTGACTCAGACAAGAGAAATCCTTCATGGGTTTCTTACTATTAATTCTTTTTGGAGGAAATGTTCTCTGAACTGGAAAAGAGTTCATTGAAAGTGTGTGAGAACTAGCTTGTACCCTGGTTCATTAAGGGGTCACACTGGATTACATAGCTGAAAGGAGGGGTTCCCTAATGGTTCATGAAACCAGGAAGAAGGCCGATCCAAAAAATGCTAAACGTATGAATTAAAACTGAACAGTAGATTGTCCCAGTATTCAGGAAATGGCTGAAAAGATTTTCAATTTTCATTCCAGGATTGGGCTCCTTGAAGACATACTGAATCTTGAACAGTAAAGGTCTTATATATAATTTTTTAAATGAAATTTTAGCTAAAACAACTGGTAGACAGGTTTCCTTGACATCTTTATAGAATCTGTTAAACAAAATCTGTTCAACAAAAATATACTGAAAGACCCCATGTAAAAGGACTTCGAAAGGTCATTTAGCCCAGTGTGCCTCAGCTGCTGCATCTGTCCTTTCAAAGGTTCCCATTGATCTTTCATTTTTCTACTAGTCTAACCTCATCACTAATTTATTACATGGGTGTAAGAATCATTCTCCTTGCTCCTACAATGTTCTGCAAATCTACAACCCTCACAAAGTGAAAACCACAGTGCTGGGTTTGCTGTTAAAATCAAGACTTTGGCTTATCATAGGTAATTTAGTCTCTCTCTCTCTGGCTGAAAGCAGGACATCTAATACCTTTTAAAGTCTCTAGAAAAGAGGTATTGCCATCTTCCCAGATGCTTCATGAACAGTCTTCTTTGAGTTTTAAACCTTGCGTCTGTTTTCTCCATGTTTTCTTAACCAAAGTGTATCCCACTTCGTCTGGGCACCGAGTCTCCTGGGTTAAGATTTTGATTTGTGTTTCTCCTTTACTTTCCAGTGCATTTCTCTGATTGGCCCTCATTCATATTCCATAGCATCCAGTGCCCATATAATGCAAAGAGTTCCATGTTCCCTGGTGCATTCATATTTGTGCATATGGTGTGTATCAAAACAGTTTTTAATTTCATATAGCTGTGCAGTCACTGCTGGTGTCTACTACTTCTAGAAACCTTGCCAGTACCATCTGTAGACACTTTAATTATGCTTTCTGACCAGAGGGCAACTGGCAGGAATTAAATACATTATGATTGTATTCAATGAAATTTCAGGGTTCCAAGGCTTTAGCTCAGAAACAATACCAGCTGGCCATCAGTAGAAGACAGAGGTTAACAAGACCCCCACTTCAATGGCAGTGATCTGTCTCAGAGTCAGCAAATACTGTTGACACTAAAGAGTAGCAGAACTCAGATCCTACACAAATATAACCCATTGGCTGGTCAAGATAATAGGACTGGGTATGTAAATGACAGTAACAGAAAACTTCTCTGGGTACTGGATGTACCTTTCTGGGATCAGAAGGAATTACTGTGACTGGCTTTGGGATTGCAGCAAATTAGTCAGGCTGACTTACTGCAGCTTTAAGGACTCTCCATGAGAAAAAAATACTCACTAAATTGAAGGAAATGTGCTTGCTTAGCTGACCCTGCATGTAGCAGGTGACCTAGATGTGAGGGTGGGCAGGATATCTATGGAGCCATGTAGACCAATGTCGTTTCAGCTGATCTGCAAATTATCCCCTCCTTCCCTCAATAGTCCACCCTAAAGTGGCATGATTCACATATGACCATAGATTAACAGTTACATTCCTTCTACAATTTATTTAACTTTCTGATCATTTGGTTATATATACCTACTTGCCTCCCTATATAGCCCTCCATATTAAGGGTGGTTTTTGGGGAAAGGATGTAACATGCACCATATACACTCATTGCGGTAGGAACACTTGGGTATTTTGCATTTGTTGAAAGGGACCTTCTGCTTTTCTTTTGAGGAGAATGTCAAGTGAGTGGAACGTGGAGTTATGTATAAGAGGAAGGAAAGGAAAATAGACATGGAATGAGTCCTTCATTATATGAGCCTGGTGAGGGCATTTGTGTTATTTAGAAAGAAAATTTGAGTCCAAATTCCAGAGATTAGCTTGCAGAGATAAAGGATTGGGCTCCTTGTCCTTTGTTTTAAAATCAACTTTATTGAGGTATTATTTGTGTACAATAAACTGCATTCATTGAAAATGTACAACTTGGTGTGTATACTTGTTAAACCACTGCCACAATCAAGAGAATATTTCTATCTTCCAAAACTACTTCCTTGACTCCTTTCTTTCCATCCCTCCCTTTACCCTTGGCCCCAGGCAACTCTGATCTGCTTTATTGTCACAGCTTTTTTGCATTGTCTAGGATTGTGTATAAATGGGATCATATTCTTATTTCTGAATTCTTACATTCAACATAATGATTTTGGCATTAATTCATTTCTTTGTGTGTAAATTAGTAGTTTTAGAAATTGTTGAATAATATCCCATTGTATGGATGCACCCCTTTTTGTTTATCCAGCACCTGTTGGTGGACATATATATTATTTCCAATTTTGCTTCTAGTACAGAAAGTTGCAATAGTTTCCAATTTTTGATTATTTTGCATAAAGCTTCTATAAATATTTGTATACAGGTCTTTGGACATATGTTTTCATTTCTTTTGTGTAAATATTTGGGAGTGGAATGTCTGTGTCATATGTTTAACTTTTCAAGAAATTGCAAAACAGCTTTTTCAAAGTGATGGTACCATAATACATGCCCACAGGCGAAGTATGAGAGTTCCAGTTGCTTGACATTGTCACTTACATTTGGTATTGTTCATCTTTTTAATTATAGTCATTCTAATGGATGGATAGTGGCATATCGTAGTTTTATTTCAATTTCCCTGATGAATAATGTGCTTTACATCTCTTTATGCCACTTATATACCTTCATTAGTGAAATGTCTGTTCAAACTGTTCATTTCTTATTGAATTCTTTGCTTTCCTATTATGAAGGTGTAAGGGGTCTTTATATAGTCTGGAGACAGGTCCTTTGTTGATGACATACTTTGAAACTTTTTCTACTACTCTGTGGGTTGTTTTTTCATATGCTTAACAATGTGTTTTTCAAAGAGCAAAAGTTTTTAATTTTGGTAAGCCTGTTTTACTTTAGAGTTCATTGTTTTTTGTCCTAGCTAAGAAGTCTTTAGAAAACCCAAGGTCATAAAATTTCTCCATTATTTTCTTCTAGGAATTTTATTGCATTAGGCTTTAACTTAGGCCTATGATAATTTTGAGTTAATTTCTGTATGCAGTTTGAGGTAAGAATTGAGATTATTTTTAAGTATGGATATCTAATTGTTTCAGGACCATTGAATCTCCTTGCCACATTTATTAAATGTCAATTGGCCATATAAATGTAGATCTATTTCTGGACTCTATTACGTTTCATTGTTTCAGATAGCAACCTTTATGTCAATACAACACTGCCTTGATTACTGTAGATGGGTACAAGTTCTCCATTTTGTTCTTTTTCAAAATGTTTTGGCTATTCTAGATCCATCTAATTTCTAAATAAATTTTAGAATCAGCTTGTCAATTTCAGTGTTTCACTGAATGCCTGTTGAAATATTGGCTGGGATTGCTCTGAATCCATAGATCAATTTGGGTAGAACTGACATCTCGACAATTGATTCTTCCAACGAACTATGACTTGGAATCTTCCAATACATTTATACATGTGTTATTTCTCCATTTATGAGATTCTTCCATCATTTCTCTCAGCAGTGTTTTGTAGTTTTCTGTGAGGAGTGCTCACACACCTTAAATATATTCCTAAGTAGTTTTTACTTTTTTACTCTTGCAGATCACATCTTTAAAATTTAGTTTTCCAATTGTTTACTGCTAATATACAAAAATACAATCTTTTCTGGTATTAACTTTACATTCTGCAACCTTGCTAATTTCATATTGATTTTAGTAGTTATTGCACAGATTCCTTGGAATTTCCTATATAAATACTCATCCCATCTGTAAATAGAGTCCAATAGAGTCCAATTGTTTTCTTCCTTTCTTCATTTGCTTTTTTTTTCCTTTTTTCGAGACAGAGTCTCACTCTGTCACCCAGGCTGGAATGCAGTGGAGCAATCTTGGCTCACTGCAACCTCCACCTGCTGGGTTCAAGCGATTCTCTTGCCTTAGGCTCCGGAGTTGGTGGAACTACAGGCATGTGCCACCAGGCCTGGCTAATTTTTGCATTTTTGGTAAAGATGGATTTTTGCCATCTTGGCCAGGCTGGTCTCAAACTCTTGACCTCAAGTGATCTGCCTGCATCAGTCTCCCAAAGTGTTGGGATTACAGGCGTGAGCCACTGTGACTGGCCCTTCATTTGCTTTTGATGTGATTTTTGTTTCACTTGTTTTTTTCTTTACTCTTATTCAGTTGCAGGCAGGGGATATTGCTCACTGTTGCTCACAGGGGATATCCCAGCACTATATTGAAACCTTGTTTTGGAAATGACAGTGAGAAGAGGACACAAACACAGCAGATGCACAGGAGCACATAATTCCCTAAGAAATTTAGCAGAGATCCCAAACTGCTTATCATTGAGGGGCAGGAAAACAACTGATTGAATAAAGAAAATGAAGATGCTGTGAAAGGTATACAGTTAGCTAGAAGCAGGGCTAGACTTCAGCCTTGCTCTGCTCTTGCTGTTGCTCATGTGTCTGTCACACTGAAGTCCTCTGGAGCTGGTCGGAAGGAAGGAGAAAATGCATTAGGGATGTGAAGGAATTGGATTCACTGTGGCTGGAAAACACTTACAGACTTTGAAACTCTTCGTGATTTCCAAGTTAGTAGGCTAATGTCAGCCATTGGCAAACATGCCAGTTGGATCCCTCTTCTCCCTCCCCTGCACATGCATCGCTGGCCGGAGAAGCAGTCTTAGTCTCCAAGTCTCAATTTCTGGGACATTCTCTCTTCTCTAACAGTATTAGTCTCACTTCCCAGAGTCCATTTCCTTCTTCCCTCCAACAAAAGTTCTCAATTAAATTCTACCCTGTACCTATCCCTTGACCTTAGTTATATTTTAACAAGATAAGTCTGAAGATATTTTAAGTTCCAAACAAGTAAAAGCATAAATATAAGAACACACATAAAGGAAAGGAAATAGCATTTATTGAGCAGGTACTGCATGACATCCAGAGTTGTTATTTAATCAAAATAAGATACAAAATCAGACTTATATCCTCAACATAAATAAAAGGACTGGGTTAAAGAGGTTAAGCATCTTGTTAAAGACTCTATAAAAATGAATTTGAGAAAGAACTTGAATCTCAGTCTGAGTTTTAAGTAAAGGCCCTTTTGATTGTGCCCTTCTGATTCTTCAGTATTACTGAGCACCTTCATGATATCTGCTGACTTACCACTGACTCTATGATATGAGATTGCACACTTGTTTGCAGGAGTGTATTTGCCAGTTTATTCCCCACTCCCAGCATAGGGCATGGCAAATAGCAGGTACTCAATGTTTGCTTGTCTAATTGATTTAAATATTCACAAAACCATGTTTCTATTTGTGCTATTTATTTACTAATTAAACAAATAGGTTTTTTAAATGGCTCAGCACATATGTTTAGAGTAGGAGTCAGATAAATAAGCAATTCACTGTACATAATGATACCAATTATGCTAGAGGAGTGAATAAAGTGTTAAAGAAGCACAAAGAAGAGTTACCTAATCTGGCATTGGAGGGTCAGCAAAGGCTCCCGGAAGAAGGGCTATTTTGACATTAAATGTGAAGAATGATGCAGTGTCAAAGACACTCCAAACAGAGGGGCAGTTGTGCAAGACTGGAAGTGAGAGAGGTTGACACATCTAAGGAAATGTAAATAGCTCGATATGGCTGGACACAGAATGTGAACCATAGAACGATGAGGGATGAGGGCAGAGAATGAAATAGGCATCAACTATGAGAAGACTGTTATGTTCTGTTAAGGCTTTATCCTGAGGGAGCCACCAGAGGTATAAAATCAGCAGATGGCAGGGTCAGATGTTTAATTCAGAAAGAACTTGGTGGTTTTCTTGTGGAAAGTGATTGAAGGGGAGATCATGGCTGATTTGAGGTGAAAAATGAGGGTGGTCTACTGTAAGGTAGAGAGTATGGGACTGGGGCAAGTGGGTGGATTTAAGAGAAAATAAAAGTAAAATTAATAGGTTTTGGACACTGATTTAATTTTGAGAGTAATGGAGAAAGAGTTGATAAGGATGATTCTTAGGTTTTGGGTTTGAGAAAACGGTGGGCAGTAGTGTCATTTAATGAGCTCTCTTGAGCCCAGGTGAAGGATTTATCTGTAGAAGAATATCTCCAGTGACTATCTTCCCAGACAATTTACTAAAGCATTAAATTCATATTTATTTCACTAAATTATTAGGTCCCCCACCCAACTAACTTGTCATATCTCTTTATAATACCGTCCTTTTCTGTGTCAGTAAGGCTGCAAACCTTATGTTCATTATTGGTTCCTCCTCTTCTCAATGCCTCCCACCCCTCCACTTTCTTTTTTCTTTCTTTTTTTTTTCTTCTTTTTTTTTTTTTTTTTTTTTTTTGAGATGGAGCCTCGCTCTGTTGCCCAGGCTGGAGTGCAGTGGTGCGATCTTGGCTTACTATAAGCTCTGCCTCCCAGGTTCGCGCCATGCCATTATCCTGCCTCAGCCTCCCAAGTAGCTGGGACTACAGGCGCCCACCACCATGCCCAGCTAATTATTTTTTTGTATTTTTAGTAGAGACAGGGTTTCACTTTGTTAGCCAGGATGGTCTTGATCTCCTGACCTTGTGATCTGCCAACCTGGGCCTCCCAAAGTGCTGGGATTACAGGTGTGAGCCACCGTGCCTGGCTTACCCCTCAACTTTCAATTAGTCATCAAGGCCTGTTAATCATTGCTTATCAGTCAGTGTCTCCTGAGTCAGCCTGTCTTCTATCCCCACCAGTCTGAGCCCTTATCCCTTCATGCCCACACTATTGCCCAGCCAACAGTTTTCTAGCTCGTCTCCTTACCTCCAGTTGTTTCCCAATGTACTCCATCTGGCATCCACAAGGAATGATTTTCTTTAAACAGTGTTTTCATCACCTCTCTCCCTCAGATGTGTTCAGTGCAGTCTTCTCTAGCCAGATGAGTTACTCTCAGCTTCCCAGCATGCTTTATGCATTTGCACCTAGGAAACCTTTGCATGGAATGTGGCTTTCTCCTAACACTCTCCTCTGCCTTCCTAAGCAGTCTTCGTTCTTTTGGGCTCAGTCGCAGCCTCCATGAGCCTCCTGTGACCATCCATAACAATCTCTCCAGTCCCTGAAATCCTTTGGCACATAAAAGCAATTTTGTACACTTTCTCGTGTTGTTCTCTATGTGAGTCTTGTCTTCCTATCTGAGCAGAAGGCTCCTGAAAGCTGATATAATAGGCCACTTCCCCAGTCTGTGGTGCACATGCAGAAGGGATCTGATTCTGATCAGTTCACTTGCTGTTATTTCTTGCTGCCAGTTGCCTTTGTAATTGAACACAGGTTATGCCAGTTGGATGGGTAATTGTCCACTGCATCTGGGATATTCTTGCTGGTCCAGGTCCCTGCCCAGTTAATAGCAGTGAGCTATGTTTGGTGCCAAGACCACAACTCTGGCTCATATTCCCACACTCAGCCACTGTTCCTCACATACACTGCTGGCTCTCAGTGGCTAGATCTGGAGAGTCTTCTACTTTGGTCAGTCATGGTGCAAAATCGCTTTCCTATTGGAACATCAATCCAGGAGGCCCTTGTCATTAGCCCAGGTGCCTTCTGTCGTTCTGGCTAGCTTCCCTTTAGGAGTCCTCTTTGTAAACTAGTATATTTTTTCTTCTTCAGAAACCACATTTCCATACCAAGGTTTATTTCAAGTTCTATATCTTTCCGGCAACTGCAGTCTTTCTTATTATTTTCCCCTCCCCCAGCAAGGAATATCTATCTACCCTACATGAACATAGTGAATAGGGTGAGCATAGGTATTGGAGGAGGGTCAGTGAGTGATGTAAGTGATCTTAACCAGAACAAAAGTGATTCACCTCAAGGTAATCTATGGTCACACCTTATGTAAAGGAGAGAGGCTTGTTTCATTTTTAGATGCCTGTGCCAAACATCATTTTCTGTCTGCCTCTTCTTCAACCCCAAATCCATTTTCCACTCTACTAAAGAGGCTGCCATATACAGACAGCATCCCCAGGGAACGTTTGTCCAGTACTTTCCATGAGTTTGGGTAAAAGGTGGGGCATCTTCAGGAGACTGCAGGCTGGGAAGTAAAATGAGAGTGGCCAAGTATTTATTCCTCTAGTGCCTGCTTGCCTCATAGCAGTTGTGGAAGTGGCTCAAACATCTATGGCGGCCGGGCGTGGTGGCTCCCGCCTGTAATCCCAGCACTTTGGGAGGCTGAGGCGGGGGGATCACCTGAGGTCAACAGTTTGAGACCAGCCTGGCCAGTATGGTGAAACCTTGTCTGTACTAAAAATACAAAAATTAGCTGGGTGTGGTGGTGGGTGCCGGTATCCCCAGCTACTCAGGAGGCTGAGGCACAAGAATCGCTTGACCCCAGGTGGTGGAGGTTGCAGTGAGCCAAGATCACACCATTGCACCCCAGCCTGGGCAACAGAGCAAAAACTCTGTCACAACAACAAAATTATCTATGGCAAAAGGACTGGCCAGGTGCCCCTCTTCCATCACTTCAATTCTCCTGGCTTCAATAACACCATTGCCTCCCTGTGACCTTCAGGATCAGGAGTAGTAACAGGTTCCCACTGTTGCTAGTCCCTGAGCACTTTAACATCTTGTGACAGGCCGCTTATCTCTGTTTCTTCACTACATTCTCTTTGGCTAAACTCTTTTCAACATGCTGTCTGTCTGAGGCATGGACCCTCATTCCTATAATGCCCTCTCAAAAGCACCTAGATTTATCTTTACTGTTACTGAGGGATGGATCTGGGTCTATCTGTCTATTCCATGACACAAAGCATGTGGCTGACTACTATAAAATCATTTAATACCATAAAGAAAGATTAATAAGCTAGACTCAGTTCTTCTGTGTGAATCCAGGGTTCCTTTTGAAGCCAGCCATGCTTCCAGATGTGAACTCTGTTAGCACTGGTGTTCTGATATTGCACTGTGGGTTTGGCTCTTCACCCTGCAGGGCCCTCCGCTAATAATGAAGGACTGAGACTATATTATCTTATCCTCTGACAGTAGTGGCACATTGACTAGATTCAACAGCCTATTTAAAACCCAACAAAATGTCTCTTCCATCTTCCAACTCAAAAATTATAAGACATTGGGACTGATACTACTAATGAATCTAGCTAATTTGCAACTGTCCAAGAGAATGGCTCTAAAAAAATTATTTCAAGAGGGCTGATGCTTAAACATTGCTACCTTCAGGGTAACTTGCAAATGATCTGTTTGCAGTCCTTCTTTCTGTTTAACACAGGCAATGTCCATTTTCAGAACTAGAAGCATCACTAGTCATCTATAATCAAAGACAAACTCCAAGCAAATGCCTTAGCAGAGATTGCTGCTCTGCTGCTTGTTGGAGGCCTCAGCGATTCTTGTTTCAATTATCTTGTCTCCATACATCATGTTCCTGTAAGAAATTTCCAACATATTTCCAAGTTATTTTAGCTGGGTATTTTCTCTGCCAATCTCTGAATCGGTGTTCCTATATTAAGAAGCAAAGTTTCTATTTTTTGCTACTTAATTATTCTTCCCAACGGAAAAGAGGAGGGAAAGGATCTCAGGATTCTTTATCGCAGAATGTAGTGTACCTGTCTCTTGGGATGGGTTTTTTCAGCCAAATGTAAAGTTGAAGGATCCAGAAGGGCCAACACATGCAAATTTGAAGCAAGGGTTTCCAAAGCAGAAGTCCAGCACCAGCCCTGTCACACATGCGTAAAACGAATTATCCAATGGGAGCAGCACATAAATCACTCAGTAGAGAGTGCCAAAAAATTTCATTGCATGCTTTCCAGAATCTGAAACCCAAACATGCAAGAGTTCCAAACTCTTACCTAAAAATTCTGAAGGGAAAATGAACTGTGAATAGCTATGGAGAAAGCATAAGCAATTCATCCACCTGATGGTACCACCTGCTAATCAGCATTCACACAGTATTTTGTGTCCAGCTATGAATCAAAATTCTTGAGCTAAGTTTAGGGCTTAAAAAGCCAAAGACCCCTGTCATCATCACCACTGCTATTTACCAGTGACTGAGCCAGAACTAGTGTGAGTTGCCATGTTTCTTTAAGGATGTTGATCTACGTGGGTTGTGTCTGATTTGAGGGAGGAGCATGGGCCGGTTCCAGGTGTGAAGGTTAATGGGTAGTACAGTAAATCACAGTCATAGAAACTAACGGCCTTTGGAGGTGAGGGCTTTGGTTTCTTAACCCACTGTATGCCCATGGAAGAGAGAACTCTGTGTGTTAGAGATGTCTAAGGAAAAGTACTTCCACATATTTTTTAGTAAGTGTCCTCTTGCACAAGACACAGTATCTTGTATAAACTTTTCTAAAAACCATTTATGGAATAGACAGGAAATAAACATTTCTTATAGAAAAATGTCTGCTCTCCCAGGTGTAGGAAGTAATTTGGGTCAAATACGAGGAGCTCCAAATAAAAAAAAAAAACTAGAAAAAGAGAAACGGATTTCCCTCAGTGTTCAGCTATAAAGTCAATGCTCTGAAATAGATTAGGGGTGCACAAAGCCTTGTACTGAAGCACAAGATGTGACTAAATGTATTTATGTTTTAGTTTGCCAGGGCTGCTATAACAAAGCACCATAATCTAGGTGGCTTAAAACAGCAGAAATTTATTATCTCATGGTTCTGGAGACCAAGAGCATAAAATTAAGATGACCTCAGTGAGAAAGTGACATTAGCATGATGGCAGAGTGAGAGAGACCAGTGTTCATCCCCCCACAAAAACGAACAAATAGGCAGTGATCCATGAACAAAATTAGCCTTGGGGAGGGCTCAAGAGCCCAATTAAGAATCTACAACAACACAGTGGAGCAAAAATGGAGAATAAGTACACAAAGGATTGTTGGGGAGATCCTGAGGTGTCTAGAGATGGCTAGGATCAAAGAAAAAGAGAGATGCTATCAGGATCAACTATATGCGAGGTGCCACTGTGGTACCCAATGGCTGCTTTTGCAGAGGACACTGGCATCTTTCTTTACTGAGGTTACTAAAGCAATTCCTGTTGTTGATCCCCTCTCCTGATAAAGGAGATGATATTGCACCTTCCCCCACCCTCCACAAGCACCCAGTTGAGCTGCCCTGGGACTGGGGCCACCACCTTTCCAAACCTGGCATGTACTTCAGACCCTGGACCTAAGTCACTCTTGTGTATGTCAGTAATCCAGACCCCAGCTCCACAGCTGTTATGTAAGTACCTGCATTCCAGTCCTTGGGTCTGCAACCATACTGCATGTGTCCACACCTCAAACACTGACAATCCTACTGCTGAATATGAGCCCTTCCCTGGGTTTTGGAGCCTTGGTTTCTCTGTGTGAACCCACACTAAGGACACCAGCTCCATTGCTGCTCCATGAGTGCCTATACCTTTGATACCTGAGTCACCTCAACAGTGAGCCAGCCCCAGATCTTGGAGGTGATGCAGCATCTCGTGTGTCTGCACTCCAGACCTGGCTCTCTGGCTGCACCATACACACCTGTGCCTCAGAAACTGCAGCTACCACTGTAATGAGCTAGTCCACACCCTGGGCCATGGAGCTATGGTCTCTCTGGGCATACCTGAACTCCAGACACTGGCTCTGCTCCCACAGTGAGTTAGCCCATATGCTGAACTCTGGAGATGCTATAGGTCTATATACACATATGTTTCAGACTCTAGCTCTGCGGCTGCTCCAAAAGCACTCACATCTCTCACACCATTATCAATGAGACACCAGTGCCATTGCTGCCCTGGACCTTAGAGCTGTGGTCCCTCACATGCGCCAATCATCTAGTTTCTGGCTCTGTGACCATTCCATGAGTGTCACACATTAGACATCAGTGCCACTGCAAGCACCCATAAGTTGGACTCAGAACCAAGAGGGGATTTCCTTGGCCACAATTTCCATGGTGGAATAAAAAATCAGGAGGAAATCAGTAGACTTCACCACAACATTCCAACAGCCCTCACTGCTACTGAAGCCTACAGCACTGGCTGCAGAAGACCACTTCACTCTTTGCTAATGCCAACCTCAGCTGACAGACCTGGATGGAGGTTATGCTGCTGCACCCTCACTGGAGCCAGAACCACTGCACCCCACCCAGTCAGTGTCCTAGAATGTAGCCATAGCGTAGGGCCTTTTCCCACCAAAACCAGTCTATAAAGTCTGAAAGAGATGATTATTCCATCAAATGCACAGACCTCAACACAAGGCAATAAGAAAAATGAAAAAACAAAGAAACATACCACCAAAGGAATGCCATAGTTTTCCAATAATCAATCTTTCCAAAATGGAGATCTATGAATTGCCTGACAAAGAAAAATCAAAATACTGTTGGTGGGACTGTAAACTAGTTCAACCATTGTGGAAGTCAGTGTGGCGATTCCTCAGGGATCTAGAACTAGAAATACCATTTGACCCAGCCATCCCATTACTGGGTATATACCCAAAGGATTATAAATCATGCTGCTATAAAGACACATGCACACGTATGTTTATAGCGGCACTATTCACAATAGCAAAGACTTGGAACCAACCTAAATGTCCAACAACGATAGACTGGATTAAGAAAATGTGGCACATATATACCATGGAATACTATGCAGCCATAAAAAATGATGAGTTCATGTCCTTTGTAGTGACATGGATGAAACTGGAAACCATCATTCTCAGCAAACTATCACAAGGACAAAGAACCAAACACCGCATGTTCTCACTCATAGGTGGGAATTGAACAATGAGAACACATGGACACAGGAAGGGCAACATCACACACTGGAGACTTTTGTGGGGTGGGGGGAGGGGGGAGGGATAGCATTAGGAGATATACCTAATGCTAAATGACGAGTTAATGGAGGCAGCACACCAACATGGCATATGTATACATATGTAACAAACCTGCACGTTGTGTGCATGTACCCTAAAACTTAAAGTATAATAATAAAAAAAAAAGAGAAAATGGAGGCACAGGGAGGAGAATGCCATATGAAGACGGAGACATATAGACACAGGCAAGACAGCACAGGAAGATGAGATTGAGATTGGAGTTGTGCAACCACATGCCAGGGAAGCCTGGCGCCATTAGAAGCTCAAAGGCAAGGATCTTCTTCTCGAAGTCTTGGAGGGAGTGTTGTCCTGCCAACATCTTGATTTTGTATTTCCAGCCTCCAGAAGTGTGAGAAAATATATTTCTGTTGTCTTAAAAAAAAAAAAAGAAAGAAAAATCAAAATAATTATTTTAAGGAAGCTCAGTGAACTACAGGAGAACAGAGACAACTCAATGAAATCAGAAAGTCAATACAAATAAAACTAGAAGTTTAACAGAGGGGTGGGAATAATTCAAAAGAACCAAACAACCTGGAGCTAAATAATACAATGAATAAAATGAAAAAGCACAATAGAGACTATTAACAGAACTGATCAAGCAGAAAAACAAATTGGTAAACTCAAACGCTGGATATTTGAAAATATTTGATCAGAGGAGAAAATAAAAAGGAGCGAAAAGCCTACAAGATTTATGGGATATCTTCAAAAGAGCTAACATGTACATTGTAGAATTCAAGGAGAATAGAGACAAAATTTATTTAAAGAATTAATGTCTGAAAACTTCCCCAATCTCAGATATAAACACCCAGGCACAGGAATCTCAGATCTCTAGCTAGATTCAACCAAAAGAAGACATATCATAAGCAAATTGTCGAAAGATAATTTTTTAAAGCAGCAAGATAAAAAAGGATCCTCACATACAGGGGAACTTCTCAAGCCTATCAGTGAATTTCTCAGCAGAAACTTTGCAGGCCAAGAGAGAATGGAATAATATTCATTTAAAGTGCTGAAAGAAAAAAAATGTAAACCCAGAATACTTTACCTGACAAAGCTGTTCTTCAGAAATTAAGGAGAGATGAAGACTTTCCCAGAAAAGGAAAATGGAGGGAGTTTACCACCACTAGACCTGCCTTACAAAAAAAACGAAAGAATTCTTCAAACTGAAATGAAAGGATGCTAATTAGTAACATGAAAACATATAAATTATAAAACTCACTGGTAAAAGTGAGTACATAATTCAGAATACTCTAAAACTTTAATTATGTTATATAAAATCACTTATTTGTAATAAAAAGTTAAAATTATTAAAAATATAATTTTTAAGGGATATACAATATAAAAAGATATACGTTTTGACATCAAAACCAAAATGGAGTAAACATGTAGTTTTTGTATGCAATTAAAATTATCAGCTTAAACTGTTACAAAATGTTTCATAATAACCACAAAGCAAAAATCTATAGTAGATGCACAGAAGATAAAGAGAAAGGAATCAAAGCATACCACTACCGAAAATTATGAAATCATAAAGACAATAAGAGGAAGAAAGGAACAAAGAATCTACAAAACAACCAGAAGATAATTTTAAACTTACTTGAGAATAGGGTCTTGCCTTGTTACCAAGACTGGAGTTCAGTGATGCGATCACAGTTCACTTGCAGCCTTGACTTCCCAGGCTCCAGTGATCCTCCCACCTCAGCCTCCCAAATAGCTGGGACCACAGGCATGCACCATCATGCCCAGCTAGTTGTATTTTTAGTAGAGATGGGATTTTATCACGTTACCCAGGCTGGTCTTGAACTCCTGAGCTCGAGGAATCCACCCGCCTCAGCATTTCAAAGTGCTGTGATTATAGATGTGAGTCACTGTGCCTGGCCCAACCGGAAGATAATTAATAAAATGGCAGTAGTAGGTCTTTACCTATCAATAATTCCTCTGAATGTAAGTGGATTACATTATCTAATGTAAATAAATAGAGGGGTTGAAAAGATTTTTAATAGTCCAATTAAATGCTACCTATAAGAGATTTGCCTCACCTGAAAGGATACAAATAGACTGGAACTAAAGGGATGGAAAAAGATTCACGCAAAGAGAAACCAAAAGAGGGCACAGGGTACTAAGCAACTCTTAGTAATGAGATGTTAAATCAAAAACTGTGAAAAGAGACAAAGCAGGTTGATATATAATGACAAAAACGTCAATTCATCAAGAGGATATAATAATTGTTGCTGGATGTGGTGGCTCACACCTGTAGTCCCAGCACTGTGGGAGGCCGAGGGGTGGATCACCTGAGGTCAGGAGTTCAGGATCAGCCTGGCCAACATGGTGAAACTCCATCTCTACTAAAAATACAAAAATTGGCCAGGTGTGGTGGTGCACACCTATAATCTCAGCTGCTCAGGAGGCTGAGGCAGGAGAATCACTTGAACCCAGGAGACGAAAGTTGCAGTGAGCTGAGATTGCACCACTGCACTCCAGATTGGGTGACAGAACAAGACTCCATCTCAAAAAAAAAATTGTAAATATGTAGGCACCCAACATCATAGCACTTAAATATATAAAGCAAAATTCATAGCTCTAAAAGAAGAGATAGATAGCAGTACAATAATAAGAGACTTCAACCCTCCATTCTCAACAATTGTACAGATCATCCAGACAGAAAACCAATAAGGAAAGATTGAATTTGTCTATACTTTAGACCAAATGGACATAACAGACATATTATAGAACAGTCCATCCAACAGCAGCAGAATACACATTCTTGTCAAGTATATAGGGAACATTCTCCAGGATAGGTCATATATTAGTCCATAAAACAAGTCCTAATAAATTCAGGAAGATTGAAATCATATGAAGTATCTTTTTGACTACAGTGGTATGCAACTTAGAAATGGATAACACAAACATAATGGGGAAATTTATGAATATGTGGAAATTAAACATCATCCTATACAAATGAATAAAAAACAAAAGGGAAATAATCTTGAGACAAAACGGAAACAAAACATACCAAAACACGTAAGGTGCAGCAAAATCACTTCTAAGAGAAGTTTATAGCAATAAACATCTAGATTTTAAAAAATATTTCAAACAGCCTAATATTACATCTCAAAGAAGTAGAAAACAAACTAAGAAGCAAAGTTAGTAGAAGGAAGAAAATAAGAAAGATCGAAGTAGAAATATGAAAAATAGAGATGAGGTAAAACAATATAAAACATCAATAAAACTAAGAGTTGGTTTTGTGAAAAAGATAAATAAAATTGACAAACCCATAGCTCGGCGATCTAAAAGTCAAATAATAAATGAATGATGAGACATTACAACTGATAGTGCAACTACAAAGGATTAGTAGGGACTACAATGAAAAATCATACGAAAAAGACCTGAATGGCCAGCAGGTATGTGAATGTGAAAAAATGCAGTATCATTAATCATCAAGGAAGTACAATTAAAAGCACAATAAGATGACACCTCAAACCTGTTAGAATGGCTGTTATCAAAAAGACAAGATCATAAGTGTTGGCAAGGATGTGGAGATAAGGGAACCCTTGTACATTGGTGGTGAGAATGTAAATTAGTATAGCCATTAGGGAGGACAGTATGAATGTTCCTCAAAGAATTAAAAATAAAACTACCATATCATTTCAGCAATTCCACTCCTGGGTATATATCCAAAGAAAATAAAATCAGTAGGTTGAAGAGGTATCTGTACTCCCATGTTCATTGCAGCATTATTCACAATAGCCAAGATATTGAATCAAACTAAGTGTCCATCAATGGCTGAATGGATAAAGAGAATGTGGTATACATATACAGTTGAATACTGTTTCAACTTAGAGGGAAATTCTACCACTTGTAACAACATAGATGAACCTGGAGGACATCATGCTAAGTGAAATAAGCCAGGCACAGAAAGATAAATGCCACATTATCTCACTTACATGTGCAACCTAAAAAATTGATCTCATAGAAAGAATAGAAGGTTCATTTCCAGGGCCTGGAATGCAGAGGGGAAGGGAGAGATATCTGCAAAAGGGCAGAAGTTTCAATTAGAATAAATTCTGGAGACCTTTTATACAGCATGGTGACTGTAGTTAATAATGTACTCTACACTAGAAAATAGCTGAGAGTAGCTCTTAAATATTCTCACCAAAAGAAAAGTATGTGAGTTGATGGATGTGTTAATTAGCTTGATTTAATCATTTAGCAGTATATGCATAGATCAGAACGTCATATTGTATACCATAAATACATAAAAATTACACTTTAATAAAACAGGAAAAAAATGACAGCAGAGCCTTACTCCCTCTGAAGTCTGCAGGGGAATCCTTCCTTGGCTTTTCCTAGCTTCCTAGAGTTCGGTGTTGACTGCAATCTCGGGCATTCCTTGCTTACAGCTGCATCACTCCAATCTCTACCTTCATTGTTACTTGTCATTCTTCTGGTGTGTCTGTCTTCACATGGCCACCTTCTTACAAGGACACCCATCACATTGGATTAGAGGCCCATCCTACTTCCACATGACTTGATGTTTAAAGCTGCAACAACCCTATTTCGATATAAGGTCATATTCTATGGTAATGGTAGTTAGGATTGCAACATATTTTTTTTAGTGAGGGGCATAATTCAACACATACTAATTTACATATTGAAATATGGCAGGGATAAGATTTTAAAATCACAAGCTTTTTTTCTATTTTCTTTTCTTCCTGTCTCTTTTCCCTCTCTTTCTTCCCTCCTCTCTTCTCTTGCTTGGTTAGCCATGAAATCTTTGTGAGGCATATAGGACATAATTAGGAGAAGGTGAGAGAAACTAAGTTGATGTATATAAGAAATAGCACTGTGATGCCCAGAAATAAAATTTAAAATAAGAAAGGTGGTATGCCTACGTGAAGAAAAACAGACTGAAGATAAAAAGTAAAATATTGAAGAGGGAGAAAGAAATTTTTTAAATTTAATATGGGAAAGACAGTTAAGATGATTTTCAAAAATTTGCTACATTGCAAAGAGTAGCTACCCTTTACCAGTTGAGATCTTGAGTTCACGTCTGTGTTATACTTCATGGCTTTGTCATATCTGTATTTCGTTCACATGTGTGACTGTTTTGAGGTGGATTCTTTGGAGGGGGGAAATATGACCAATTTTGATAAGGCTACATAAAGAATGTATTGATCTGACGGGCATTATTCAGCAACAGAGACATAGTAACAAAAGAAAAGCAAATATTGGCAATGTTCATTCAAGCATAGCCCAAAGGAAAAAGAAACTCGATCTGTGGATTTTAATGTGATGGCTTCCCTAGCAAGATGCTCCCTGTAATAGACAACTGTGTCTCATGCTTTCTTAGCTGAGAACTACTCCTTAATGCTACTCAAGCCCATCTATTCTGCTCCTTTGCTCACTAAGCAAACTTCTCACTTTATTCCTTCAGTGGGATGTGCTAATTGTGTTGACAAAAATACTCTCATCGGGGTTTTTCTGTAAAAGGTAAGGCATAGTTCTAAGTGTTTTAGGCTTTGCAGGCCATGTTGTCTCTGTTGCAATGATTCAACTCTGCCACTCTCATGGGGAAATCCACCATAGACATTAGGTAAACCAATGGGAAGGGCTGTGCTCCAGTAAAACTTAATTTACACAAACAGGGGTCATGAAGAGCTGGCTCATAAGCTGTAGTTTGCAGACATTGTCTTAGACCATTTTTTTTTCATTTTTAGTAAAAATTTGAATTTCTGTTTCATATAAATCTCTCTTAGCTTGGTTAATGTGCACTGCCTTCAAGAAGCAGTCTCACTTTCAATGTGCTGAAAAATTCAACTCTCTGACTATGTGAGACTGAAGATCAGATCTGAGATCGTGGCTAATTCACAAGTATCTTATTTCTTCACAAAGTATCATGGTGGTAACCAGCTGGTTTATCCACAAACAGGAGTAGCATCTCATAAAATTTCATATCAGGGGTTTTCTGGCTTTGTTTTTCCCATGCTGAGTGGGTCATCAAAGGCCATTGAGACTAATGGTTTTACCTAGGGCTAAGTGAGCCTTAGAAATGTTAACTGACATTTGGGTTGGTTCCAAGTCTTTGCTATTGTGAATAGCACCGCAGTAAACATACGTGTGCCTGTGTCTTTATAGCAGCATGATTTATAATCCTCTGGGTATATACCCAGTAATGGGATGGCGGGATCAAATGGTATTTCTAGTTCTAGATCCTTGAGGAATGGCCACACTGTCTTCCACAATACCCACAGCCCAAATGTCCATCAATGATACACTGGATTAAGAAAATGTGGCACATATACACCATGGAATACTATGCAGCCTTAAAAAAGATGAGTTCATGTCCTTTGTAGGGACATGGATGAAGCTGGAAATGATCATTCTCAGCAAACTATCAATACCACATGTTCTCACTCATAGGTGGGAATTGAACAATGACAACACTTGGACACAGGAAGGGGAATATCACACACTGTGGCCTGTTGTGGGGTGCGGGGAGGTGGGAGGGATAGCATTAGGAGATATACGTAATGTAAATGATGAGTTAATAGGTGCAGCATGCCAACATGGCATATGTATACATATGTAACAAACCTGCACGTTGTGCACATGTACCATGGAACTTAAAGTATAATAAAAAAAAATATTAACTGACTTGTTAAAACTAGAAGCTAGGATGTGGCCCCAGGTTTCCCAGCCCTAGTCCACCAGCTATCCTATTGCTTCAAGTGGTCTATAATCCACTTCTGTGGTTTGCTGATTAGGACTTTGCTGCTAAAAATAATCACCAAAGCTTGAGATTTGAGACTTAAGTCATAATGTGGCAGTTACATAGTGTTGATGACAATGAGCTAGAAGATGGCTTGGCCCAAAGGAGCTGAGAGCACCCAGAGTCTCTTAAGTCCCTTAATATAGTTTGTATAATGTCTTTTAAGAATCTGTAGTACCATATGCATTTATTACCCATGTATTTGTCTAAACCTGTCTTGAACCTGTTTATGTTTTGGCTTTTACAACTAGGTTGGGCAATAAATTCCATATGCTTATTACCTTCTGGAGAAGAAGCCCTTCTTGTTAATTTAGGGCTTATTTTTATTAAAACTAATGATGACATAACTGGAGATGCCCAAGGCTGACTGCCCCAGAAAGCTCCTGAAGAAAAGTCTTTGGAGACCTTACGTAGCACATGACTGTAAAGCAGCACAACTAAACAGTGATTTCCCAACATTTTCAGCCACCAACCTTGTTAAAAGAAATTGCATGAGTTCTTAGATAAAATTACTAACAGATACGCTTGTCTACTTGTATTCATTGCAGAATTTAACATATCATTCACTATTTTTAAAATGTCTTCCTTCACTAGAATACAAGCAAGATGAAGGCAAGAACTTTGTTTATTACTATCCACTAACATAGTCCCTGATGCAAAGTAGGCACCTAATAAATATTGTTGAATAAGTAAAATAATATGTGAAGGTTTGAAGCCAAGCTGGAGTCTGAGGCTTTCTCTTGTCTGCCATCTAGCACTGTTGTTGAGGATACTTGTGGAGCTCTTTCTGGTCTGTGAAGTGAATTTTGATTGGTCTAGAGCTTTGGTATAAAGCTTACACACACATTGTTATTGGGGTCCTCTCAACAAACCTGTGAAGTGTGTAGAGCACGTAATATTCCCAATTCGCAGATGAGAAATCAAAGACTCGGAGAAGATAATGGACTTGCTCACAATTGTGCTGGTAGAAAATGATAGGGTGGCAGATTCTACTCCAAATGCACTGCACCAGTGGTTTTCAACTATTTTGACTGCACCTTGGAAGAAGTGCATTTTAAATTATGACTCAGAATATACACATGTATGCACACACACACACAGGCACAGACAAAGCAAACATTTTACAAAAGAACGCCCTTACTAATGTAATATATTCTGATGTGTTTATTCAATATTTAAAAAATTGTAATTGCAACCACAAGTTGAAAAACACATTCTCTACCATATATATTTTCCTGCATCATTTCCCCTCTCATAATCTTTTCTCTCCGTTTCACAAATAATCATTGCCTTTTTCCCTTCTAGGGCTTCTTAGTCTCTTCTTGCAGTCACCCAGTCTGGGGAGCGGGAGAGTTTCTCCATGCTGGAGTCGGAGAACATGAAACAGCCAGATCACTGTGAGAGGAAATTGAAAGCTTTTATGAGGGCAAAGAGAGGAGAGAAAAATCCAATCTGAAAGCTTGGACCTTTTGGGCAGGAAACAGTTAAGAGCCCACTAGATGCATTGAACTGCCAAGACCACCGCAATGTTCGTACAAAGATTAGACAGAGAACAGATGTGGAGTAACCAGAATCCTTCAGAGTAAGATAGCAACGACATAAATTAACCTTGTCAAGGGCCTGACAAAGGGACCACGCGCTTTTTGAAGTCTTAAGAGTGAAGCCATTTTTTTATGGACTCTCCAAGGTTATATACCTTTAGCTAACAGAAAAAGTTTAATTAGAGCCAGTTGTTTACAGGGAAGGGAAGTGAGCCCAGTGGGGCTATCAGGGTGACTGCATAGAAAATAAACAAATGAGCCTGCAAAACAGCTGAGGTTTCCTTGAGTTCTCTTCGACCGATAAGATTCCCGTCACCCCTTGAGATTACTTTTGTCTATTTTCCTGAAACTGGAGAAACAAAGAGGTGAAAACATTCCAGACTCCTGATCCTTTTAGTTTGGCAAGAGTTTGGTTATGATCTCTTTCAAAGCCGCCCTTTCTGGTTGTGAGACCACTAGGGTGACAACATGCCCAGCTGCAGGAGGATGAGCTTCAGTGACCACTAGGCCATGTGGCACTACTGCAGGAACCACCGCCTGGGATGTGGGCTAGCCTCGTTCGTGGATATGTAACCCAAGGCTTTGAGGAGGGCTTGATGCTTTAGTTTCCAAAAGATCAATTCTCTTTTCAGAGGGGTCCCAGCTGGGGTGAGATGTGAGCCAGAGAAGGCTTTGTCAGGACTGTGTCCCAGAAGAAAATACAGGACTTAGTGTACCAGTGATAGGGACCTGTGAATCCAAGGCCTCCTAGAAAGTCCTAATTGAATTGGAAAATGGGGCAAGGGCTAAACACCTAGTGGCTAGGAGAGACGATGTTAGAATCTGGACCAAATTCCTCTGAACAGCTCTGCAATGCCTGGTCACCTGGGAGAAGGAACAAGGAAATCTAGCAAGGTGGGTGGGGGATGAAGGAGGAATAAGAGGCCTCTCTGAAGTGGCAGGGCTGCCATGAGTCCCTGACTGAATGCAGTGGTTTGGTGGCTGGAACTGATCATGGCAGCCCTTGGTACTGGAAGCACGTTTACCTTGCTTCTGGGCAGCTCTCTCCCATGACCTTTCTCAAACAGGCTTTGGTAGGCCTTCATGGAGAAATAGAGTAGCCCAGAGCAGCCTAGGGCTCACCATAGTACAGATTTGAGAAACAGAACAGCAGCAGCTGTCTCCTCTCTCAGGTAGGTGAGCAAATTAAAAAGCCCTAAGAAGCCTGGGCAACATAGTGAGACCATGTCTCTCCAAAAAAAAAAAAAAAAAATTAAAAAATTTAGGCAGGGATGGTGGCACACACCTGTAGTCTCAGCTACCTGGGAGGCTAATGTGGGAGAATCACTTGAACCCGGGAGTACGTGGCTGCAGTAAGCCATGATGGTGCCATCTAGACTCCAACCTGGGCATCCCAGCCAGAGCCTATCTCAAAAAAAAAAAAAAAAAAAAAAGGCCAGCCTAAGAATGATTGTTTCCCTCCCGGTTCCCAGGGTCAGCTTCCATGTGGGTAGTGGAGCCTGTGTGCTGGTTGTAGACTATATGAATCACTGAAACAAGTCCCGATCCTAAGACATTCCCTTCAAACTACCAGAAATGCCACCTGGAATTTGAGTTAAACAGTGCTATTAAAAGAGAAGATTAGTCCCCAGGGAGATCTGAGAGAATTTGCATCATTCACAGCTTACTAAGGACTATTTCACTTTGCTCATTTTCCTTTAATATCAAGTCGAGGTCCCTGTAGTTGAGAATAGAAGCTTTTTTGGGCAGAAAGGACACAGTTTTAGAATAAGCAATTTCTGGGAAAGGTAGTCTAGGGTAAAGTGGGCTTGGGGTTGTTGAGTATTAGAGGCCCGAAGGGTTGTAGATGAAACTTTGTTGGGAGCAGAGGGTGTGACAAGAAGCAGATGGTAAGAAAAATGAGATCTAAGTAAATCCAAAGACAGAGGCATGCTTTGCTGTCTCAGAAATTGTGCCTAAGGCTTACCTTGTGTTGCTGTTCCACTTGTTCCTAAATCCCTGTGCTGGTGGGGTGGAGCAGGGAGGGGGCGCTTGAGTTTCCTTCTGTGTGGGATGCTCATGCCCAAGGTAGGAAAAGAGCCCTTTCTGTTTCCTGACCTCCAGCTCAAGTGTAGATGAGACCTTCACCAGCAGCCATAAGCAGGCTTCACAGCTATCTCTTCTGGGCAGATGCCACATCGGATTGCTATTTGCATCACCCCTACCCAGCTTGGGGACATGGTGCCTCACTCATCAAAGGCATACCATGTTTGCCAGAAGACCAACCCACCCAGTAGATGGAGTATGTACATTTCACGCCTGTGTGTAGTTCAGGAACTTTATTCATGCTGCTCTGTCGTCGTGCAATGTACTCCCTTTCCATACCTTCAGTAGGTGAGCTCCTATTCATCCTTCAAAACTCAGCTCAAATGCCATGTCCTCTTTCTAGGCTTTCCTTACTGTCTTCATGAGATTTCTCCTTGGATAAACACCTAGCAATACATGTGTCAGATGTATTATTATTGATATTTCTCTTAATCTTACCCACTTGACCTTGATTTTCTTGAAGTCATTTGTATCTTATTTCTATGACATAGTATAACACTTGGCACCTAACATGTTCTATGGTAAACTTTTGGCGGATTGATTGGACTTTATTAAAAATTACTTCCAAGGGAACTTGCTGAAGTTCCTAGGGGTTTTTCAGCCTGTGTGTGGCCAGAGGAACCCTCAGCAGCACAGGGACAAACAATGCCTGGGTTGGAATATCACTGGGTCTCTCTACTCATTTCAATTTTCCATGAAGAGCTACCTTCTCATCAAGTCAAATTCCCTTAATTCTCCTTCTAAACACCTTCTGAATTTAGCATCTGAAAAGGTAGGTTCCTAATTTGGCATATACAAAGCTAACATTCATTTCTGGGCTTGCTTAGTATTGAGAGTCTATACAATGATTGCAAATAGAATCCATAAAGTAGTACCCCACCTGATGTCCGTGACGCAGCTGTGCAGTGGAAAGCAGATGTGCAGGGTTTGCCTTTCTGGTGGCACAGAGATCGACAGAGGATTGAGAGCATGGGGTGTTTTGATTTTATGTCTCATTTTCTGCTTTTGTACTGATCCAGACTCCTGTTTCTGACTCTCTCAAAGGGGTTACTTGTTTCCAAGAGTTGAGGCAGTTGGTGGGACAATCTCCGCAAAAGAGAAAATTGGTCATGGTTTCTTTTGACATAGTACAAGAGCAAAGTATTGAGTGCAAAGTCCTTTGCAATGGCATTTACTATTAGTTTAGGGGGAAATGATCAGTATTTCTCTTTCGTAGGACTTGAAGCCTCTCTTTCTTTCCTTCTTCTTCTATTAACATTTTCTAATACACATAAACTAGTGAGAATACTATAATAAAACCTCCATGTTTCTATCACCCAGATTCAATAATTACCCCTTTTGTTCAGCTTCTTGTGTGGCCATCAGACCACAAACCTGATGATTTCTTAGATCTGTTCCAGCTCTAATACTATAGTTTTTCTTCATGTCCTTTGTTCCTGCATTAATTGTTTCTCCAACCTAAAAAGTATAAAACTGCAGTGGCAAATCTAAATGGTGGGCTGTGTGTAAGGGTGCTTTAGTCCCCCCTCCACCTCTTTTTAATCAGTGCCCCATTCTACCCAAATAAATATACAATCTAAAGGTAATAGTAATGTGCTCGCTAAATGTAGCTTCAAGACTAAGTGCAATTCTTGATGTTGCCACCAATAGTAGACAGTGTTAATGTCCATCTTCTGGAAATCAGATATCACCATCACTACAGCTTTAAGAACTGATCTTTGCCAGGCATGGTGGCTCATGCCTATAATCCCAATACTTTGGGAGGCCAAGGTGGGTGAACCACTTGAGGTCAAGAGTTTGAGACCAGCCTGGCCAACATAGTGAAACCCCCATCTCTACTAAAATACACAAATAAGCTGGGTGTGGTGGTGCACACCTGTAGTCCCAGCTACTTGGGAGTCTGAGGCAGGAGAATCGCTTGAACCTGGGAGGTCGAGGTTGCAGTGAGCTGAGATTGTGCCACTGCACTCCAGCCTGGGCAAGAGTGAGACTCTGTCTCAAAGAAAAAAAGAACTGATCTCTCTCCTTCATCTTTCCTTTTCATGAAATGTCTCTTTAATTGCCTTGGTGCATAATGGGGGCTATTGAATTTTTTGACGTTTTCTCTTTCCTTCTTCCTATTCCCTCTTTTCTTTTAGCAGATATTATTGGACATTTATACAACTTTAAAAATTAGACTACAGAATTAAAGTTCTCTAATACATTAGAGTATGCAAAAAATAACTTTGACTTTAGCTTTTGATCTTCTGAGCATCTGTATAGTAAAGATGCTTCTGCCTGAGCAACTCAGCATTTTTATATCCTCTTGGTAGCTCATAGCTTTTGTAAATAATGTCAGTGTTCCTTAGAGAACTGAGCTACAAGGAAGGTGGGTGGGAGATATATGCCATTTAAGAATTTTCCCATTTGTAACTCCTGACTAGTCCCTGGAAAAGCTCTATGTTAAGATATCACTGTGTGTGGCTTTTATGTATATAAAATATGTCACAGTTATTCATTAACTCCTTGATTGAAAATTTGAGTCATAAAAAAAATTGCTTGACTAGCATTTCAACTATCAAATTAAAAATTCAGGTCAGTGAAAAAAGACAGAATACAGGTATCTATGTCTATATGTGTATATGTCCAAATTTGATATTACAGAATGAACTGATGAATATATGAGGTAGAGAAAGTCTCTTCATTAACTGAATAAAATGTTTCTCATCTCAGCGTTACTAGCTTGAGTTTGGGGTTTCACTTTTAATATGTTAATGAGCAAATTAAAGTGTGTTTACATTTCTATAGCATGTTCTTCTTTGTGTCAGCTATATACTTATGGAACTTTGGGAAAGTGATATAACATCTCTGGAAACTTGTTCTCGAGTGTTTAAAAAAAAAGAACTGAAATATTTCTATCATTCCTTTCACCTTGACATGCTATATTTCAAAACCAGGATATTAGCCTGAGTCATTTTGTCATGTGCTCGGACAGTTGTTAACAAGGACATACCACATTCAAATCAATTAAGTTGCCTAGAAGCTAGAAGTATAAACACAACCATAAATAAGAAATATGTGGCTGGGCAGAGTGGGTCATGCCTGGTAATCTCAGCACTTTGGGAGGCCAAGGCTGGTGGATCATGAGGTCAGGATTTACAGACCAGCCTGGCCAACATGGTGAAACCCCATCTCTACTAAAAATAGAAAAATTAGCCGGCCGTGGTGGCAGGCACCTGTAATCCCATCTATTCAAGAGGCTGAGGCAGGAGAATCGCTTGAACCCGGGAGGTGGAGGTTGCAGTGAGCTGGGACCGCATCACTGCACTCCAGCCTGGGCAACAGAGTGAGACTCCATCTCAAAATAAATAAATAAAAACAAAGAAATATGGTTGTTTATCTTTTCTACTGTGGTGTTAGTTTAACCTCCAGGTATTCATGTGTATGCACCACACATAGATTTTTGGATGTATGTACACAATGAGAATTTGGTCTGCTGTACATAATAAAGCAAAAGTATTTGGTATTCATCTATAAAAAAAATTGAAAGACTTTTTTTCTCCTTCTCAAATTAGTGTTACTCCAGGGAGGTGTATGACATGCCAATTAATATGTGCATATACTTTCTCAATAGTTCTGCCTTTTTTCCCCTCAGAGCTGTGAGGCAAAATGTCAAGTCCTCTGTAGCCAGCCACTTTCCATAATTTTCCTGTTTATTCCAATGAGTGTTCTCATGGCAGGTGCATACCAATGTACCATATGGCAGTCTTCCATATCAGTCCTGTCACCAAGCCCTCCTGGAAATGAGGAACTGTATTCTCAGGACACAAATAGGATCCTAGTCAGACAGAAACTCTTGCTCGTTTCCAAATTTATGACTTCCCAACATTAAAGCATTTCATCAAAAAATTAACAGAGGGAAGAACTGGGGAATATTATTGAGCCCCACCTTAGGAACACAGGATGTCATTCATTATTTCTTTGAGCCCCACCTTAGGAACACAGGAGGTCATTCATTATTTCTTTCTTAATATTTATTTTTTTGAGACAAAGTTTCACTCTTGTTGCCCAGGCTGGAGTGCAATGGTGTGATCTCGGCTCACTGCAACCTCTGTCTCCCGGGTTCAAGCGATTCTCCTGCCTCGGCCTCCCAAGTAGCTGGGATTACAGGTGCCCAGAACTAGGCCCAGCTAATTTTTTGTGTTTTTAGTAGAGGCTGGTCTCGAACTCCTGATCTCAGGTGATCCACCCGCCTTGGCCTCCCAAAGTGCTGAGATTACAGGCATGAGCCACTGTGCCTGGCCAATTTCTTTCTTAATATTTATTAAGTATTAACTATGTCTTTACTTTGTACCAGGAACTGTTCTAGGTGAATGGGATATAAAAGTTAAAAAAAAATTACAAAAAAGAAAATAAGGCAAATAAAGTAAAACAAAATTATCAAGATAGTTTTGATAGAGTTGGGCAAAGAACTGAAATTAAGTGATATGAGAAGCTGAATGGCTATTTTAGAGAGTTTGGTTGGGAATGGCCTCTTGGAGGAAGTCATATTGAAGTTAAGGATCAAATGTCAAGAAGGAATTGGACATGCAAAGATCAGGAAGTAGAGAATTGAAGCTCAGGGCACAGAAAGTGCAAAGGTCCTAAGATAAGAAGGTGCCTGATGTGTTGCAGGAACAGAAGCCAGATCAGTGTGCCTGGAAGGAGTTGAAGGGCATATGCAAGTCAGAAGCCAGATCATGGAGAGCTTCATATATATTTTTTGAGACAAGGTCTCGCTCTGTAGCCCAGACTGGAGTGCAGTGGCATAATTGCAGCTTACTGCAGCCTCAACCTTTCAGGCTCAAGCAATCCTCCCACCTCAGCTTCCCAAGTAGCTGGGACTACAGGCATGCACCACCATGCCCAGCTAATGTTTGTTTTTTGTAGAGATGGGGTCTCACTGTGTCGCCCAGGTTGGTCGTGAACTCCTCGGCTCAAGTGATCCTACCACTTTGGCCTCCCAAAGAGCTGGGGTTACAAGTATGAGCCACTGCACCAGGCCATAGAGGGCTTTATAAAATCAGGGTGAAACATATGGATTTTGTTCTCACAGTAATAAAACAATTGTAAGTTATGATCTGAATTGTTTAAATTAAAAGTCAGCTATAGTATGGGAAATGGATCATGGAGGTGAAGAGTGTATGTACTAGCACACATTAGCTTACAGCAATAAGTGGACGAGGTGAAAGAACAGGGTGAGTTTCAGAAGCAAATTTAATAGGAGTTGCTGATAGGCAAAATGTGGTTGCTAGGGGAAAGAGAGGAATCAAGATAACTTCTAGATTTGGGGCTTAGGCACTTGTTGAGCAAAAGTAATTTTAAAAAATCCATAACCAAGAAAATCACAAGCCAATTTGTTGTGGGGTAGGAATTAAGGGTTTGGTTTTAGGATCATCTTATGATTGAGCTGCTCTTTAGACACCCACGCAGAGATAGAATATTTCTGGATATATAAACCTGAAGTCCAGAGATGTTGATCTGGAATCATTGACTTATAGATTCATTTCAAGCCATGGGTCAAATGATGTCACCTGGGGTGAGTGCATACAGAAAGAAAAAGTTTCAGGATGGAATCCTGGGACATTGTCACATTTAGAGATCCACCAGTGGAGAAGGACAGAGCAAAGACCCAGAAACTTAGGAAGAAGCTTGGGAGCCTGTGATTTCACCAAAGACAAGAGAAGAATGAGTATCTTTTAAAGGAAGAGGTCACTGGAACCTCAGAACCTCTTGATGCCACTGGAGATGCCAAATTCCTCCTGAGCCTCGTTCTCATGTCATGACTTGTTTTTCCATTAGCCAAGTCTTTCACTTGCACCTCAAATTGGAGGTGGGTTTTTATCCCTCTCTTGCTTGTAATGTAGGCCTGCACCTACTAATTTCTATTTCTCCATTCTGGCAATGACAGTTCATTTTCTCCAGGCTTAGGCAAGGCCTCTCTGATTCTGTGTCTGGCCCCTCCCACCCATCTTACAGGTGTGCCTTCCCTGCAGCAAACACTCCCACCCAGGCAGTTTTTGCCTCAGGGCAGGATCTGACAGTAAAGAGGGAGCTCAAAGGAAGTCCCAAGAGGAGAAAAGTGAAGACAGGCAAAGGAAGGGCAAGCAGACTCAGGGATAACACTCTGCTTTGAGGCTACATCTTTCCCAGAGATCTGTTTGTGTCTTCCTTTTAAACTTTTATTTTAAGTTCAGGGATACAAGTGTAGATTTGTTATATAGGTAAACTTGTATCATGGGGGTTTGTTGTACAGATTATTTTGTCACCCAGGTATTAAGCCTAGTACTCATTAGTTATTTTTCCAAATCTTCTACCTCCTCCCACCCTCTAAAGGCCCTATATGTGGTGTTCTCGTCTACGTGTTCTCATCATTTAGCTCCCACTTATAAGTGAGAACATGACATATTTGGTTTTCTGCTCCTGTGTTAGCTTGCTAAGGATGATGGCCTTCAGCTCTATCCATTTCCCTGCAAAGAACATGATCTCATTCTTTTTTATGGCTGCATTGTATTCTGTGGTGTATATGTACCACATTTTCTTTATCCAGTCAATCATTGATGGGCATTTGGGTTGATTCTGTCTTTGCTATTATGAATGGTGCTGCAGTGAACATATGTGTGCATGTATCTTTATAAAAGAATGATTTACATTCCTTTGGGTATATACCCAGTAATGGGATTGCTGGGTCAAATGATATTTCTGCCTTTAGGTCTTTGAGGAGTCACCCTACTGTCTTCCACAACAGTTGAACTAATTTACACTCCCACCAACAGTGTATCAGCATTCCTTTTTCTCTACAACCGCACAAGCATCTGTTATTTTTTGACATTTTACTAATAGCCATTCTGACTGGTGTGAGATGCTATCTCATTGTGGTTTTGATTTTCATTTCTCTAATGATCAGTGACGTTGAGCTTTTTTTCATGATTATTGGCTGCATGTATGTCTTCTTTTGAGAAGTGTCTATTCATGTCTTAGGCCCCTTTTTCTTGTAAATTTGTTTCTTATAGGTGCTGGATATTAGACTTTTTTCAGATGCATAGCTGGCAAAAATTTTTTCCCATTCTGTAGGTTGTCTGTTCACTCTGTTGATAGTTTCCTTTGCTGTGCAGAAGCTCTTTAGTTTAATTAGATCCAATTTGTCAAATTTTGCTTCTGTTGCAGTTGCTTTTGGTGTCTACATCATAAAATCTTTACCTGTTCCATAATGGTATTTCCTAGGTTATCTTCCAGGGTTTTTATAGTTTTTGGTTTTACATTTAATTTTTTAATCCATTTTGAGTCGATTTTCATATATGGTGTAAGAAAGGGGTCCAGTTTCAGTCTTCTGCATATGGCTTGCCCGTTATCCCAGCACAATTGATTGAGTAGGGAATCCTTTCCTCATTGCTTTTATAAGGATTGTTATATACGATCAGAAGTTGTTAAGTGTGCAGCCCTATTTATGGTTTCTCTATTCTGTTCCACTGGTCTATTTGTCTGTTTCTGTACCAGTACCATGCTGTTTTGGCTACTGTAGCCCTGTAATATAGTTTGAAGTCAGGTAGACTGATGCCTCCAGCTTTGTTCTTTTTGCTTGGGATTGCCTTGGCTATCTGGGATCTTTTTTGGTTCCATATGAATTTTAAAATAGTTTTTTCTTTTTCTGCAAAGAATGTCAATGGTAGTTTAATAGGAATAGCATTGAATTGATAAATTGCTCTGGGTAGTATGACCATTTTTAAGGATATTGATTCTTTCTATCCATGAGCATGGAATGTCTTTCCATTTGTTTGTGTTACTGGAGATCTATTTGAAGGTTGGAATCCCCAAATAAAAATCTCCACTACTTCATAAAGACATGCATTGAAATAACTCTAGTAATGCTGAACAGAAATGTAACATTTCTTTGGGAAAAATAAAAGTATTCAAAGAAAACTTATTCTGTAATCCGTAAGTAAGCAGGGGACCAGGAACACATCTTACAATCCATCTCCATTAGTTATCTTTTGCTGCCTAGCAAATTACTGAACTTAGTAGCTTAATACAATAAGCATTTATTACCTCACAGTTTCTTTGGGTCAGAAAGTTAGGAGCAGATTAGCTAGATGATTTTCTATTAGAGTTTCTCATGAGGTTGCCAAACAGGCATCAGCCAAGATTGTAGTCATCTGAAGGCTTAATTGGGGCTGGAGGGTTTGCTTCCAAGATGGTTGACTCTGATAGCTATTGGCAGGAAGCCTACATTCCTTGCCCTGTGGGTTTCTCCACACAGTTATTTGAGAATTCTCATAGCACTGATTTTCCCCAAAGTGGTTAATCCAAGAAAAAGAACAGAAAGAATGTCACTATTCCTTTTATGATCTAGTCTTGGAAGTCTAACAACATTAATTTTACCACATTGTATTTGTTAGAAGTCACTAAGTTCAGCCACACTACAAGTGAGGGAAACTAGCCTCTACCTTTTGAAGAAAGCCATATCAAAGCATTTGTGGACATTTTCTAAAACAACCACACTGGCTCTAATTAGAAGTTGAAGAAATGGTGAGTTGTAGTGTCAGTCCAGTGAAAAAGAATTGGAACAGACCAGATATTTGGAATGGAGTGTCAAGGTTGGAAATTAAAAATTCACACATTTTTGAGCAAATACTGAGAACAAGTGTTCATAACAATCTCTGGAGAGACATGAGACTATGAAATGAGACTGTAAAGGCTAATTTTGCGGTGGGGAAGACCAATCTTTCTCCTTAGGTGTGGCAGCAACAGGAGAGACAAACCTGCAAAAGGCCATTCCTGAAAGGAAAAAGAACATTGTGCTTCCTACCAGATACTGATCCACAAGAAAGAAGTCTCTGCCCTACAGAACAAACATGCAGTGTCAGGCAATATGGGGAAATGGTGGACTGACAAGCCTAAGATGTGGTCAATTGTAATAAAAGTTTGCCAGAAGCAGCTCAGAATTTGAACTCTGTAGCAAATATGCCGTTCTAATCCTTCCCTTCCCCCCTCTTTATGATTTAATACTTGGCAAGAGAAAGGTCACTTGACAATATTTATTAGCTCATTAACTGTAAGTGTCCTTGCTGCCATAGGGGATATTTTTTATAACAATTCTATTCTGTTCTGCAAGCTACACTGCAGGTGTCTCTCCATTGTGTAAATGAAATGGTGAGCACTAGCTTTCTACTGACATCCCAAATCCCTAACTAAATATTACTTTTTTTTTCCAGCTGATGAAAAGGAACATGATCAGACTGAGTCAGGCTTGGCTAACTTACATCAGGCCAACCATGCAAATATTAGTGTTGCCTGAACATGGGCACTATTTCTAAGATGATGAGCTTGGGCTATCTCATTTCCCCTTCTCAGACCCCTATCCCCAAGGAAAGGGAAAAAGAAGAGAATAAACATGGATTGTATGCCAGATACTATATTATCACCCTTATAAATATAATTGAATTAAAGTCTACCAACAGCTCCATTAAACAAGAAATGTTGGCCACTATTAAAACAGATGAGGAAACTGAGTCTCTGAAAAGTTAATATGCTACATCACAAAGCTGATGGGTGGGGAATCTGGGATTCAAACCTAAATCCATGCTTTTTCTTTTTTCTTTTTTTTTTTCTCTTGAGATAGTCTCACTTTGTCACTCAAGCTGGAGTGCAATAGTGTGATCTGGGCTTACTGCAGTCTCAGCCTCCTGGACTGAAGCAATCCTCCCATCTCAGCCTCCTGAGTAACTAAGACTACAGATGTGTCCCACCACACCCGGCTAATTTTTGTATTTTTTGTAGAGATGGTGTTTTGCCATGTTGCCCAGGTTAGTCTCAAAGTCCTGGGCTTACATGCTTTTTCAAACACAATATTATGTTAAAAAAAAATAGTAAAGAGGCTGGGCACAGTGTCTTATGCCTGTAATCCCAGCACCTTGGGAGGTGGAGGCAGGTGGGTCACCTGAAGTCAGGAGTTCGAGACCAGTGTGGCCAACATGGTGAAACCCTGTCTCTACTAAAAATATATAAAAAATAAATTAGCCAGACACAGTGGCGCAGGCCTGTAGTCCCAGCTACTCAGGAGACTGAGGCTGGAGTATTGCTTGAACCTGGGAGGCAGAGGTTGCAGTGAGCCGAGTTTGTGCCACTGCACCCCAGCCTGGGCGACAGTGCAGTGATATGGCTTTCTTCAAAAGGTAGAGGCTAGTTTCCCTCACTTGGAGTGTGGCTGAACTTAGTGACTCCGTCTCAAAAAAAAAAAAGTATTCTCAAACATCACACAATTTTTTGTTTGCTTTCTGAAAAAAATGAGAGCTTGGTTTTACATGATTCAGTAGTAGCCAGAGAATAAAATGTTGCTGGACCTCCGATGAGAAAAAATTTACTTAAGATGAGGGATGTTGATTTTTTAAAAATTAACAAAATATTTTAATTGTTTTCAAATATACATTTGATCATAATTTAGTTCTGATCTGTTTTCTTTTTTTGGGAGGGGGGTAGTCTATATGCCTACCAGCTCTAATTGGTAGCGATATAATGCCCATTGACCAAAAAATACTTGATAATATTATTCATTTATTTATCCTCTGCATTCACACTCTACCCCTGGTTTAACTCCTAATCATTTAACTCAAGGGTCAACTTTCCTGAGAAAGTTACTTTCCCTCTCATAGTATGATGTATATACAGTCTTTTTGTTTTGTACGAATCACCCTACACTTTATAATGAGATAATTATTAGGCACCTATAGTCTGTAACAATTTTTCACATCCTGTCTAATGTTGGGGGCCACTGCTTTGGTGATATTTGAATCTAGGACTCATGGCACGATGACAAAAGTAGAACACT
Source organism: Homo sapiens (assembly GCF_000001405.40). Classification (NCBI taxonomy): domain Eukaryota; kingdom Metazoa; phylum Chordata; class Mammalia; order Primates; family Hominidae; genus Homo; species Homo sapiens. Next base: position 33,063,464 of record NC_000008.11, on the reverse strand, counting down.
AGGGGATGAATTTATCAAAGTTCAAGTCAGTCTCTCTCTTTCCCCTCCTTGCATCTCTCCTCCTCCTGCTTCCCCTCTCTCTCTTAAACTTTCTCAGATGGGGGAATCAGTAAAACATCCCATTGCGTTGCTATGGGATGAAGGACTTCTGAAGTTCATTCATGTATGTCTGATTTGGATGGACATTGACTTTATATGACATCGATCCATAACTAGGGCCCTGGTAAACTTTTGAAGAAAATGCTCTCCGTCGGAAGAGAGATTTGCCAACATTTGGAAACTATCCCATAGGACATGGAACTGAGAGTTCATTTCTTGTAAGTTGAGCAGAAAGTGTTTGGTAGAAGAGTATGATTAACCATGACAGGCCAATTGGTTAAACTTTTCATCATTTTTAAACTTTAAAATTAATGCCTATTTAGAATGGATCTAGCTATTCCAGAAGGTAAGAATATAGCATATTTAAATAGAATCATCACAGAACGTTAAAGTCTTTCCAGGACCTTGAAATAACTTGATTTTATATAATTAACTGATTCCCCTACTTATCCTATTCCTTTTGATTGGAATGTTGTGGAATCACTTTAAAAAAAAAAAGCATTAAAGATTATTTATCTAACTTTTCTCTACTGATAGGAGCTCAAAAAGGACGGTTTTGCTTTGCATTACTCCATCTTTATGATCAAAGAGGATGTGATGAGCCCAGCTGAACAGACAGGAAAATAGCTTGTTATTCAGAACCAGCCCTGAGGTTGTGGGGATGGTAGAAAAGCAGAGAGGAAATGGGGTGCTAATGATATTAGGGAGAGTGGTTCTTCAGGGGAAAGCATTTATTTTACACGTTTCAGGAGAATTATGGAGATAATTAATATTGGCAGCCGTGTTCATTTTGTGCAGGGAGGACTTTAAACAGCAGCTGACTAGATGCCAGCAGATGTGAGAGTAATAGGCCTTTGGATTTAAAATGCTGCTACAGTCACACAAGGGAGAATGAAGAGTTCTTCTTGTTCAGCGGATGTTCAGTACCAGCAGCTATAGCTTTATAAATTACCAGCTGTTATTTTTTCCTTCAGAGTTCCTCAGATTGCCTTTTAGAATTTTTCTTCCTTTCTGAAGCAACGTGTCCCACAGCCAGAAAGACCATATGTCCTGGAAGTTTGAGAGCAGTTCTGATTTAAAATAATCTATCCTGTCATGCACCCCCACAGGTTAGACTGTGTGACCAATTTGGGGTTCAGAAAGCATGGTCACCACAGACTCAGCCATTCCAGATGAACGCTTGCATTCCATCAACTCTCAGACAGTTTGATCATCGAGTGCTTGCTGCAGCACCCCCTCCGGCTTGGACCCCGTGCACGTTGTTACCAAGCAAAAGAAACAAGCAGAAAAAGAAGGGCATTGCTCTCCTACAATATTATAGGAATACTATTCTGTATAATTTTTAAAAGGTAGACAAATAGTTTTTTAAACTACACAATGCATATTGTAGAAAAGTTAGAAAATATAACAAAGCAAATAAAATAAAAACACCCTGACCCTACCAGTTACAGATAATTACTATTTAATATTTCAATGCACATATATATTTGATAGTCCTTTTTTAAATAAATGTGATCCTAATCTCTGTATACAGGTTTGTCACCACATTTTGCATTTAGCAATGAACTAGGAACATCTTTCTACATCTTTAAGTATTATTAACATCAGCATTTTAATTGCTGCCTAGTACTCTGTAGTAAGAATATACAGTGAGTTACTTTAAGTCCTTGAATGTTATTTGGACCCCTTATTATTTACAATGCTGGGGGGAGGCACAGTTTTCTTTACCTAAAGTATTTGGGTTGTGATATGCGACTTTGTCCTGCAGAAATCTGCAGATCTTCCTGAAAGGTGCCAGGAATCATGGCTTGCTATAATGGAGGTTAGTCTAGTCCTTATATGTGCACATGCATCAAGGACATGCTAGTATATCTCACTTTAATCTTTCCTATCATTTTCTGTTGGCTTCTCTTGTGTGTCTCAAGGGTTCTCTGGTGTCCAGACCAACTTTCTTGATGATCACATTGCCATTATTTTTTGGCTGGCTGTGGCATGCATTGTTCTGAGGTCAGTCTATGACTGAGACTGTCTGGATTACATTTTCGGGTGGTGCATCACACACCATGTCAGCTCCCTGGCTCCCACTAACAAGACTTTAAAGAGATTTTTAAAAAGGCTCAGAAAGTTTCTTGGATATCAAACAGCCCTTATAAAAATAACAGTTTTATGACTTAAAATGTAAATGAATCAGAAACATACGGATTAAATTTCCTTTGAAATGCCCAAGGGTTTAAAAACTGAGAGAAGAGCACTTGCAAAATGAGTTAAACTAAGTTTTGCCAAAAATAAAACACTTGAAAAATTGTTTGGGATGTTTTACAGATCCCTAGGTGCTCATGGGTCCTCTATTCTCTATTTGAAAAGTACTTCGATTTTTAAAATTTAGGTCACTTAATAAAATGCACTTAGAACTAGTTCAATGGGCATTTGGCTCTATAGTTACGGAAATGGTATTAAAAAGTCAAATTTAGATGAAGTGTACTTGAAATATGCCTACTACTTCAGTATCTTGCAATTTCCTCCTCTAGCTGCGATCATACCCTTCCCATGTGAAAAGGTGCACCATGAGAGCTTTTACTACTTTGGGAAAAGATTGATAGTATCTGTCAAACAAGTACAAATTAACACCGCTCTCCCACTTTTCCTTCTAAGGCAGTTGCTCCAGTATTTCCCTACTCTTCTATCTTAGGTCAGTATCCATAGAAATGGAGCCTAGGACAGGTATCCTTGCATAAGTGATTTATTAAGGAAGTTCTCTCAGGAGAAATCTGGAAGGAGAAGAAACAGATAAGGCAAGAGCAGAAGTTGAGCAAGATGTGGTTTCAGTTGAAGTCCAGCCTCAGCCTGATCCCACAGGGAACTCTGAAGCAGGACGGCACCACAGAGTTGTCCCTCCTTGAGGCATATCCCAGGATGTATAAGTCAGTCATTAGCTGTCAGCTGTCCCTGGATAAAAAGACATAATTTCCCTGGCATTTGGAAGACGGATGCAATAGACACATAAAGGGGATCTGGGCAGAGCATGAACAGTGTCCACTACATCCCTGTTTCTCAAAGCCTTGAAGACATCTTTAATTCCCCCCTACCTCCATGCTTCCCCTCTATTCAATGAGACTTCAAATTCTTTTTTTTTTTTTTTTTTTTTTTTGCAATTAACCTGCATTGATCTTCGTGTATTTCCCACTGCAGTCATGTTAGCCTAGACTTTCACCTCTGATAGCTGGATTTTCCTACCCAGTTCCCAAAAGAATTCCCAGTTTAGAATATCCCCTACATAGCTTCATTATTGTCTCTAAACACCATTTTCAGATGCCTAAGGATCAACTGTAATTCTTAAATATCTAGGAGAACATTTCTCATTTTTTTTTTTAAGATAAAGCATGCCTTTAAGGCTGGGTGTGGTGGCTCACACCTGTAATCCCAGCACTTTGGGAGGCCAAAGCAGGGGGATCACCTGAGGTCAGGTGTTCAAGACTAGCCTGGCCAACATGGTGAAACCCCATCTCTACAAAAATATAAAAATTAGCTGGGCATGGTGGTGAGCACCTGTAATCCCAGCTACTCTGGAGGCTGAGGGGGGAGAATTGCTTGAACTCCAGAGGCAGAGTTTGCAGTGGGCTTAGGTTGTGCCGTTGCACTTCAGCTTGGGTGACAGCACGAGACTCTGTCTCAAAAAACCAAAAAAAAAAAAAAAATAATAAACTAAAAAACCCTTTGAATCATAGTGTTCTCTTTGGAGTTCCATTAAAGATTAACATATTAAATTTTAAAATGATACTGTTTTGCTGTATCTGATATTACACTAAAGTAGATTATAATATGGAAAAATAATGCTTAAGAAAAAAACAATTTGAAAAGCATCAAATTTACCAGTTAATTAAACTAAAATTTTGTTAAAGCACTTAGACTACTACCTGATAGGAGTAAGTGCTTAATAAATACTGGTAATATTATCACTGTTGTTGCAACAGTCTTATAACTGATCTCTATGGTTATACTTTTGTCATCCTTTAATTGTTTCACACACACAAACCAGCGTGATCATGTTTAAACCCCAATATTACTGCTTTGCTTGTATCGCTTCCCAATTCATTTACAATAAAATCCAATCTTTACCTTAACCTATGAGACACCGAACAACCTTGTCCTACTCATGTCTCCAACCTCAGCTCCAGCCACTGCCCAACACAAGCTTCTAGCATATGGACTTTCTTATGTTCCTTGTACATCAGTCTCTTCCCTGCCTCAGGGCCTTTGTATCTCTTTCCTCCACTTAGAAAAGTCTTCTCTTTTCACCCCTCCTTGCACGACTGGCTCCATATTTAGGTCTCAGCTTAAATGTTTATTTCTCAGAAAGCCTTTTCTTATGACCTCATTTATTTATTCAACAAGTATTTACTAAGCACTGACAACAGTCTCCCTTAACTGCTGTTTTGCTTTCCATGATTTCAGTTATCTGCAGTCAACTGTGTTCTAAAAATATCAAATGAAAAATTCCAGAAATAATTGGTAAGTCTTAAATTGCACACCATTCTGAGTGGCGTAATGAAACCTTGCACTGTTCTGTTTCATCCTGCCTGGGACGTGAGTTATCCCTTTGTCTAGCATATCCATGCTATGTATGCTACTTACTGTTAGTCACTTAGTAGCTTTCTTGGTTATCAGATCAACAACAAAACAGTATACAGCTGTTCCTTGACTTATCATGGGGCTACATTCTGATAAACCTATCGTAAGTTGAAAATATCATAAGTCAAAATTATATTTAGTAGACATACTAATATCATAACTTAGTCTAGCTTACCTTAAATGTGCTCAGAACACTTATGTTAGCCTACAGTTGGGCAAAATCATCTCATAGAAAGCTTATTTTATGCTAAAGTATAGAATATCTCACATAATTTATTGGATCCTGTAACTGCAAGTAAAAAATAATGATCATCTCAATAGATGTAGAAAAAGCTTTCAATAAAATCCAACATCCCTTCATGATAAAAAAAAAAAAGACCCTCAATTGACTAGGCATTAAAGGAACATACCTCAAAATAATGAGTCATCTATATCAGACCCACAGCCAATATCATACTGAATGGGCAAAAGCTGGAGGCATTCCCCTTGAGAACTGGAAAAATACAAGGATGCCCACTCTCACCACTCCCATTTAACATAGTACTGGAAGTCCGAGCCAGAGCAATCAGGTAAAAGAAAGAAATACAAGGCATTCAGGTAGGAAACGAAGTAGTCAAACTATTTCTCTTCACTGACAATATGATCATATATCTAGAAAACCCTAAAGACTTCTAGAACTATTATAATAAATTAGGTTTCAGGACACAAAATCAATGCATAAAAATCAATAGCATTTCTATACACCAGTAACATCCAGGCAGAAAGTCAAATCAAGAACACAATCCCATTTACAATAGCCACAAAGAAAATGAAATACCTAGTAATACAGCTAACCAGAGTTGAAAGATCTTTACAAGGAGAACTACAAAACACTGCCAAAAGGAATCATAGATAACACAAATAACTGGAAAAATTCTATGCTCATGAGTAGGAAGAATCAATATCTTTAGAATGCCTGTATTGCCCAAGGTAATCTACAGATTGAATGCTATTCCTATCAGACCACCAATGTCGTTTTTCACAGAACTGGAAAATTTTCTAAGATTCATATGAAACCAAAATGCCTGAATAGCTAAGGCAATCCTAAGCAAAAAGAACAAAACCAGAGGCATCACACTATTCAACTTCAAACAATACTACAAGTCTACAGTAGCCAAATCAGCATGGTACTGGCACAAAAACAGACACATAGACCAATGGAATGGAATAGAAGACTCAGCAATAAAGCTACACACACACAACCATCTGATCTTCAATAAAGGTGACAATAACAAACAATGGGGAAAGAACTCCCAATTCTACAAATGATGCTAGGATAACTGGCTAGCCACATGCAGAATAATAAAACTTAATATTTCCCTTTCACCATATGCAAAAATTAACTCGATGGACTAAAGATTTAAATGTAAGACCTCAAACTATAAAAATGCTAGAAAAATACCTAGGAAATACCCTTCTTGACATCAGCCTTGGCAAATAATTTTTGGCTAAGCCCCCAAAAGCAACTGCAACAAAAACAAAAATTGACAAGTGGGATCTAATTAAAGAGCTTTTGCACAGCAAAAGAAACTATCAAGAGTAAACAGATGCTTGCAGAATAGAAGAAAATATTCACAAACAATGCATCTGACAAAGATCTGATATCTAGAATCTATAAAGAACTTAAGCAAAAACCAAATAACCCCAGGAAAAAATGGTCAAAGAACATGAAAAGACACTCTCAAAAGAAGTGTCCAACAAGAATGAAAAAATGCTACATCATTATCAGAAATGCAAATCAAACCACAATGAGATACCATCTCATACCACTTAGAATAGATATTATTATTTAATTATTTTTATTTCATAGCTTTTGAGGTACAAGTGGTTTTTGGTTACATGAATGAATTATATAGTGGTGAATTCTGAGATTTTGGTGCACCTGTCACCAGAGTAGTATACATTGTACCCAATATGTAGTTTTTTTATCTCACACCTCCCTTCCCACCCTCCTTCCCACTCTCCCACTTCTGAGTCTCCAAAGTCCATTACAACACTCTGTATGCCTTTTGGTACTCATAGCTTAGCTTATAAATGAGAACATATGGTGTTTTGTTTTCCATTCCTGAGTTACTTCACTTAGCATAATAGCCTGGAGCTCCATCCAAGTTGTTGCAAAATACATTTCATTTTTTTTTATGGTTGAGTAGTATTCCATGGTGGGTATATTCTACATTTTATCTACTCATTGGTTGATGGGCACTTGGGTTGACTCCATATCTTTGCAACTATGAATCGAGCTGCAATAACATGTGTGCATGTGTCTTTTTCATATAATGACTTATTTTCCTTTGGATAGGTAGCCAGTAGTGGGATTGCTGGATCAAATGATAAACATGCTTTGAGTTCTTTAATGAATCTATCTGATAGTACTTATCAGGTACTATGCTCACTACCTGGGTGACAGGATCTGTACCCCGGACCTCAGCATCATGCAATATACCCATGTAACAAACTTGCACATGTACTCCCTGTAGCCAAAAGTTGAAATTCAAAAAATGAATGGTTGTATAGGTCCTTAAAGTACAGTTTCTATTGAATGCATATGCTTTTACCATTGTAAAGTTGAAAAATCTTAATTTGAACCATTATAGTTGGGGACTGTCTGTATATAGGGTTTGGTATCATGTGTAATTTAGGCATCCATTGTAGGTCTTGGAACATATCCTCTGTGGATAAGGGGGGAGGGAACTACTGTACTGTGTGCCAGGCATTATTTCAGTCCCAGAAAAAATGAGTAGAAACCATTACAATAAAAACGCAGCAGTCCCTATTCTCATAGAGCTTACATATGAGAGAGCAAAAATCAAAAGTTAGCTGATCATATGTGTGTGTATGAGAAAAGTGAGAAGGAGAGGAAGAGTGCTGAAATAACGATTGTTAATTTTAATAGAGTGGTCAGAAAAGGCTTCTTAAATTTACCTGAAATAGAGCTAAAAGTCCTATGTAGCTATATATTCTGCATTTTTTTCTTTTGTAATTTTAATTTTATTTTAAGTTCTGGAATACATGTGCAGGATGTGAAGGTTTGTTACATAGGTAAACGTGTGCCATGGTGGTGCTCTGCATCTATCAATCCATCACCTACGTATTAAGCCCTGCAAGCATTAGCTATTTACCCCTTTGTTCTTCCTCCCCGCAACCACCCAACAGGCCCCAGTGTGTGTTGTTCCCCTCCCTGTGTCATGTGTTCTCATTGTTCTGCTTCTACTTATAAGTGAGAACATGCAGTGTTTGGTTTTCTGTTCCTGTGTTAGTTTGCTGAGGTTAATGGCTTTCAGCTCCATCCATGTCTCTGCAAAGGACATGACCTCTTTCCTTTTTATAGCTGCATACTATTCCATGGTGTATATGTGCCACATTTTCTTTACCCAGTCTATCGTTGATGGGCATTTGGGTGGATTCCATGTCTTTGCTATTGTTAACAGTACTGCAGTGAACATATGCATGCATGTATCTTTATAATAGGAAGATTTGTATTCCTTTGGATATATACCCAGTAATGGAATTGCTGGGTCAAATGGTATTTCTCATTCTAGGTCTTTGAAAAATTGCCACCTGTCTTCCACAATGAACTAATCTACATTTCCGCCAATAGTGTAAAAGCATTCCTATTTCTCCACAGCCTCTCCAGCATCTGTTGTTTCTGGACTTTTTAATCACCATTCTGATTGGCATGAGATGGTATCTCATTGTGGTTTTAATTTTCATTTCTCTAATGACCAGAGATGTTGAGCTTTTTTTCATGTTTGTTGGCCACATAAATGTCTTCTTTTGAGAAGTGTCTGTTCATGTTCTTTGCCCAATTTTAATGGGGTTGTTTGTTTTCTTCTTAAGTTCCTTGTAGATTCTGGATATTAGACCTGTGTCAGGTGGCTAGATTGCAAAAATCTTCCATTCTGTAGGTTGTCTGTGCACTCTCATAGTTTCTTTTGCTGTGCAGAAGTTCTCTAGTTTAATTAGATTCCATTTGTCCATTTTTGCTTTTGTTGCAATTGCTTTTGGTGTTTTAGTCATGATATCTTTGCCCATGCCTATGTCCTGAATGGTATTGCCTAGGTTTTCTTCTAGGGTTTTCATAGTTTTGGGTTTTACATTTAAGTCTTTAATTTCTCTTAATTTTTGTACAAGGTGTAAGGAAGGGGTCCAGTTTCAATTTTCTGCATATGGCTAGCCAGTTCTCCCAGCACCATTTATTAAATAGGAAATCATTTCCCACTGCCTGTTTTTGTCAGGTTTGTCGAAGATCAGATGGTTGTAGGTGTATGGTCTTATTTTTGAGTTCTCTATTCTATTCCATTGATCTACGTGTCTGTTTTTGTACCTGTACCATGCTGTTTTGGTTACTGTAGCCTTGTAGTATAGTTTGAGGCTAGGTAGCTTATGATTGTCTTGGCTAAATGGGCTCCTCTTTGGTTCCATATAAAATTTAAAGTAGTTTTTCTAATTCTGTGAAGAATATCAATGGTAGTTTGATGGGAATAGCACTGAATCTACAAATTACCTTGGGCAGTATGGCCATTTTCACAATATTAATTCTTCCTATCCATGAGGATGGAATGTTTTTCCATTTGTTTGTGTCCTCTCTGATTTCCTTGAGCAGTAGTTTGTAGTTCTCCTTGAAGAGGTCCTGCACATCTTCTGTTAGCTGTATTCCTAGATATTTTATTCTCTTTGCAGCAATTGTGAATGGGAATTCATTCATGATTTGGCTGTCTGCTTGTCTATTGTTGGTGTATAGGAATGCTTGCAATTTTTGCACATTGATTTTGTATCCCGAGACTTTGCTGAAGTTGCTTATCAGCTTAAGAAGCTTTCAGGCTGTGACACTGGGATTGTCTAGATATAGGATTATGTCATCTGCAAATGGAGAGAGTTTGACTTCCTCTCTTCCTATATAAATACACTTTATTTTTCTCTTGCCTGATTGCCCTGACCAGAACTTTCAATACTGTGTTGAATAGAAGTACTGAGAGAGGCCATCCTTACCTTGTACTGGTTTCCAAGGGGAATGCTTCTAGCTTTTGCCCATTCAGTATGATATTGGCTGTTGGTTTGTCATAAATGGCTGTTATTTTGTGGTATGCTCCATCAATACCTAGTTTATTGAGAGTTTTTAACATGAAGGAAAGTTGGAAATTTTATTGAAGGCTTTTTCTACATTTAAAAAGACAAACAATCTGGTGGTTTTTTGTCTTTCTGTTTATGTGATGAATTATGTTTGATTTGCATATGTTGAACCAGCCTTGCATCCCAGGGATGAAGCTGACTTGATTGTAGTGGATAAGCTTTTTGATGTGCTGCTAGATTCGGTTTTCCCGTATTTTACTGAAGATTTTTGCACTGATGGCCTGAAATTTTCTTTTCTTTCTTGTATCTCTGCCAGGTTTTGGTATTAGGATGATTCTGTCCTCATAAAATGAGTTAGGGAGATATCCCTCCTTTTCAATTGTTTGGAATAGTTTCAGAAGAAATGGTACCAGCTCCTTTGTGTACCTCTGGTAGAATTCAGCTATAAATCCATTTGGTCCTGGGCTTTTTTTTTTTTTTTTGGTTGTTGTTGTTAGGCTATTTACTACTGCCTCAGTTTCAGAACTTGCTATTGGTCTATTCAGGGATTCAAGTTCTTCCTGATTCAGTCTTGGGAGTATGTATGTGTCCAGGAATTCATCCGTTTCTTCTAGATTTTCTAGGTTATTTGCATAGAGGTGCTTACAATATTCTCTGATGGTTGGTTGTATTTCTGTGGAGTCAGTGGTTAGGTGCCCTTTATCATTTTTTATTGTGTCTATTTAATTCTTCTCTCTTTTCTTCTTTATTAGTCTAGCTAGTTGTCTATTTTATTTTTTCAAAAAACCAGCTTCTGGATTCACTGATTTTTTTGAAGGGTTTTTTGTGTCGCTCTCTCTCCTTCAGTTCTGCTCTGATCTTATCTCTTGTCTTCTGCTAGCTTTGAGGTTTGCCTTGCTCTTGGTTCTCTAGTTCTTTTAGTTGTGATGTTAGAGTATTGATTTGAGATCTTTGTAGCTTTCTGATGTGGGGATTTAGTGCTATAAACTTCCCTCTTAACACTGCTTTAGCTGCATGCCAGAGATTCTGGTACATTGTCTTTTTGTTCCCATTGGTTTCAAATAACTTCTTGATTTCTGCCTTAATTTCATTCTTTACCCGGAGTCATTCAGGAGCACGTTGTTCAATCTCCACATAGTTGTGTGGTTTTGAATTTTGTAATCCTGAGTTCTAATTTGATTGTACTGTGATCTGAGAGACTGTTGATTTCAGTTCTTTTTCATTTGCTGAAGAGTGTTTTATTTCCAATTATGTGATCAATTTTAGAGTAAGTGTCATGTGGTGCTAAGAATAATATATATTCTCTAGTTTTTGGTTGGAGAGTTCTGTAGATATCTATTAGGTCCACTTGATCCAGAGCTGAGTTCAAGTTCTGAATATCCTTGTTAATTTTGTCTTGATGATCTAATATGTTCTTTTGTATTTTCCCCCCTTAAAGCTATTTATTAAAATTAATAATTGTTTGAAATTTTTTCCTGATTTTTTGGGAGTGTGTTTTCCAATAGACGCAATTCTGTCTTCATTGAATTTATAGTCTATCTTGTTTACTCACTATTATATTCCCAGCATGTAACATTGTACCTGATGCATAAAAATTACTCAATATGTAAAGTTGTTTATTATTAATGAACCAAAAATTAGAAATTAGAAAGTAACTCTTGAATGCAATCTATTATACTAGAGTAAAATGAAATGTTATACGTGAAAGTACTTTTTGTCATGACAAAAGCTTAAAAGGACAAAGTTAAATTGTAATGAAATGTTGCCTCAAATAATTTTGAGTAAGATATATGGCATAAATAAAAGGTGAACATCTGGGGGACCATCTTAGCAGTATGGTACATTCCATTATATTGCAACAGAGAGAAGTGGAGCTGTATTCTACCTCCAAACTCCGATCTCTATATCCCCTTTGTCATTCCTCAAAACATAAAAGGAGTACCCACCAAATCTTTATATCTATCTCTCCTTCCCTATGAATGCCTAAGATGCTGAGAAGATATGCACAATGATTCATTAAGACCATTTGATGTGGATGGATGGGAATAAAATGAATTGAATTCCTTGTTAATTATTGAATAATAGGTCAATTGGTAAATTAGAAAATTTTCCACTTTTGCAGACAATTACCTCTATGTCTGGCATTAAACATCCCGTTGTCCTGGGCCTTATACTTCTGACAGCCTCACTGTACTCTCTAGCTGAGCTCTTCTCCACAGGGCAGAGTGGTGGGGCCAAAGAGATCTTTGTTCACTCAGAGAACTTACCATGCCTTTCATGGTCTGGGCCCTGGATCCTCAGAATTCTTTGCCCAAAACAGCCCTGGCTTCACTTCTGGGCATGTGCAGGCTCTTCACAAAGCTCTACTTCCAAAGAGCAGATCCCAAAGCTGATATGCCTATTCCAAAACCCAAGGAACGGTGGCCTAAGATTGGCTCCTAGTGAGATGAATACAGAGCTCAATGGCTGGGGTGTCCACATACATGTTTGTGAGGTCCCTTGTAGTACAAGATAGAACCCAGGAAGGAAACAGAAGGGACAGCTGCCAGCTGAAGTCTGGGGTGTGGGCAAAAGGGGATCAGCTCTCTCAATGCTGCCATATTCTGGCTGAGGATTTGAGAGAATCTATAGGAATTTCTGCAGGAATTCTGTTTGAATCTGGCCTTCTAACCTGGAACGGGTGATATAAGCAGAGTTGGGAGGTCTGCGCAAGTTGTAAACAGGAATTGGTTGGCTTGGCTTCAGGGTTTCACTGCTCATAGTGTGTGTCTCCTTCTATACCCTTGAGTAGATCCCATAAATGTCAGGGCCAGGCCTGTCCACTTCCCAGTCTCAGACCAAACACCTAATTCTTTTTCAAATTTTCCATTGAATGAAGAGAAATTGTGAAGACTGACAATAACTCAATCCAGTAGAAACATATCTTAGAAGAAATAAAACTATGAGGCACATTCAAGGCTCGGAAACCCATGAGGTTTCCCTATGAGGTTGCCCTATCTTTGTAATATCAGTCTGTAGCTGCAGAGAACCACCACTCCCAAGGGTCCTGGGAGTGTCACACCCAGTGCTTGTGAGTGGGGTGTGCCCCATGAAGATATCATTTCTCACAAAAATCTGTAACCCCTCTGAGGTTTATGTTGTAGGCCCTTTTCCTAGACTGTTATTATTTCCAGGGAGAGACTTGAGAATTATACTAATAGTAGGATGCTAGTGGGTATTTTCTAAGTAAGGCCAAGAGGGCAATCAGGAAGCTGCAGGTCAAGAAGTCAAGAGATGTACAGTGTCTTGTCGATTATTCTAGTGAATGTATTTAGAAAGAATAGTTACGAATTTACTTAGATTGAGGAAAAATGATTAAGCAAGTTAAATTCCAGGTGAAGTGGGAAATTTCAGTTTGGTCTGTGCTCTGCCAGAGACTTGAGATGTGTGCAATGTCATCATTTTATTTCATGTTTCATTGATAGCTAACAATATTAGACATCTCATAATGTTTATTCACCATATGTACTTCCCCTTTTGCAAACTATCTGTCCATGTGTTTGTCTACTGATACATTGGGGCACTAGGGTATTTCTTAGTGTTTTGTAATTTTTGTTCATCTTTTATTCTGTAATACACAGGTTTTACATTTTATCAATTTACAATATAGATTTTAGGGGATTGTGATTTATGTTGTACAAAATCCACATATTACTTAGGACAAAAATAATCCTTAGCCAGATTTTGTCTTTTACTCAAGTGTATGCTATGTAATGTTTAATCCTTTTTAAAAATTAAACCTTTTTATTTTGCAATCATTGCAGATACATAATCAGTAAGAAACAATAGAGAGATCCTGGGCACCATTTATGCCGTTTTCCTCAATAACATCTTGCAAAACTGTGGAACCATAGTCCAACCAGAGTATTGACATTGATAGAACCAACATACAGAATGTTTCAATCACCATAAGGATCCCTCAGGTTGCCTTTTTATATCCCCAACTCCTATCTCTGACCCATAACCCCTCACCCCTAACAACCACTAATCTGTTCATTTCTATACTTTTGTCAGTTCAAAATGTTATACAAATGGAATTACATAGTATGTAATCTTTTGTGATTGGCTTTTTCTGATGCAGCGTAATTCTCCAAAGATTCATTCAGGTTGTTCTGTATATTAATAGTGTTTTCCTTGAGATTTTCTAGGTAGACAATCAGCTTTTTCAAATAAAATTTAATTTCTTCTTTTACCTGTCTTTTATTTCCCTTTATTGCCTAATTGCACTTCATAGAACTTTGAGCACTATGTTGAATAAGCGTCATTAGGGATGATACCCTCACCTTATTCTCAAGCTCAGGAAGAAAACATTCAATCATTCAGCATTAAGAATTATGTTAGCTGAAAGTTTCTTGTAGGTGTCCTTTAATTCCTATTTTTCAGAGCATTTTTACATAAATGAGTGTTGAATTTTGTCAAATCCTTTTTCTGCATTAATTTTATGACATTTCTTCATTAGCTATTAATATTTGCACTACATCGATTGATTTTTAAATATTGAGCCAGTCTTCCATTCTTGGATTAAGTCTTACTGGGTTGTGGTATATAATTCTCATGTATTACTGAATTCTATGTCATATTGTGAAGCATTTTTTGTGTCTATGTTCATGAGATATTGGTCTGTGGTTTTTTGTTATGCTGTTATTCATTACCCAAGTATTTTTATCATTTTTATTTTGAAATTTAATATGCAGGGGTCTATAATTTTATCAATTTGCAGTATACATTTCAGTATCAGGGTATTTACTAGCTCCTTAAAATGAATTAGAAAATACCCCCTTCTATTTTCTCAAAGAGACTGTATAGAATTGCTGTCAAATCTTTATGAATGTGGTGGAATTCTGAAGGAAACAATTTGGCTCTGGAGGCTTTCTTTTTAGGAATTTTTAAATAATGAGTTTAATTAATTTTTTTTTAGTACTTATAAGGCTATTCAAATAATCTATTTTATATTGGGTAAGCTGTAGTAGTTTGTGTTTTCTAGGGAAATGATCTATTTTGTCTAAATTGTCAGATTAATGTGTGTACAGTTCATAGTATCTACTTATCCTTTTGATGTTTGCAGTATTGATAGCGATATCCCATTTCATCTCTGGTATAGGTAAGTCCTTTTTTTTTTTTTTTTGACGGTCTTGCTTGAGGTTTATCAATTAATTGATCTTTTCTAATAACCAGCTCTTTGTTTTATTCTTTAAAGTGTTTATCTGTTTTCAATTTCATTGAGTTCTACTCTTTGTTATTGCATCTTTCTGCTGGCATTGGGTCTATTTTTCCTTCTTTTTTTAGGTTTTTGAGGTGGAAGCTTAGGTTACTGGTTGAAGACTTTTCTTTTCTAGAGCATGCATTTAGTGCTATATATTTTCCCATCAGTTCTGCTTTATGTGTCTCACAAATTTTATGTTGTTTTCATTTTCATTCAGTTCAGTGCATTTTTAAAATTTCTTTTGAGATTTCCTCTATGACCATGGGTTATAAAATATTGTTGTTCAGTTTTCAAGTGTTTGGTGATTTTCCCATTATCATTGTTATTTATTTCTAGTTTGGTTCTTTTGTGGTTGGAGAAAGTACTTGTAGTATTTCAGTTCTTTTAAATTTGTTGAGGCTTGTTTTATGCTCAGGGTCTATCTTTATATGTGTGTTCTGTGAGCACTTGAAGAACATGTATTCTGCTGTTGGAATGTTCTATAAATATCAACTAGATCCTATTGTCTCATGTTGTTGAGTTCTTTTATATTCTTACTGGTTTTCTGTCCAGTTCTATCAATTGTTGAGTGAGGGGTGATAAAGGCCCCAACTATAATGAATGGATTTATCTGTTTCTCCTTTTAGATCTATCAGTTTCACTTCATATATTTTCCAGCTTTGTTGTTTGCTTCATGCACATTTATGATTGCTATGTTCTTTTGGTAAATCGACTATTTCATTATATAATGTCCCTCTCTGATAATTTCCTTAGTTCTGAAGCTGACTTTAATGTTATTAATATGGCCATTCCTGCTCTTTTTGATGGTTTACATAATACACTATTTTATTCCTTTTGATTTCAACCTGACGATGGCATTATCTTCAAAGTGAGTTTATGATAAACAGCATATAGTGTGTCATGTTTTTAAATTCACTCCGTCAATCTTTATATTTTAACTGGTTTTTCTAGTAATCACATTAGACACATAATTTATCATAGTCTATTGGTATGTCATATTAGTGGTTATCTCATGTTCCTTTACTCCCCTCATTTATAACATCACTGTCTTAAATCTTTCCTCTACATATACATCAGATAATGTTATGATTTTTGCTTCAATCATAAGTCATAATTTAGAAAATTCAAGAGGAGAAATTAAACTTAGTGTACTGACCTACATTTTGCTTGCCATATTCATTGTTTCTAACTGAAATTTCAAGATTCCTTATCAATTTCCTTCGTGTTTGGAGAATGTTAGCCATTCTTTTAGGGAGATAAGCTGACAATAAATTCTTAATTTAAAAAAAGTCTGTGCGTGTCCTGATTTCCCCTTTATTCCTGAAAGATATTTTCACTGAGTAGAGCATTTTGTATTGACAGTTGATTTATTTCAGCACTTGAAAAATATCTGTTACTTCCTCATGGTCCCCACAGTTTCTGATGAGAAATCTTCTGTTGTTCAAATTGCTTTTACCATATAGAAAGTGTGTCATTTTTTTCTTGCTGCTTTCCAGATTTTTCTTTTTCTTCCTTAATCAGAAGTTTAATTACTATGTTTCTTGGTGTGAGTGTCCTTGATTTATCCTGTTTAAGGTTTACCCAGCTTCTCAAATTGTAGGTTTAAATCTTTGCAAAATGTGAGAAGTTTTTAAGCCATTATTTAAGTACTTTTTCATTCTTTTCTCTTTCCTGGAATCCAATGACATAAATATTTGCTCTTTAGCACAGGGTCTTGTTCATTTTTTCTAGTCTATTCTAATTTCCTGTAAACTACTTCTTTCCTCAGTCTTTTCCATTCTGTTGTTGAGTCCATCCACGGAGCTTTGCATTTCAGTTATGGTATCTTTTAGTTCTATAATTTCTCTTTGATTCTTATTTATATATTTTATTTCTTAGCTTTATAGCACTTTTTCATTTGTCTCAAGCATGTTTATAATCACTTGCAGTAGCACTTTTATTATAGCTGCTTTAAAATCTTTGTTAGATGATTCTAACAACTTTGTTATCTCAGTGTTAGCATCTATTAATTGTCTTTTTTTCATTTAGTTTGAGATCTTGTCCATTGATATCAAGTAACTTTTGACTGAATCTTTGACATTTTGTAATATGAGACTCTGGTTATTATATAAAGCTTCAGCCTGGAGTGATGACTCATACCTGTAATCCCAGCCCTCCAGGAGGTCAAGGTGGGAGGATCACTTGAGCCCAGGAGTTCCAGACCAGCCTGGGCAACACAGGAAGACCCCATCTCTAGAAAAAATGTTAATGTTAGCTATGTGTGGTGGTGCACATCTGTGGTCTCAGCTACTCAAGAGGCTGAGGTGGGAGGATTGCTTGAGCCCAGGAGGTTGAGGCTGCAGTGAGACCTGATGAGGCCACTGTACTCCAGCGTGGGTGACAGAATAAGACCCTGTCTCCAAAAATATGTATAAAGAAAGAAAGAAATAAGCTTTTACTTCAGCTGGCTTTTTTTTTTGACATTGCTCAGCAGGGAAAAGTGAGGCCCTACTTTATTACTGCCAGAGAGAGGTAGAAGTTTAGGTTGCCCTTTGGCCTTCCTGTAGAGGGGGGTCTACTCATTACTTCTGGGCAGGGTACAAGTCCTGGTCCTCACATGGTCTCCACTAACACCGTGGTGGGGGTGGCCTCCCTACTGAGGAGTAATGCCAAACATTCTGACTCTGCATGGAGCTTCTTTGACACCAGAGAGTAAAGAAGGGAAGGAATACCTCATTAATGCTGGGTAGGTGTTGAAATCTAGGCTTTCCATGTGGTCTCTCTGAAAATAGCAGGTACGGACTCTTTACTTCTGGAGGGGAATCAACATTACAGCTCCTTATTTAGCCTTCTGTGACACTATCCCAGCAGGGGTATTGGAGTAGCTTGTCGCAACCTCTTGAGGTGAAAGTCTGGACTTTCCACTTAGTTTTTACTGATGTGGATTGGGTGATGGCTCACTTTACTTTTTTTGGTAGTGTTTGGCTGGGGTAGGTTGTCTGAAGGTTTTCTGTCTTGCTGGGCTGCCCTACTGTAGTCCTTTGGCTAGAGAGAGCAGACTTTTATTGGGGCTGGTTTTTGGTCTACGTATATTGACATTTTGGGGTCGTTACCTTCTTCAGCTCTAGAGTGGGAAAGCACAGAAAGCAGAAAAGCACTGCAGTGTGGTCCAGAACCTGTCCCTCCCATTGAAAGCTGCAGCTTCTAATCTTTTGACCATGAAGACTCTTGTTTATTGTCCTTTCTGCTTTGGTATCTGTGCATTTCTGTTGAATTTGTGAGCAGTTCTCTAACACCATTGGCAGTGGAATACTTTTCCATTGTGCTTTCTAACTGATTATGAGATATGAGATATTATGGGATATGAGACAAAAAAAAATCACAAATGTAACTCACCACCATATTATTCCTTACATTGTGAAGTCTGTAGCTTACTTGCCTTCTCTTCATCTTTCAGAGACTCCTTCTGTTTGTTCTGTATGTAACGTCCAAGCTTGTTGTAATTAGAGGGAGGAATGGGAAGAAGCGCATCTAATTCAGACTCCCTGAAGTGAAAGTCCTTAAAGCTTCTTTTATTGCTCTCATTTGGTTTGTAGGTATTTTATTTTCATTTTATAGGTGCCACATGGTTCATGTTATGTTCATTCTTAAGTTTACAAATACTCATGTACATAGTTACTATTTTTAAGTCTAATGTATGTAGGATCTAAAACACTTAAATTCTCCATCGTTTCTCAATTTCTCTTAACCTGCAGGGAGAGTCCCAAGAAGCATATATATGTATGAAAAACATTCTAGATAGCATCACATTTTATTACTAATTGCAGTTTTTGATTCCACAACCCTGTATAACTTGGCATTCTGGTGAATTGGACCCGAACATCTGTGAATCTTAAAAATAGTGGTTGACTCATTATGGCTTCCTTATGTATAGGATTAAGAACACAGATCCTGGAATCAGACAGCCTGGCTTCCACACTCTAGCTGGGTGACCATGACCATGAAGAAGTTCCTGAATGTTCCAGTGTCAGTTTATTCACCTACAAAATGAAAATAATATGAGTATTAACTGAAGAGAAATCTGCTGTCATACAAATAGTTTTTGTTTTCCCTGTAGGTAAGGGGAATCTAAGATCATTTTATTCCGGTTGCTTTCCGTATTTTTTCTTTGTCTTTAGTTTTCAGAAGTTTAATTACATTGTGTCTTGATTTGGATTTCTTTGGTTAAACCCGTGTAGGGTTCACCTAGCTTCTTAAACTTATAGGGTTAAGTCTACAGTAAGGCTAAGTATATTAATATGTACGTAGCATTTACAACAGTGTCCACCTCATAAGAACCATTATGTGTTAACGATTAGTATTACCACTGCCTTCCCTCAAGGCAGCACAGAAAGAAGAAAAGTGCTGCATTGTGGTACAAAACCTCCTCCCATTGAAAGCTACGTCTTCTAATCTTTTGACCATGAGGACTCCTGTTTATTGTTCTTTCTGCTTTGGTATCTGTGCATTTCTCTTGAATATGTGAGCAGTTCCCTAACACCATAGGCACTGGAATACTTTTCCATTGTGCTTTCTAACTGGTTATTATTATACTAATAAAGATCATACCTTCGTATCTTTGTAATTGTAGTAAGGTGCACTGCTTTCTTAGGCATTCTAGGACCTTGTGTGTGTGTGTGTGTGTTTGCATTTCCAGGTAGTCAATTATTTTCTAGGTAAATTATAATTCCAGTCACTATATCTTTTACTTCAGTTACACTGCTCAGGACTTGAAAAATGTGATTTTCTTTGCTCTCTTTGTTTTCATTCATTTTTCTTTTTCTGAGACACACATAAGTGTCTTGCTCTGTCACCCAGGCTGGAATGCAGTGGTGTGAACATAGCTCACTACAGCCTTGACATCCTGGGCTCAAATGATCATCCCACCTCAGCCTCTTACCTTGCACAGCTGGTGCTTGTTGTTGTTGTAGAGACAGCGTCTCACTATTTTCCCTAGGCTGTTCTTCAACTCCTGGGCTCATGTGATCCTCCCACCTCAGCCTCCCAAAGCACTGGGATTACAGGCATGAGCCACCATGCCCAGCCTGTTTTGATTTCTTATACAGGTAAAATATCCATCCTCTAATTTCCATGTCAACAACTTCTCTGTCACAATGTCTTTTCTCCCTATGCTCTGCATTCAGGCATCTCATTAATTATTTATTTTTTACTGCCTTCAACCTTTTTATTGATAATTTTATTGCTGTGTAAACATCTCAATATTTTTAGACACTGATGCTCCTTTATTATAGAGTTAGGATGAGCAGAGAAGATAAACCAAATATTTTCTTATCTTCTTCTGGTCTATCTGCATAGGTAAAGAAAAGTCTAGGGCATTTCTTTGATTTTTTGGGGGCTACAATCAACACAATTTCTATTTATATTTTTTCTTTTATTGTATTTTTTAATATGTATTTTTATGGTCTTTTAAAGGAAATTTAAAGATGGTGGATCAGGTATAACTGGTGTGCTACCATTTTAACATAGATATCTATCAAGGGACATCACCCTATAACTGTTACTCATGTGTGAACTTGAGTATGTACTTCTTTGAACTCAAGTTTCATCATATTTAAAACAGGAGAGGAAGAGAGTGTTAAAATTATGTTTTCCAGTTGCAAACATAATCTTTATGTTTGTACTCATAGGAATGTTTAAATTGTGAGGTAGAGATAATGAAATTTAACAAATGAAGATGATTAAAAAATACATATATTTAGCCCAGATTCAGGCAATTGATTATCAAAAACTCCACTCAAAAATAAATGCCTGTGTAAGGTATAACAGTTCTGATACCACTGCACATCTATCTTGGAAATGAACAATTAAGTAAATATGTGGTGAATGGAAACATCTAGGCTTCTCATTACTGGGGTGAGAGTTTACAGGTAAGCAAGGGGAAGAGGCCAGATTAGAACTAAAAGCATTCTAATAGATTAGAATTGAAAACACCTTTATAAACTCACGTTCAGCATAACATACAGTTACATATAGAAATATTTATAAATATGTTTATATACACATAGATTTCCTTGCTCTCTCAACTGAAAGGGTCTGGAAGCAACAACACCCCAGGAATAACAAGCACATCTAGCACCCATATTCAGGTTTTAATACCTTTCTCGAATAAATGGAGTTAGGGTTCCTTGGAAAATGGGCTGATTCTAAGACTGGGGCAGAATATATCTGTGATGATCCTGGAACATCCTTTAGTACCAAAAAAATAAGGCAGTGCTCAAATAAAATACAACAACTCCACATGCATGAGGGCATATCAAACAAACATGAGAATCAACTGAAAGAGCCCCCAGTGGCCAAAGCCACAGCAATTTGAGCAACAAAATAAGTAAAGTGGTATTAGATTATAACCCAAAGTATAAAATAAATATCCATGAGTCCATACGGATATAAATAGTTGAATGAATTAGTAAATTGGTGAGAGTAGACAAATCTTCCATGCAGAAGAATCCAAATAATTTATGGAGATGTTCTGTCCTCAAATAAATAGATCATAACCTCCCCACCCCTTAAGTATGAACTGTGGTTGGCGATTTCTTTTGAAGGAGTACAATATAGAATGGAGGTAAAAACAGTACCTTTACAGAGAAATCTGGCAAACACTACCTCAGCCAGGTGATCAAGTTCAATATTCAGCAATAAGTCATGTTGTTTGTTAGTGTGTGCTCTTGATATGACATGATGAGAATTGCACTTCACTTCTGTGATATTCCCCCTGAAAACACACAACCACAGTCTAGTTAGAACATAAAAAAAAAAAATCAGATAAATCCCAAGGGAGGAAAATTCTACAAAATACCCGTTCAGTACTTCTCAAAACTTTCAAGATCATCAAAAACAAGGGAAGTCTGAGAAACTGTCACAGCCAAGAGGAACCTAAGGAGATATTATGATTAAATGCAACGTCGTATTGTAGTTGGGATCCTGGAATAGAAAAAGGATATTTTGTTTAAAAAAAAACTAAATAAATAGGCATTAGGTATAAACTTTAGTTAATAATTTATCAGCATTAATTTATTAATTATAACTAATACACCATACTAATGTAAGATGCCAATAATAGAGAAAATTGGCTGTAGGATATGTGGGAACTCTATCAACTGCAATTTTTTCCTGTAAATTTCAAACTGCTCTAAAATAAAAATACCTGTGGAATAAATGAGTGAATGGAAGGAAAAACAGTGTAGGAAAAAAGGATAGAGATTTTTAAAATTTATGTACTGAAGAGAGCTTTGCAGAAAATCTATTGGATTAGTTTTTAAATATAGACTAGAATAATTCTTTTCTCTTGCAAAAATAGATGCAAATAGAAGACAAAAAGTTTGAACACTGTGTAACACAGCCAGCATGTAGCCAATAGCATTTAATTTCAGTAAATAGCTTATAATCACAATAATCAGGCCAGGGACACTGAGCCAGCTATTAGAACTATTTTTTTCCAATAAAATAATTGCCTTAATTCAGACTGAGAAAATATTTGGGGGAGGAGGGTTAGAATAGTAAATACATCCACCAAAATTATTAATTAGCTTTATACAGCTATGGCCAAAGACACAGAAATAACTGGCTCTTATTAGAGAAATAAACCAAAAGAGGATAGGAACGGTATTGCACAATTGTGTTGCTTTGAAACTGTGAGAGTTTCTCAGACTTTCTTTGTTTTTGATGATCTTGAAAGTTTTGGGAAGTACTGGAAGCCATATTTTGAAATCCTATTGATACAGAATCATCTTAAAATGATGCGTTTGTCATGTAATTGTTTTTCATAATGTAGATAAGTGATACATCAATGTCTTATTTTATAAATATTTGCCAGTAATCTAATGATCATAGGCTATTTTTATGCTTCCTTTAATTTTCAAGGAATTTTTAATGCTTGATGATTTTTAGTCAATTCAGTTTACTTTTCCTCCATTACAATAAAATGTTATCAAATTAAATACACACATGCACAGAAGAAGAAGAAAACTACTTATAATCCCATGTTAACTGTTTAAAACGTATTTCCCATTAGGTTTAAGTGCTGGGATTACAGACATGAGCCACTGTGCCTGGCTTATTTTTTAATTTTGAACTATAATTGTGACTATATGTATATTTAATTTGTATTCTGCTTTTTATCAGTTTACTACAGTATTTTTTATATATTTTAAATTTTTAATAATGTGTTGTTATATCTTGATTTACTAGTTTGTTGGATATTTAGAGTTTTTCCCAGGGATATTTTATTCACTCATGTATGTCCCAATTCCAGAAGAAAAATCGAAACCCAGTGATTTTGTGTCTGAGTGTGTTGTGACTATAGCATTCTTACATTTGAAACTCAGGAAGGAAACAACTGGGATCTAAGCAGCCAAATATGGAGGTCTAAAATATAAAGGTATTTTTTTTTAAACTGCCACATTCATTCCCTTTAGCATCCCAAAGTTTGAGCTCACAGTCTGGTTGGCCATATAATAAAATGGGATCTCAGACATCAGAGAACGCTGCATCTCAGACATCAGAGAACAAGCACCTATGAAAGTAGGCTTCTGACTTCACCTTCTCTTGCAGGGTATCATTCCCCTCAGGAGAACAGTTGTCAGAGCCACACTAAGTCATGTGCTTCATGAGTTTCCAGAGGTAGATCCATGGCAACCTCTGGTAGGACCAGAACAAACACAGCAAGGCACTTCTGGTAAGCATTGTCAGTTAGTTTTCCAGCAAGCCAATGAAAAGGTCTTTCAAAGTTGCCATTGCTTCTGGCAGAAATGTCGTAGCACTAGTGATATTTGTTTCACTGGAAGACAATAAATTTTGCCTTAATTTTCCTGTCTTTACTATCCATTACTGAAGCAGCTACATTGTCTATGATAAATACCCAGGTTTCATCATCTTGTGCCAGGAAAATTTAGGAGCAGAGGTTTAATAGGCAAGAGAAAGGAAAATAGCTCTCTAGTGACAGAGAGGGGAGTTCCGAGGGTAAAAGGCAGCCTGCTGGTGGTGGATGCACCAGATTTTATAGTCTGGCTTGGGGAGGCAGTGTTTGATTTACTTAGGGCTCAGAAATTGGTTTAATCAGGTATGACGTTTACATAGGGCACTGGGGAAGGCTGGCTGCCTCACCCTAATCTTATTATGCAAATGAACTTTCCCCTTGGCCAGAGCCATCTTGTCTGCTCCTTACTGTACAGGTAGCTGGTGGAGAATGCAAGATGGAGCTGCCATTTTGAACACGGTTGGCACAACTGCCAGCATCTATGTCTACAGCTCCATTTTACAGGCTGCTCTTTGTTAGAAAGAAAAATGATTTGGGGCTGCTCTTCATTAAAAGGAAAACCTTACTAAGCACTTCTGTACCCTCACTATCTGCCTGTTATAAATAAAGTTTTTGGTGCCACAGAAGAAATAGCACTCGAATAGAAAATTTTCTTTTTTTTCTTCTCAGCAAGGCAGTTTACTTCTATAGAAGGGTGCAACCTCACAGATGGAGCAATGGTGAATGCACACCTGGACAAGGGAGTTTCGAAAAGGGGGTCTTATTCCTGATGCACGTGGCCCCTGCTGCTGTGTAGTTCCCCTGTTGGCTAAGGTTAGACAGCACAGGCTAAACTAATTCCGGCTGACTAATTTGAAGATAGTGACGGGGTGAGTGGTTTGGTGGGAAAAATGGTTATGGCAGAGCAGGAAATCGGAATGAGTCAGGATGGAGCAGGTAATCAGAAAAGGTTGCTTTATGAGGAAGTTAAGTTTAAAAGTAGAAGGCAAAGAATTGAACCTACTGACATATTGATTCTTTGAAGAGAAATTTAGAACTCATATCTAACATGCCTAACTCCGGTGTCATTGCATTGCCACACAATGTGATGGGATGTTTCCATATACTGCCATCTGACCTCAGTGCCAATTAGATACATACTTATAAGTCTTGATGTTATATCAGACATGATAATGGTACACTGGACTTGGATACAACAGCCATTTATCAGGCCACCAAGTGTATGTTTGGTACATTGAATTTAAAAGGTCTAGTGTTGGTAGGAAACACAGGTGATGGACCTCAATAACTAAAGTGACTATATGCTTCTCAAATTCACCATTCAAATGACATTAACATTTCCCAAATATAGTTTTACCAGTACTGCCATCTCCAGCCAACACATGTTTAAGTAAAACTTAGGAATGTCCTTGGGCAGCCATCATAAAGGCTCTTCCAGAAGTATCTGTTCCTCACCTGACTGAGCCGAAATACATTTGTTTGTTTTTAATCTGAGTTCATGGTGAAAATGGGAACACTTAAAATATCAAATATTGAAGCATGAAAACGCCTTCAGATATTTTCATGATATATCTTAAAAATGATGAACTATTATTTGAATTAAAAACTCTCCAATTCATCAGGATTGTATGCATTAATTCATATAATGTTTATTAAGAACCTACTAGGTGCCAGGCACTGTTCTACATGCTATAAGGAAAGCAGATAAAATTCCTGCATTCATGGAGCATATCTTTTTCACAGCCCAGAATTAAGGAGCCACTGCCTCCTGAGGTGGTTGGTAATGCCAGGAAAATGACCAGTCCTGGAAAAAATCTTGACCAGACACTGGAAACTCCTTATATTCTACTCTAGGTTCACCTCTGTTGACATAGAGTGAGGAGATAGAAAGATGCCAGAAGAGGAAATCAAAGTCTTCTAAAATGAGAGAGAGAAACTATGAAGCAAGTACTGATTTTCTGATCAATGAGCAAGTTCCCAATTTTATGTATCTGGGGACTGGGGAAATTTGTTGGTTAAAGGAAAGGAGGGTGGGAGGGAAACCAGCAAGATTGAGTTGGATACACTCTACAAAAAACCCTACCATGTAAGACAGAGAAAAACAATGGTTAATATGCACTAAAATCTGGATGTAAATCAGAGTTCAAAAGCCACACATTGTCCAACTAGAAGCACAACTCTGAATACTGGGTTTTATGACTGGTTTTGAACTAGGAAGCTGCTCAGGCTTTTAAAATTTTGTGGGATAGTTTTTGGTGGTGGGAGGAAGCAGAAGCCAATACTTCAGAAACTACAGAGGACCACGGGGAGTGAGAAAGGTTCGTGGCAAGCTAAGGGCCAATACTGTCGAATTAGATTTTTTTAATCCAACAAGAGCAGTCATTAAATTTAGAGGATCAGTCCTATGTTTCACACTGCATTTAAAGGATGAAAAGCAGGGCCACAGCTTTGGAATTAGTCTCTATCTTGTCTGGATGGGAAAAGGAAAGTCATTGGGGAGCCTGCCAAACATTGTATGGAAAATACAAAAGTGAGCCCAGGAAGAAAATAGTTTAATTTTCCCCAAGGAAAACAGACAAAAGGAAGAAGAAAAGAACTAGAGTATATGATAGAGACAGATCATACTGATTTGCTTCCCTTAAACACGGTCTCTCATCACATCCTTGAAGACATTATTTGGATAATTTACCACTGTTGTGTCAAAAGAAGGCAAAGTAAAGGACAGGCTGTGAAAAGGGGCTCAGAAGAAGTTAGAAAAACATGGACCTTTGTATATTTTCCTGTCATAAAATACTAGTTTGTTTGGGGTGAAGCAAAATGGAGTTGAACTTGGTTAAAGGAAAGGAAGTGAAATGAAGAGTGCCTTGTTGTTCAGGTGCACGGTGCCTGTGGATTTCAGCCAAGCCACAAATGTTGCATTACCAGCATAATGCTCCTCTACCAGAAACTTGATGCAGCATCGTGGGATTGTGCTCACTGCACATGGTTTGGCCCCTTTTAACACATCAAGTGCTGTTTTTGTCATATGACAAATAATTTTTGTCTCCTTAGATGAGAGTGACTATCAATTTCTCTTAGAACTTGAAGTGAAAAACTGTAAGGCATGAATAAATAATTTCTTCTGAATTAATATCGAGTATCATCTTGATCTAAATATGCATCTTCGAAGTGGGAAGGAGAATTTTGGAAAGGTTTATGTCTGTGAAACATTGAGTGAAACAAAAATCTCTGATTTCCCCCATAAATGGCTACTCTTTAATGGGACTCTCAATCTGAGACAGGAATGGTTGCCTGGTTCGTCAGCATCATGAGGTTTCAAATATTAGCTAGGCATGAAGAGTGATACAGTCATTAGACATGAACTGAAAGAAAGGATTTTTTCTGCATCCTTAAGGCTGTACTGTGATGTAAACATACACACACACACAGAGACACACACACTCTCTCCAATGACATCAGTCGAAACTTCCTGTGAGCAACTGGGAAAGGGACTTGGCTCAGAATTCCAAGAAACCCAACCTGAGATTTTAAACCACACTTCTTTCCAGTGCTTTCCAATTGATTCAATTTCAACGAAATTATCATTGTCCCTGGTTCCAATAGCAAACTGAAGGGAGAAGTAAATTAGGAAGGAAAAACATTTTGTTGGAAAAAAAGATGTGACTCTGTGGAAACATTTCAGAGGGGCCCCAAACAGATGAACTCCAAAGGTGCTATTCCCATGTTCTGTCAGGTTACCTGGAAACAGATGTTCCATGGAACTATGGCAGTGGCTGAAGGTGAGTAGGAATGGAAAAATGAGGACAAAGACCCACAAACACCTCCTCTTTCCCTCAGCCTCATTTGTGTTCCTGATATCAAAGCTAAACTGCTATTTGGCAAACATAGAAGAAGAAGAGAGAGGAAGTCACAGTATATTTCCATTTCTTGTCCAGTTTCCAGTTCCATGTCAGTACAGCTGAACCTTGGATGGCCTAGCAACTCCCTACGGAGGTCTGCTTGGCAGAATGAAGGAGCTTGTGTTAAAGGACAGCCTTCTGTGGCTCTCAGTCCACAAGCTGTCCATCCCCTCTGACCTCCATCAGTATCACAGTGATGATAGCAGCACAAAGACTACTTCACATCAAAAATACAAGAATTTTATGCAGGGAAGACACTAGACAGTGCCTCCTTGGCCAAAGTCCAGTCTGGCTAGAGAAATTTGTCTGCAAAAAGAAAATAAAAGCTGCCCTGTGCCTCAAACAGTGGGTGGTCTAAGTCCACACACACACAGCAGCTTCTCCATGACTGACAAATGGCACAATTAGTGGATTACTGGTGTAGTAATGTGAAAATGTCCATTTGAGATAACATGGCTTAGCCAGGCATGGTGACACATGTCTGTAGCCCCAGTAACTCAGGAGGCTAGGGTAGGAGGATCCTTTGAGCCTAGGAGTTTGAGGCTATAGTGTGCTTTGATCATGCCTATGAATAGCCACTGCACTCCAGTTTGAGCAACATAGCACAACCCCATCTTTAAAAAGAATAGATAACATAGCTTATCAGTTACCACCACTGACATAACCAGAATACTTGACTATAATAAATTTTGAATTGCATTATAATGTGAAATCAGTTAATTGCCAAAAGTAATGTGCTTTTTGACATGAGGTTCTGAATTGCAGGGTGCTGAAAAAAAATTGCCTGTGGTATAGTCAACTATTTTTGAAAGTAGCCAAGAAAAGAATTCAGGTCTCCTGCTGGCTGTTCCAGGCTTAATGATTTACCTTTGGTAGACACAGTGCTTGTTTTGGATTTCACACAAGTTGGCATGAAATCCAGAAAACTTTGAACAGATGGTCCCCAAGGCCATCTATGTCCTCAAGTAAGAATTCAATGCAATGTCTTTTGCTAACAAGAGATGTATGTCAGGGGAGAAAATCTCTCAAAATTTTAGAGAAATGTCTTTGGATATACCCAGGCCTGCCACCGCATCACAAACAGCATCATTTGAAGGCTTTGTTTCTTACTGGGGTATCCCTGAAAATCTTATCTAGGACCATATCTAAGAAAACCTCTCAATTCCTGGAGAGTTCTGAGGCTTTCAAAGAATATCCACAGTAGTGTGGAAGCTCTGCTTTCTAGCGGAACTCCTGTGGAACTTCCTGGAGTTGTGAGCCTTAATTATTTTTAGTTGACACATAATGTACATATTTATGTGATACAGTGATATTTTGATACATGTATAAAATGTGTAATGATCAAATCAAGGTAATTGCATATCCATCACATGAAACATTTATTCTTTCTTCGTGTTGGGAGCATTCAAAATCCTATCTTGTAACTATCTGAAAATACACAAAACTATTGTTAACTATAGTCATCCCACAGTGCTGTAGAACACTAGAACTTATTCCTCCTATCTAGCTGTAATTTTATATCTACTAACCAACCTTTTCTATCGTCCCCTCCCCTTCCAAGCTTCTGACAACCATAATTATATTTCGATAAGCTCAACATTTTTTAGCTTCCACATGTGAGTGAGAATGTGAAATATTTATCTTTCTGTGCTTATTTCACTTAACATAATGTCCTCCAGGCTCATCCATGTGTACATGTACCACATTTTTTTTGTCCACCCACCTGTTGATGGACAGGTAGCTTGATTTAATATAGTTTCCATTGTGAATAGTGTTGCAATGAAACAAGGAGGTTGAGACATACCTTAGATATATTGATTTCCTTACCTTTGGATAAATAACCAGCAGTGGGATTGCTGGATCATAAGGTAGTTCTGTTTTTGGTTCTTTGAGGAACTTCCATACTGTTTCTCATAATGGCTGTACTGATACATTTCCAACAACAATATATAAGAGCTTCCTTTCTCTGAATCCTCATGAGCATTTTTTTTTTTTGTCTTTTTGATCATAGCCATTCTAACTGGAGTGAGATGATACCTCATTGTGTGGTTTTGATTTGCATTTCCCTTATGATTAGTGATGTTGTGCATTTTTTTTTCATTTACTTCTTGACAATTTGTATGTCTTATTTGGGAAATGTCTATTCAGCTCTTTTGCCCATTTTAAAATCATATTATTTGATTTTGTTGCTGTTGAGTTCCTTTTATAATCTGAATATTAGTTCCTGGCTGGATAATGTTTGCAAATATTTTCTCCCATTCTACAGGTTGTCTCTTCACTTCGTTAACTGTTTGCTATGCAGAAACCTTGGTTTGACATCATTCCATTTGTCTATTTTTGCTTTTGTTGCCTGTGTTTCTGAAGTCTTAGCCATAAAATCAATGCCTAGCCTACTGCCTAATTTTCAGTGATACATTTAAGTCTTTAATCATTTTGAGTTTATTTTTGTAAATGGTGAGAGATAGGAGTCTAGTATTCTTCTGCATATGGGTATCCAGTTTTCCCAGCACCATTTATTGAAGATAGTTTCCTTTCTCCAATGTAAGTTCTTGATATCTTTGTCAAAATTCAGTTGGCTCTAAGTATAGGGATTTATTTCTGAGTTCTGTGTTCCATTTGTCTATATGTCCTTTTTTATATCAGTCCCATGCTGTTTTGGTTACTATAGCCTCATAGTATATTTTGAACTCAGATGGTGTGACACTTCCAGCTTTGTTCTTTTTGCTCAGGATTGCTGTGGCTCATCAGGGCCTTTTGTGGTTCCATACAAATTTTAGGATTGTGTTTTCTGTTTCTGTAAATGATGTCATTGATATTTTGATAGGAATGCACTGAATCCATAGATTCCTTTGGGAAATGTGGTTATTTTAACAATATTCTTATAATCCATGAGCGTGGAATGTCTTCCTATTTGTGCATGTGTGACCTCTTTAATTTCTTTTATCAGTGTTTTTGAGTTTTCCTTGTAGAGATTTCTTACCTCCTTGATTTTTTTGTCTCTTTAGCTATTATAAACAGGATTGCTCTATTAATTTCTTTTTCAGCTATTATGTTATAGGAATATAGAAACAGTACTGATTTTTTTTTTTTTTTTTTTTCAGATGGAGTCTTGCTCTGTCTCCCAGGCTAGAGTGCAGTGGTGTGGTCTCGGCTCACTGCAACCTCTGCTGCCCGGGTTCAAGCAGTTCTTGTGCCTCAGCCTCCCGAGTAGCTGGGACTACAGGCATGCACCACCATGCCTGGCGATTTTTTTTTTTATTTTTAGTAGAGATGGGGTTTTGCCCCATTGGCCAGGCTGTATGTTGATTTTGGATCCTGTAACTTTATTGAATTATCAGTTCTAAGAGTTTTTTTGGGGAGTCTTTAGGTGTTTCGACATATAAGATCATGTCATCTATAAAGAAGGACAATTTGACTTCCTCTTTTCCAATTTGAATGCCCTTTATTTCTTTTTCTTGTCTAATTGCTCTGGCTAAGAATTCCTATAATACAGTGAGTAGGAATGGTGAAAGTAGGCATCCTTGTCTTGTTCTGGTTGTTAGAGAAAAAGCCTTCAGCTTTTTCCCATTCAGTATTAGGTTAGCTGTGGGTTTGTCACATATGGCCTTTTTTTATGTTGAGGTTTGTTCCATCTATGGCAAATTTGTGGATTGTTTTTCTTATATAGGGATGTTGAATTTTACCAAATGCCTTTTCTGTGTCTATGTAGATGGTTATATAGTTTTCTTCGTTCTATTGATATGATGCATCACTTTTATAGATACAGGTATTTTGAACTACCTTTCCAGCTCTGGGATAAATCCTGCTTGATCACGCTGTATTATCTTTGTGATGCGGTTGGATTTGGCTTGCTAGTATTTTGTTCAGGGTTTTTGCACCTATGTTTATCAGAGATATTAGCCTGTAGTTATTGTTGTTTTTGTTGTCCTCATCTAGTTTTTTTCTTTCTTAAGTTCTGGGATACATGTACAGAATGTGCAGGTTTGTTACATAGGTATACACATGACAGGGTGGTTTGCTGCACCCATCAACCCGTCATCTACATTAGGTATTTCTCCTAATGCTATCCCTCCCCAAGACCCCCACCCCGTGACAGGACCCAGTGTGTGATGTTCCCCTCCCTGTGCCCTGTGTCCATGTGTTCTCCTTGTTCAACTCCCACTTATGAGTGAGAACATGTGGTATTTGGTTTTCTGTTCCTTTGTTAGTCTGCTGAGAATGACAGTTTCCAGCTTCATCCATGTCCCTGCAAAAGAACATGATCTTTTCCTTTTTTATGTCTGTGTAGTATTCCATGGTGTATATGTGCCACATTTTCTTTATCCAGTCTATCATTGATGGGCATTTGGGTTGGTTCCAAGTCTTTGCTATTGTGAATAGTGTTGCAATAAACATGTGTGTGCATGTGTCTTTATAGAATGATTTATAATCCTTTGGGCATATACCCAGTAATGGGATTGCTGGGTCAAATGGTATATCTGGTTCTAGATCCTTGAGGAATTGACACACTGTATTCCACAATAGCCAAATGAATTTACACTCCTACCAACAGTGTAAAAAAGTGTTCCTATTTCTCTACATACTCTCCAGCATCAGTTGTTTCCTAACTTTTTAATAATCACCATTCTAACTGGCATGAGATGGTATCTCACTGTGGTTTTGATTTGCATTTCTCCAATGACCAGTGATGATTACCTTTTTTTCATATTTCTGTTGGCTGCATAAATGTCTTCTTTTGAGAAGTGTCTGTTCATATCCTTTGCCCACTTTTTGATGGGGTTGTTTGTTTTCTTGTAAATTCTTGTAAATTTGTTTAAGTTCTTGGTAGATTCTGGATATTAGCCCTTTGTCAGATGGATAGACTGAAAACATTTTCTCACATTCTGTAGGTTGCCTGTTCACTCTGATGATAGTTTATTTTGCTGTGCAGATGCTCTTTAGTTTAATTAGATCCCATTTGTCTATTTTGGCTTTTGTTGCCATTGTTTTTGGTGTTTTAGTCATGAAGTCTTTGCCCATGCCTATGTCCTGAATGGTATTGCCTAGGTTTTCTTCTAGGGTTTTTATGGTTTTAGGTCTTACATTTAAGTCTTTAATCCATCTTGAGTTAATTTTTGTATAAGGTATAAGGAAGGGGTCCAGTTTCAGTTTTCTGCTATATTTCAGCAGTGAAGCCATCAGGTCATGTAATTTTCTTTGTTGGGAAATATTTATTACTCATTCAATCTTGTTGCTTCTTGTTGGGCTGCTCTAGTGTTAGGTGTATATATATTTACAACTGCGGTATCCTCTTGCTGAATTTATCTTTTTATCATTATATAATGATGACATTCTTTGTGTGTGTGTGTGAGTGTGTGTGTGTGTGTTTTTTTTTTTTTTTTAAGATGGAGTCTCACTCTGTCGCCCAGGCTGGAGTGGAGTGCAGTGGTGCGATCTCAGCCCACTGCAAGCTCCGCCTCCTGGGTTCACGCCATTCTTCCACCTCATCCTCCTAAGTAGCTGGGGCTACAGATGCCTGCCACCACACCCGGCTAATTTTTTTTATTTTTTGTATTTTTAGTAGAGATGGGGTTTCACCATGTTAACCAGGATGGTCTTGATCTTCTGACCTCATGATCCACCTGTCTTGGCCTCCCAAAGTGCTGGGATTACAGGCATGAGCCACCGCACCTGGCCTGTGTTTTTAAACTTAAAGTATATTTTGTCTGATGTAAGTATAGCTACACCTACATGTTTTTGGTTTTCATTTGCATGTAATATTCTATTCCTTCACTTTCAGTCTATATGTGTCTTTATAGGTGAAATGAGTTTCTTGTAGACAACATATAGATGGCTGTTTCTTATCCATTTATCCAATCTATATCTTTTCATTGAGAAATGTATACCATCTGTAGCCAAAATTGTTATTGACAGGCAAGGACTTACTCCTATCATTTTGTTAATAGTTTTCTGGTTCTTTTAAAAATTTATTCCTTTGTCTTATAGTTTATCCTTGTGGTTTTTCAATAGTGAAAACTTTTGATTCTTTTTTGTCATTTATGTATCTGCTCTACAAGTGAGTTTTATACTTTGGTTTATTTTCATAACGGTAGATATGGTCTCTTCACTTCTACATATAGGACTATTTTAAAATTTTCTTGTAGGGTTGGTCTAGTGGCGATAAATTCCTTCAATTTTGCTTGTCTGGGACAGACTTTGTCTTCTTTTTTCCTGAAAGATTGCTTTGCTAAATATGGTATTGTTGCCTGGCAGTTATTTTTCTCTTTGCAATTAAAATATATTGTCCCATTTGTTTCTGCTGAGAAAACCTTCGTGAGTCTGATGGGGATTCCATTATATGTGACTTGATGCTTTTCTCTTGGTGTTTTTTAGAATTCTGCTTTACGTTTGACTGTAACACATCTCAAAGAGGACCTTTTTGAATTGACCCTACTTATGGATCTTTGAGCTTCCTTTATCTGGATGTCTATATTGCTTCCAAGACTTGGGAAATTTTCACCTATAATTTCATTATGTTTTCTATGTCATTTCTCATATCTTCTTCTGGAACTCTTAAAATGCAACTTTTTTTTTCACTTAATGGTTTCCCATACATCACATAGACTTTCTCCATACCTTTTTATTCATCTGACTGGGTTATTTCCAGAGATTTTTCTTCAAGTTCAAAAATTCTTTTATCTACTTGATCTAGTCTATTGTTGAAGGTTTCAATTATATTTGTATTAATTGATTCAATTTCTCATTCAGATCATAAAATGTTTTCCTAATTTTATTAAGCTATCCATCTATGTTCTCTTGCTTCCTGCTGGATTTCCTTAAAATCCTTATTTTGAATCTTCTTCAGGTATTTCATAACTTTTTTTCATTTGGGTCAACTACTAAAGAATTATTGTGTTCCTTTGAAGGTGTCATGTTTTCTTGCTTTATGCATTTGATAAAACAGTTATGTCTTCCAATTGTATAGAGGAGCTTTTGTAGGAAATTACTTTTTCCTTTTGATGTATCTGTAAGTGTCAGTTGGGTAGGGTGCTTTGGTTTTGTTTCTTGCTGGGCACAGTGATACAGTCTCTGAATTTCTTGGGCTGTAATGAATGTGAGTGTTGTCTGTGAGTCTCTCAGTGGCCTAGGCTACTGTTGTTTGTGAAGGCTGTGGCATGGCTTTCCTTGGAATAAGAATGCAGAAAAGGCTGGTTTTGTGGCTTCTGGGGGGAATATGTAGGTGTACAGCCCCTCTGCTACAGGATGGGGTAGGGTTGCCAGAAGTGGCAGTGATAGGCCATGGATCAGCGAGTCCATGGGCCCCTGGGAAGTGTGTGCAGGTGCCAGTAGTGGTGGCAGCAGGTCTTGCATGGTGAGCCTTATAATAGGCCAATGAGAAATGCATAGACATAATTTGTTTTTAAAGGGCTCAGAAATATGGGAAATAAAATGAGGGAAAAAAAGCTATAGAGAAGTTTGAAAATGAAATATTCAAATGGCAGTGCAATAAAAACATGTAGAGTAAAAGTTACATAGCTTAAAGTTTGAATGAGACCTGGGGTAGAGAATGTAAGGCTACATACATACAGAAGAATGGGGATAGCATCACCTAGTGGTTGTGACTACAGTTTCTGAAGTCAGAGAGACCTGGATTTGAATCCCCATTCTCTTACTCATCAGAGATGTAGCTTTATGAATGTTACTTAAGTCTTGATGGCCTAATTTCTTCATTTATTAAAGAGAATAGTAAACTAACCTCATAGAATCTCATGAAGCTTTTCAATGAAATTGTGTATGTATGTAACTTGGTATGAAGACTGGCATGAAGTAAATGTTCAATAAAATGTTGGTGAAAATTAGCTTGAAATAAAGCATTCATTCTGAAGAAGAATAAACAGAAGGGCCAATTTATTTGGTGGACAACAGTAGGAAGCTTAGGTATAAGAAATAGCATAGAAAATGCCAAAGGCTTTGGTGAACCATATTATCTGAAAAAAAAAAATCAGCACACATTGATTTTTTCAGTGGGAAAGATTATCACTGAACAAAAGTAGAAAGTATATTTATAAATAAGAATACTCTTTTGCTGAAAGCTATATAAAATTTAACTTCGATCCTTAGATTATATTTTTGAGTTACAGCCAATTCTAGGTTACTTAAAGTTTTATAAATTGGCTCTTTTTCTTCCTTGTTGCACAGATTTTGGCCATTTAACTACTTATTAAGATTTTCACCAAAAGTACTTACCTGAAGATGAGGTTAAAAGTCAAATAATTTTGACTTGCCAGGTGATTAAATGCTACCAGGTAAAGAATAAATAATCACACCCTCTGCTCAATTAAAAAACATACTCTGATAAAGGACAATTTTTATCCTAGTTCCTAGTGATCTCATTAGATA
The DNA here is from genome assembly GCF_000001405.40 of Homo sapiens. Classification (NCBI taxonomy): domain Eukaryota; kingdom Metazoa; phylum Chordata; class Mammalia; order Primates; family Hominidae; genus Homo; species Homo sapiens. The sequence continues at coordinate 33,027,313 of NC_000008.11, read as the reverse complement.
CTATGCCTTCAACTTGGTTCTGCCCCAGGTGCATATGCCCAATTTCATGAAATGAAACTTTTGGAGATTATCAAGTATAAACATTGTGTTAGGGTACAAGGGGTTTAAGAATCAGAGTTTCATTATGTTACAGATAGTTAGACATGAGCAGGGGGCTCCCCACCAGGAATGTCAGGTGACCATCAAATGATGGTCAGGCAGTTGTTATACTGTCTCTCTAAAATAATTGGTCCCAGCCAGTGCCCAGAGAAAGGCAGTCTCCCAATAGATAGAAACACCTGAAATGTGACCAGCAGCTTCCTGCTAAGATCTCAGGAGGTGGTGAGGGGGCTCACACATGCACATTAAGAGGCAAAATGGTGGAGTTTAATTGGTATATGACTCCTAGAGACATCTGACTGGTAAGGGAAGGACCAGTGAAGGAAGAACGCCTCAAGTGAGCATGTGTACAACTCCAGTAAACACACTGTGCATGATCCCCTCCCAAATAGTAGTAGGCCACTGCAAATGCGAACACCTCACCTCACCCTGAGGGAGAAGGGAAAAGTCCTTCCAGACATTGGCTTAGGCAAAGACTTCATGACCAAGAACTCAAAAGCAAATGCAACAATAATAGATGAGACCTAACTAAAAAGCTACTGCAGTGCAAAAGAAATAACCGACAACTCACACAGCAGGAGAAAATATTCACAAACTAAGCATCGGACAAAGTACTAGAATCTACAAAGAACTCAAATTAGCAAGGAAAAAACAATCTCATCAAAAAGTAGGCAAAGGACATAAATAGACCGTTCTCAAAAGAAGATATGCAAACAGCTAACAAACTTATGAAAAAATGCTCAACATCACTAATTATCAGTGACATGCAAATTAAAACCACAATTTTAATTTGGCACATTACCCCCACAAGAATGGCCATAATTTAAAAAAACAAAAAATAATAGATATTGGCATGGATGTGGTGAAAAGACAACAGTTTCACACTGCTGGTGGGAATGTAAACTGGTACAACCACTATGGAAAATGGTATGAAGATTCCTTAAAGAACTAAAAGTAGCACTACCATTCAATTCAGCAATGCCACTAAGTGGGTATCTACCCAAAGGAAAAAAAAAAATCATCATATGGAAAAGACCACTTGCTCACTCATCTTTATAGCAGCACAATTTGCAATTGCAAAAATATGACACCAGCTTGAATGCTCATCGACTAAAGAGTGGATAAAGAAAATGTGGTATATACACACCATGGAATACTACTCGGCCATAAAAAGGACAAAATAATATTTGCAGCAACCTGGATAGAGTTGGAGACTGTTATTCTAAGTAAAGTAACTTGGGAATGTAAAACCAAACATCGTATGTACTCACTTATAAGTGGGAGCTAAGCTATGACGATGCAAAGGCATTAGAATAATATAATGAACTTTGGGGATTCAGATGGATAAAGGACTATACAGTGGGTACAGTGTATACTGCTCGGGTGACAAGTGCATCTAAACCTCAAACTTATCCCTGTAACCAAAAACTATTGAAATTAAATAAAATCTAAAGAAAAGAATCATAATTTAAAATTAAATGAAAGTAGACTGTGGACAAATGTCAACACCAAGATGACAGAGATATTAGAATTGCCCAACAAAGATTTTAAAGAAGCCATAATAAAAAATGCTTCAATGAGACATTATGAACATGCTTGAAACACATGGAAAAATAGAAAACCTCAGCTAAAAAAAGCTTCAACAAAGATGCAGACAATATAAAGAACTAAAGGGAAATTTTAGAACTAAAAAATATAGCCAATGAAATATAAAGATGTGCAAATGGGCTCAACAGCCTAATAATGGAGGAGACAGAAAAGAATCAGTATACTAAAATACAGAACAATAGAAATTATCTAATTGAACAACATCAAGAAAATAAACTAGAAAAAATGAACAGAGACTCAAAGACCTTTAGGATTATAATATAATATCTGATATTTGTATCACCAGAGTTCTAGAAGGAGATAAGAAAGAGGGAAAGATTGAAAAAGTACTCAAAGATTTAATGGCTAAAAGTTTATCACATTTTGGTAAGAGGCAAAAACTCTGAGATTCAGTATGACAAGGAAATATCGAAGAGGAAAAAATAAAACACCTAAGAAATCCACTTCAAGAAAAATCAAAATTAATCTTCACAAAGATGGAGAAAACATTATGACAGAGCCTAAAAATAAATATCTTATCCATAAGGGAAAAACAATGTGAATGTCAGCAGATTTCTCATCAGCATGGAGGCCAAAAGGATAAAGCACACTATTTTTCAAGTGCTGAAATAAAGTAATTGTCAACTCAGAACCATATACTTAGTGGATATATCCCTCCAGAATGAAGGGTAAATGAAGACATTTTTAGATGATGGAAAATAAGAGAATTTGTTGCCAGTAGATCTACTCTAAATGAATGCCTTCAGAAAGCTATCTAATCAGAAAGAAAACTTAAGCAAGAAGGAAGGTTATTACAAGCAAAAATATGAGTAAATAGACTCTCTTGAGTTTTCTAAGTTGATTATTGAAGCAGGAACCATAAAACTGTCTGTGGTTCTAAAAGTATGTGGAGGAATTAGTTAGAACTGTTACATTATAAATGAAGGAAGGTAAAGGGATACAGAGGGAGGTAATGTTTCTATACTCTCTTGTACTTATAAAATAATAACTGTTAGACCACATACATTATGTATACGTAAAGGAACTGCTAAAAAAAACTATACAAAGGAATCTACTCAATGTGACTAAATATACAATTCTAAAAAAAATGTGTAACCCCAAAGAAGTCAGGAAAGAGGAGACATACAATACACCAAAAAACAAAATGGCAGACTTATGTCCTGATATATCAATAATTTGACTAAATGGTGTAAAGTGTTCCAGTTAAAAGACGACAATTGCCAAAGTCGATTTTAAAACATCTCCAACTCTGTGTGCTTTATAGGAAACTAATTTCAAAAAAAATTACATAGGCGAGATTAAAGTAAAAAGATGGAAAATATATGTCATGCAACCAATCAAAAGAAAGCATGAATTGCCATATTATTATTGATAAAGTAAAGTAAACTTCAGAGCCACAAGAACTTCCAGAAACAGAGAGGGACATTATATAATAATAAAGAGCCAGTCCACCGTAAAGATGTAGCAATTACAAATAAGTTATAAGCAACAGAGCTATAAAATGTGAAGCAAAAAGTGGTAAAACTGGAATGAGAAATAGAGATATCTACATATATATTTGGAGACTTAAAACACTGCTGTCTCAATACTGGATAGAACTAGACGGAAAATCATCAAGAATATGGAAGAACTCAACGTTATTATTCAACAGAATCTCATCAGCATTTATAGAACACTCTATCCAAAAACAAAATAAATGTACTTTTCAAGTGTCCCTAGAATATGTACTAAAATAGATACCCTGAGCCATAAAAAAGCTCAAAAATCTATAGTTGAAGTTATGTAAAATGTGTTCTCCAATCACAAGGAAATGTAACTACCAGAAATCAATGACAGAAAAAGGAAAATCTCCAAATGCTTAAAAACAAAACAGACATTTATATAATCCATGAATCAAAGACTAAGTCTCCAAAAAAGTTAAAAGCTGCATTAAATTTAATACAAATGAAAATGTAACTAAGATTTGTGTAACATACCTGAAGCAGAGAGGGAAATGATAGCACTAAATATACATATTAGAAAATATAAAAACCCAAAGCAAGTATGAGGAATAAAATAATTACTAGCAGAATTCAATGACATTGGAAACAGAAAAAAAATAGTCAATAAAACAAAGCTGTTCCTTGAATAGGTCAATAAGTGTGACAAAATTTTATCAAAGACATACTAGTATCAGTAATAAAATAGGAGCTATCACTAGAGACCCTGGGGATATCAAGAACATCATAAGGGAATACAATGAACAATTCTATGCACATAAATTTAAGAGTTTAGATGAAATGTACTACTACTTTTTAACAACACACACTACCACAACTCACCCAACATATATAATAGATCATTTGAACAGCTATTAAGGAAGTTAAATTCTGTATTTAAAAATGACCCTCTCCTAAGTTAAGAAATCATTAAATCATGATGGTTTCAATGAGAATGTATATAGATGTAAGGCTGGTTTAATATTTAAAAATAAATCAATGTAACTGTTTGAAATGCTTGTTCCCCAGTGCCATAAAGAAATAGCACTTGAACATAAATTTATTTAGTAAGGCCATTTTTACCTCCTGCAGAAAGGGTATATTCTCCAGCAGTTTTGCTGGGAGAGTACACCGAACAAAGGAGACAGGGTCATTTATAACTTGACGCATCCATCCTGCTGCTGTGTTCAGTTTCCACTGGATGGAATGGTACCTCACATTCTGTATTTGTCCCGATTGGCTAGCAACTTAGAACTTTCTAAAAGAGGTAAAGGTAGAGGAGAACAAAGGACGGAGGAAGTAACTTGTGGAATGCTGAGAGAGATAAAAACACTTTTAAATAAGGAAGAGGAACAGGCTATGACCTAATGCTTGCTTGGACCAGTATAAGCATGCTAGGGCAAATATTTACGCTAAATTGTAGGGAGCTAAGGACATAAAGTACATTGATTTCTTTATTACAGCTAGCAGATATTTAGGAATGTTAGCACAGGTCTTTGAATGAATAAATTTTGCTTTTAAGAGAAGTTATTATTTATTCCTAATTAGACAGGGAGGAAAGTCTTTGAAGAGGAACCTCTATTTTACATTTTACAGTAACCTACCATATAACAGGCTAAAAAAAAAATCATGATAATGTCAGTGAAGTCAGAAAAATATTTGACAAAATTCATCACCCATTCATAATAAAAACTCACAGAAAAGAAAAGAGGTAAAATTTCCAACTGAATAAAGGGGATCTACAATAACCCTATAGCTAACACTAAATGTTAAAAGACTGAAAACTTCCCTCTAGAACTGAGAACAAGGCAAAGATGTGCATTCTTACTACTCTTGTTCAACATAGTACTGGTAGGTCTACCCTGTGCAATAAGGCAAGAAAGAAAAATGAAAGGGCACATTTTTCGGGAAGGATAAAACTATTCCTGTTTGCAGTGACATAATTTACCATGTAGAAAATTCCAAGGCATCTACCAGAAACAAAACAAAACCCTCCTGGAATTGAGTGAGTTCAACAGAGTCCCAGGGTATAAGATAAACATACAAAAATCAATTGTATCTATATAGTGGCAGTGGAAAAGTAGACAAAAATTAACGTATTATTTACAATTATTTAAGAAATTAAAATACTTAGGTGTAAATCTATAAAACATGTACAGGACTTGAATGGGAAAAATTACACAACAGTGATGAAACAAATTCAAGGTCAATATAATAGAGACGTACTCTGTTCATGGATTAGAAGACTCAGCATAGTAAAGATCTCAATTCTTCAATTAGCATGCATACTTAATTCTTATAAATAACCCAACAAGATTTTTTTGCAGTTAAAGCTAAGAAAGCTGGAATAATAAAAGGAATGTGTCTATGTGATTTCAAAGCCTTACATAGCTATAGTAATCAACTATATTATCAATATATTCACATAGCCCAATAAAACAGACTAGATGACCAATCAATACAATTATACAAATATGCCCAACTGATTTTCACAGGTAAAAAAGCAATTCGATGGAAGAAAGCTAGCCTTTTCAACAAATGGTGCTGGAGGAGTTATACATTTATACTCCACACCCACCTTTCAAAACTCTCAAACTAAATCTCACACCTTATAAAAAATTAACACTAAAACTTTTAGGGAAATACAGAAGGAATAATTAAGATCTAGGTCAAAACAGAGTTCTTAGATTTACAACAAAAAGCACAATTTATAACAAAAACATAAATTGGACTTCATCAAAAATCAAGAATTTGCTTTATGAAAGACCCTCTTTTGAAAAATTAAAAGACAAAGTACAGAGTGGGACAGAATATTTGCAAATGATATATCTGACAAATAGCTAGTATCCAGAATATATAAAGAACTCTCAAAACTCAATAGTAAAAAATAATCTTATTTAAAAATGGGCAAAAGACATGATATATTTCACTAAAAATGATATACTGATGGCAAGTAAGCACATAAGATGATGATATCACCAGCAAATGCAAACTAAAACCACCATGAGATATCACTATATACCTATCAGAATGGCTAAATTAAAGATATTGACAACAAATGCTGGTGAGGATGCAGAGAACGTGTTAACTCATGTGTTGTTGGGAATATAAAATTATACAGCCACTCTGGAAAACTGTTTGGCAGTTTCTTAAATAATTGAACATACAACTACTATAAGACCCAACAATATGGGGCATTTGTTTATCCAAGATAGATGAACACTTACATTTACACAAAAACCAGCATGAGAATGTATATTAATTTTATTCATAAGAGCCAGAACTAGAAACAACCCAGATGTCGATAGGTGAATTGTTAAAATAACTGTGGTAAATTCATACCATGGCACAGTACTCAGTGTTAAAAAGGAACAATGATTTAATTCTCACTACAACTTGGGTAAGTTTCCAGAGAACTAAACTGAGTGAAAAAAAGCTAATCCCCAAAGGTCATATGATGTATGACTCCACTAGTATCACATTTGCAAAATGACATATTTATAAAAATGGGAACAGATTAGTGGTTGCCAAGAAGTAAAAGCGAAGTGAGTGTGCCTACAAAAGGGTAACATGAAGGATCCTTGTGGTAATGGAAATGTTCTGTATCTTCACAGAATTAATGAAAACATCTACAACTATCTGATCTTTGACAAACCTGACAAAAACAAGAAATGGGGAAAGGATTTCCTATTTAATAAATGGTGCTGGGAAAACTGGCTAGCCATATGGAGAAAGCTGAAACTGGATCCCTTCCTTACACCTTATACAAAAATTAATTCAAGATGGATTAAAGACTTACATGTTAGACCTAAAACCATAAAAACCCTAGAAGAAAACCTAGGCAATACCATTCATTACCTAGGCGTGGGCAAGGACTTCATGGCTAAAACACCAAAAGCAATGGCAACAAAAGCTAAAATTGACAAATGGGATCTAATTAAACTAAAGAGCTTCTGCACAGCAAAAGAAACTACCATCAGAGTGAACAGGCAACCTACAAAATGGGAGAAAATTTTCACAACCTACTCATCTGACAAAGGGCTAATATCCAGAATCTACAATGAACTCAAACAAATTTACAAGAAAAAAACAAACAACCCCATCAAAAAGTGGGCAAAAGACATGAACAGACACTTCTCAAAAGAAGACATTTATGCAGCCAAAAAACACATGAAAAAATGCTCACCGTCACTGGCCATCAGAGAAATGCAAATCAAAACCACAATGAGATACCATCTCACACCAGTTAGAATGGCAATCATTAAAAAGTCAGGAAACAACAGGTGCTGGAGAGGATGTGGAGAAACAGGAACACTTTTACACTGTTGGTGGGACTGTAAACTAGTTCAACCATTGTGGAAGTCAGTGTGGCGATTCCTCAGGGATCTAGAACTAGAAATACCATTTGACCCAGCCATCCCATTACTGGGTATATACCCAAAGGACTATAAATCATGCTGCTATAAAGACACATGCACACGTATGTTTACTGTGGCACTATTCACAATAGCAAAGACTTGGAACCAACTCAAATGTCCAACAATGATAGACTGGATTAAGAAAATGTGGCACATATACACCATGGAATACTATGCAGCCATAAAAAATGATGAGTTCATGTCCTTTGTAGGGACATGGATGAAATTGGAAATCATCATTCTCAGTAAACTATCGCAAGGACAAAAAAACCAAACACCACATGTTCTCACTGATAGGTGGGAATTGAACTATGAGAACACATGGACACAGGAAGGGGAACATCACACTCTGGGGACTGTTGTGGGGTGGGGGGAGGGGGGAGGGATAGGATTAGGAGATATACCTAATGCTAAATGACGAGTTAATGGGTGCAGCACACCAGCATGGCACATGTATACATATGTAACTAACCTGCACATTGTGCACATGTACCCTAAAACTTAAAGTATAATAATAAAATAAAAATTAAAAACAAAACAAAACAAAACAAAACCAACAGGGTAACAAGAAGGATCCTTGTGGTAATGGAAATGTTCTGTATCTTCACAGAATTAATGAAAATATCCTGCTCGTGATATTGCACTACAGTTTTGCTAGATGCTACCATTGGGGGAAACTGTAAAGGATACACAGAATCTCTTTGTATTGTTTCTTACCACTGCGTGCAAATATACAATTATATCAGAATAAAGGTATAATTTAAAAAAGAGTACAAAACTGGAGGACTCATGGGATACCTTTCCAACATTTTCTATAAAGCAACAGTAATGAATAGCATCGAACATATGTAACTTTTTGTGGTTAAAAAACCCATAATAAAGTTTACCATCTTAACTATTTTTAAGTGTACAGCTTAATAATGCTTAGTATCTTTATTGTTTTAAAAGAGATCTCCAAATTTTTTTCATCTTGCAAATCTGAAACTGTATACCCATTAAACAGCAAACTTCCTTTCTCCCTTAGTCTTGTCCTTGTCACCACCATTATACTTTCCACTGCTTTTTTATGGCTGCATAGTATTCCATGGTGTATATGTGCCACATTTTCTTAATCCAGTCTATCATTGTTGGACATTTGGGATGGTTCCAAGTCTTTGCTATTGTGAATAGTGCCGCAATAAACATACGTGTGCATGTGTCTTTATAGCAGCATGTTTTATAATCCTTTGGGTATATACCCAGTAATGGGATTGCTGGGTCAAATGGTATTTCTAGTTCTAGATCCCTGAGGAATTGCCACACTGACTTCCACAATGGTTGAACTAGTTTATAGTCCCACCAACAATGTAAAAGCATTCCTATTTCTTCACATCCTCTCCAGCACCTGTTGCTTCTTGACTTTTTAATGATTGCCATTCTAACTGGTGTGAGATGGTATCTCATTGTGGTTTTGATTTGCATTTCTCTGATGGCCAGTGATGATGAGCATTTTTTCATGTGTCTTTTGGCTGCATAAATGTCTTCTTTTGAGAAGTGTCTGTTCATATCCTTCACCCACTTTTTGATGGGGTTGTTTTTCTCTTGTAAATTTGTTTGAGTTCATTGTAGATTCTGGATATTAGCTCTTTGTCAGATGAGTAGATTGCAAAAATTTTCTCCCATTCTTTAGGTTGCCTGTTCACTCTGATGGTAGTTTCTTTTGCTGTGCAGAAGCTCTTTAGTTTAATTAGATCCCATTTGTCAATTTTAGCTTTTGTTGCCATTGCTTTTGGTGTTTTAGCCATGAAGTCCTTGCCCACGCCTAGGTAATGAATGGTATCGCCTAGGTTTTCTTCTAGGGTTTTTATGGTTTTAGGTCTAACATGTAAGTCTTTAATCCATCTTGAATTAATTTTTGTATAAGGTGTAAGGAAGGGATCCAGTTTCAGCTTTCTCCATATGGCTAGCCAGTTTTCCCAGCATCATTTATTAAATAGGAAATCCTTTCCCCATTTCTTGTTTTTGTCAGGTTTGTCAAAGATCAGATAGTTGTAGATATGCGGCATTGTTTCTGTGAACATCTTAATGATAGTTATTTTAAGTTCTTTGTTAGACAGCTCCTAGATCTACATTTCTTAATGTTGATTTCTGGAGATTTATTGTTTTGTTTTGTTTTACACATTTGGACCATGTTTCCCAGTTTCTTATTATTATACCTTGTGAGAAGAAGTATGTATGGTTGAAGTTTGGGCATTTGAAAAAACCACCACCTCTCTTAGTCTTTGTGTACTGGCTTTGTGCAGGGAAAGGCCTTCACCAATCATCTCAGATCTTTTCTGGTATCTTCCTCCTGGCATCTCCCTGTGAAACTGCAGCTCTAATATGCTGCTTGCCTCTGTTTTCAGCAGCTTCAAAACTGGGGTGCTGTTCTCTTCAGTGCTCTGAAGCAGGGGAGTTAGAAAGCATTCCCTTGGGCAGCCAGTTAATTAGGGTGTTTAGCTGTTAACTAAATTTTCATGGGTTTAACTTCCATCAATCTAGCAAAGGGTTAGCTTAAAGTAGTTCACTTGCGTTCAATTGATGCAGAATAGAGTCTTGCAGTACTTAGGGCTGTTACAGAAATTAAGTGTAATTTACTTACTAAGGGCTTTGAAGGCCCTTGGTCTTATGTAACCTTAATTTCTTAGTTATAGTTAGTATTAATGGAGACATAGGTAGGAGGAGGGTAGAAGAAATAATACGTAGTGGGAAGAATAGTATGGGTTTTGTTTTTGAATTGTCATTTTCATATTACCAGATGTGGGGAATAGCGTCACCGAGATGGAATAAATTAGGCATATGTAAAAGTACAGGTTGAGTAGGGTTATGATAGCTATAATGGTTGGGGTAATAAGGCTATTGTTTTTTGTAAATTCTTGGATGATGATTCATTTAGGCAGGAACCCTGTTAATGGAGGTAAACCTCCTAGGGATAGAATTAGTGGAATTACAGGTGTCAACCATGTTAATTTGTTTCAGTCGTGAGATAGTGACAGGGTTGTGCTTGTAAGGTTGAGTGCTAGAAATGTGGTTAAGATAAGGTAAATAATCACGTTTAGGGTGATGGCCAGTTCGAGCTTCTCTGGGCAGCTCAGGGGACAAAGAGGGAAATGACTCAGGACAGGATACATTCTACTCTGAGGCACATTCACACACACACACACACACACACACACACACACTCTCACTCATTCTCACAGTGGGACTGTGTAGACAGCCAGTTCACCAAACGTGCATATTTTTGGGATGTAGGTAGAAACCAGAGTACCTAGAGAAAACCGACAGAAACATGGTGAGATCATGCAGACCCTATACATATAATGGCCCTAGGCAGGTTTCTTCCTCATCAACTTTATAAGGAAATGACCTTGAATGAAAGGACGTTATCTAAGGATCTTGATACAGTTTGGCTTTGTGTCATCATGCAGATCTCACCTCGAACTGTAACTGAAAAAAGTTGGTAAATAATTATCTTGTTTTTATTGATCTTTCTTCACTTGATCTTAGCTAAAACGCTGAGAAGTGATTTTTATTGGTTTTTCTTCAATGTACATATAGCTCATATTTATTTCAGTGTTAAATATTAGAAGTGTTTGGTCTTTATTCAGAAGTTTGGTGATGTTTTTGTGACCAGAAATATGCTGTAGGAACTTAACTCTTGCTGATATCAATTAGCCTAGGGTAAAATGGGTTTTCTTTTGTTTCATTTTGCTTAAAATCGGTTTCTAAAAAACTATCAACAATGTTAAGGATTTACTATACACAATAATACTGATATTAATTGAATCCAATTATTAAAGCAAGTTAAAAGTTAAAAAAAATCAGGTTTAGAATGGTAATGTTTGGGTTATAGATTAGTACTATTATTCAACCTATGTGAGTGATTGAAGAGTAGTCTAAGATTTTATGCAGTTGTTTGGTTAAGCCCTTCTTAACCGCTTACTATAATGGATAGGATTGTGATAGACAGGAGGATGTTCGTGTTTGTTGATGGGAAAATTAGAAACATAATCGAGATAGGGGCTAGTTTTTGTCATGTGAGGAGAAGTATGCCAGAAATTAGAGAGGTTTCTTGGGTTAACTGTGGGACTCAGAAGTGAAAGGGGGCTATTCCTAGTTTTATTACTAGGGCCACTATTATTATTAAGGATGAAAACTGATTAATAGTGTTTATTGTTCATTGTCCAGAGGACAGGTTATTGGAAAGGATACCTATCATGAGAATTATAGATGTGGTGCTTGTGTAAGGAAATATTTGGTGGCTGCTTCTGTAGAGCGGGGATTTTTTTTTTTAATTAAGATTGGGGTAAGGGCGAGCATGTTTATTTCTAGGCCTGTTCAGACGAGAAATCAGTGTGAGCCTAGCATTGTGATAAGAGTTCCTGTGAAAACAGGGAAATAACAAGTTGAGCTAAGGGATTAATTGCCATGGGAAGGGTGTAACCAACATTTTTGGGGTATGGGCCCAACAGCTTATTTAGCTGACCTTACTCTAGTACATAGTGTAATAGGTAGCACAGATAATTTTGGATTCTCAGGGGTAGGTTCAATTCTTATAGTTCTAGAAATAAGAGGATTTTAACCTCTATTGTAGTTCTAGAAATGAGAGATTTTAACCTGTATTGTTTACTCTATCAAAGTAATTATTTTGTCAGACATATTTCCTATGTTTGGGGTGGCATGCTGGAAATTACGACCGGCATTGAGATATATCATATGCAGAATGCTAGCTTAAGTGGTGGGAAATTTTTTTATAGAAGATACAGGAGCTGGTCATAACGGAATCAAGGGTATGCTGTTCAAATTCATAAAAATAGGGTGGTTAAAAGAAGGCTGTAGGAAATGAAATTTGTGGCATAGAGTTCTCGTGAATATATAGTGTGTAGTGCTCCTAGGAAGACAGTAGTAGTTAGGACATTTATTATGATAACAGTCATGTATTCTGCTATAAAGAAGAGGGCAAATGAGCCTGTGGCATATTCGATGTTGAAGCCTGAGACTAACTCTGACTCCTCCTCTGTTAGATCAAAAAGCGCTCGGTTAGTTTCGCTAGTATGGAGATAAATCGTATTATGGTTAGAGGCCATGATAGCAAGACCAGTCAGAGGAATTCTTGCACTGTGATAACTGGCTCATTTAACTTACATGTACTTATCAGTAGAACTGATAGGATAATGGCTAGGGTGACCTTGTATGAAATTGTCTGGGCCACAGCTCACAATGTGTCGATTAGTGAATATTTTGAATTAGATGCTCATCCTGATCACAGAGTAGACAGCCAGGCTTGATGTGGCTAGTATAAATAGGAGGCCTATATTGAAATTAATTAGAGGGTCTGGTATAGGGAGGGAAGTTCATAAGACGAGAGCAATAGAAAGGGCTAGGATTGGAGCAGTAATATAGAGGGTAATAGTAGATATTGAGGGCCTTAAGGGTTCTTTGGTGAAAAGTTTTATTGCATCAACGACTGGTTGAAGCAGCCCATAGGGACCTACAATGTTAGGTCCTTTGCATAGTTGTATATAGCCTAAGATTTTTTATCCAATGAATATAAGGAATGCTATAGCAATAAGAGTGGGGATAATGAGTAGGAAAAGGTTAATTATAGGCATATTGTTAAGAAGAGGAGTTGAACCTCTGATTATAAAGTTTTATGCAATTTCCGGCCTCTGCCATCTTAAGCCCTGTTCTTGGGTAGGGTGTGTGATGATTTGTTGGATTGAGATAGGATCATCTATGGAGCGAGGGTGCTTTATTAAGTGAGCCCTATTTCTCTTGTTTCATACTAGGAGAAATGTTAAATAGATAGGAACTGACCTGGATTATTCTGGTCTGAATTCAGATCACGTAGGACTTTAATCGTTGAACAAACAAACTCTTAATAGCGGCTCCAGCATTAAGATGTCCTGATTCAGCATCGAGGTAGTCATCCCTATTGTCGCTATGGACTCTAGAATAGGATTGCACTGTTATCCCTAGCATAACTTATTCCATTGATCAAATTATTGGGTCAATGTGTATTCACTTAGAGTAGTGCGGTCTTAGTTTAGGTTGTTCAGAGGTTGGATTATGCCCTGAGGTCACCTCAACCAAAATTTTTAATGCAGGGGGAGTAGGCTAGGGCCTGTAGGCTTGAGTTTTACTTGTATTAATGAACTAAAGTTCCATAGGGTCTTCTCGTCTTATTTGTTTATATCTGCCTTTTCATGGATACGTCAATTTCACTGATTAAAAGTAAGAGACAGCTGAACCCTCATGTGGCCATTCATATAAGTCCCTATTTAGGGAACAAGTGATTATGCTACCTTTGCACAGTCAGGATACTGCGGCCATCGAACATATGTCACTGGACAGGCAGTGCCTCTAATACTGGTAATGCTAGAGGTGATGTTTTTGGTAAATAGGCGGGACAAGATTTGCCAAGTTCCTTTTACTTTTTGTAATTTTTCCTTAGAGCATACCTGTGTTGGTTAACAGTGTAAACAATAGGGTGCTTATTATATTGTTTATTAATGTTATGCTGCTAACTGTAAGTGGATTATTCCAGTCTGATGTAAGCTTATACAATGGAGAATATCTTCATATTACTTATGTTAACATTATTGCTTCTATTAAGTAATAGATTAGACCAATGTGATGTTAGGGGTTCAGTAGCGTGATTAGAATTTAAGATAGTTAGATGTTGAGCTTAAACACTTTCTTAATTGGTGGCTGCTTTTGGGCCAACGATGGTGGTAATATTTTTTACTCTCTGTAGGAAGGTTGTTTCCTAATGTCTAAAGAGCTGTCCCTGTTTTTAGACTCAGTTAAACATACAGGAAGATTAAGTAATTCTGTGGGTAAATTTAAAGTTGAACTAAAATTCCATCTTGGACAACCAGCTATCACCACTACTTATCAATCTTCTTACTATTTTGCCACATAGGTGAGTCTGCTCTTTCAGCTGTTCTTGGGTGGTTCATCTGGTTTTGGGACACTTGGCCGTAGTTCTCTGTGTAAAGTTATTTCTAGTTAATACATTATGCAGAAGGTATAAGGGTTTTGCTTTGCTTTTTAATGCTTGATATAGTTCTTTCATCTTTCCCTTACGGTACTATGTCTATCGTGCCAGGGTAAAAATTTCTATTGCCTATACTTTTGTCTAAGGTAAATGGTTTGATTAAGATAGTTTGATAAAATTTTTAGCGAGGTTTGGGGCTAGAGTTGGCTTAAAGTGATCAGGTCATGATGGAATCCTCCAGGTGTAAGCCAGATACCTTGGGTTAAGCTACACTTTGGTTTGTCCAAGGCTACTTTCCAGTACACTTACCATGTTATGACTTATCTCCTTTATACATGCATAGAAAATTATTAGTAATAGTGATTTCTAGAGGGATATTTGAGGAGGGTGACGGGTGGTGTGTGCATGCTTCATAGCCTTATTCAACCAAGCACTCTGCTCTTGGTTTATTGCTAAATCTTCCTGAGTCCTTAGATTTCATAAAGGTTGTCGTGAGATTTTCTGGACATAGAAAATGTATCCCATTTCTTGCCATCTCATGGGCTACACCTTGACCTAACATTTTTATGTGTGTACTTGTGCTTACTCAATAAACTTTTTAGGGTTTGCTGAAGATGGCCCTATATAGGCTGGGGGCAAGAGGCGGTGAGGTGTATCAGGGTTCATTGATTATAGAACAGGCTCCTCTAGAGGGATATAAAGCACTGCCAAGTCCTTTGAGTTTTAAGCTGTTGCTCAGGCAAATGGTTTTGTTAATGTAACTCTAGTGGGGTATCTAATCCCAGTTTGGGTCTTAGCTATTGTGTCTTCAGGGTATTAAAGCTACTTTTGTAGTACATTTTATTTCAGCTGGAGTTTTTTACAACTTAGATGGGCTTTAACTTTATTGAGGGCAGACCTTAAACACTCTTTACGCTGAGTTCCATTAGCTCGGGTTAATCGTGTGGTGGCTGGCACGAAATTGACCAACCCTAACTATTAGTATAGCTTAGTTAAACTTTCGATTATTATTAATAAAGATTTATCACTTCTGTTCCTGTGGGGGTGTAGTTGGGCAAAGTGTTTTGAGCTGTATTCATGCTTGATACCTGCTCTGAGGGCATTTTCGCTGGGGCAGGGATGCTTGCATGTGTAATCTTACTAAGAGCTAATAAAAAGGTCAGGGCCAAACCTATCTGTTTATGGGGTTGTGCAGACCCATCTAGATATTTTCAGTGTCTTGCTTTGAATAATTAAGCTACATTAGCTACATAAATACTTAAGTATAAAGTTGAAGTATAAGACAGAAAGAAATACATATAAATAGTCGTTTACAGTTTTGGAAATTCAGGGTCTTTAAAGTTGAATTGGCAGAGCTTTGGCTGAGAGGATTACTTATAATTAGAGTATAATTTATTTAGGATATGATATATGGGGCAGTGCTTTCAGAGGGAGATGCTCAAGGTATTATATTAGTATTAGGGTGGAAATTGAGTTATACAAAATGCAGTATTAATTTAGTGGGAGGGTCTTACGATTTTTAGAAAAATTACATCAATTGAGTGGTAGCTGTTGTATTCATGGTTAAAATGTGATTTCTGGGCTCCAACTGGGTTGCATTTTAGTCTTGTTTTTGAGGTTTGGCAAGGGTACATTTACCTAGGTTGATGGTAAATTCAGAGATGGGGGTGGGGGTTGCGGATCTAATCGGAAATAGTTCTTGAAAGTGAGCATACGTGCAGGTCTACTGATTGTTATGTCCTTCAAGCATGAATTAATTAACACTGTATGGTTACTGTGTCAGCCCAGAATATTCAATAAAAGCTCAGCTTCTACAATTGATTTGGCAGGAATCAAATCCGAGTTCGTCTACAGTGGATTCAGCAGGGACTAGGCCTTCCGCGATGTTGAGTGATGGCATCCCCTACAGTTAAAAATACCAAATGCGTGACAGTGCTCCTGTGACTGGTTAATAGGGTGGTAGTCATTAGTCCATCTAGATGTCTTATTTAAGGGGAAAGAGTGGGCGATCTTAATTTTATTGACCTGATGTAAGAACTGGATGCCAGGTATAGTTTCAGTATAGTCACCCCCAAGCGAGATGGAGTCTTGCTCTGTTGCCCAGGCTGGAGTGCAATGGTGCGATCTCAGCTCACTGCAACCTCCAGCGATTCTCCTGTCACGGCCTCCTAAGTAGCTGGGATGACAGGTGTGTGCCACTACACTCAGCTAATTTTTGTATTTTTAGTAAAGACAGGGTTTCACCATGTTGGTCAGGCTGGTCTCGAACTCCTGACATCAGATGACCCACCTGCCTCCCAAAGTGCTGGGATTACAGAGACAGTTCTTTTAAAAAGAAAGAAAATGAAATAAACATACTTCAGTGGAACAAAAATGAGGCAATTCATTACTGGTAAACAAGCAATAATGAAAATACCAAAGGTAGTTATTCAGGCAGAAATAACAAATGCAGATAAGGATGTTAAGTGAAACTCTCATAAGCTGCAGGCGGCAATGTGAACTAGTGCAGTGTTTAAGACTGTTTGGCATTACTTACAAAACCTGTGACCCAGAAATTCCACATCTCCTCACCTACAACTATACCTTAGTAAATGGGATTTTGCAATGGAGTATTCCATGTGTATCTGCAGTCTTTATAGAATAGGAGAAACTTAAGATTAAGCATGATGTAGAATCTCTGTTCAGATGATGAACCTGATAGACATTAACTTGTGATGGAACCTAGCCTCCTGATATAAAGAAAAAACTGCAGACCCAGACGATTGGACACCATCAAGGTCATATCTGGATGTGCAGTTTTCTCTTTATACTGTCTTATATTTACCCCCATCTGCACCATCACAGCCCTGGGCTTTCCCAGTAGCCTAATGCCTGCAAATCTAAGGCTGTAGAAACCCTTCAATAGTCTCATTATTTTATTTTGGTTAAAACAAAATCTGTTCACTGATTTTTAAAAATCACCATGCAAACGGCTCCTTTCTGTGCATAGCTTTTCTACTCAAAACTTTGTCTTTTATTTCAAAAGCATTTAGTCAGCAGTTATTATGTTTCTAACACTTTCCTGGTAGAGGAGCTTGCACAGAGGCTATGACTTCAAGTCAAGAGAGTGACAAAAACATAAAGATGAATGAGAAAACATGGTAATGCTTAGTGAATTAAAAGTACTTCCATCTTACTGCATTTGAGACAGCAAAGGGACAGAGTAAGAGATGAAGCTGGAAAGGTAAGGCAACCCCAGTTGTGATGGATCTTGCAGATATGATTGAATTTTCAATTTTGTGCTAAATAACTTGTCATGACTTTTTACAACTTTACTCACGGGCTTAAAGATTGAAGACTCCAATTACTCTTTCACCTACCTAAATTTTTCTGAAAGGCAAAAGCTCTCCAGAAGTTTAAGGATTGTCTCTCCATAAATATATTCCCAGGAGGAATATAAAACTGTATTTTGGAAAACAATGTGGATTTTTTTCTATTTAATCTGTACTTGACATAGTGTAGTGTGAAAGGATCCAGTTTCCTCCCACTGGTCCTGGTTTCCATACCATAAACACTGACCTACTTAATACCAAGGCCTCTCTCTACAGACTTCATTATCTACTTCCTTTGCAGGTTTATGTTGGCATGTTTTAAAAACTCTATCTAGGGATGCTTTAGCAAAAGGACGGATCAAATTTATCTGAAAAGTGAAAAAGCACTTCATTTTCTTCCTCTCCCATCTGTCTCCTTCACTCCTTTACCTGTTCTTCAGTGTCATGATCTCTATTACACTGATCTTTTCCCGTTCTTCCGATGTGTCTATGACCTTTTTGTTTCCATTTCTTCTGCTATCTAGGTAAGACTCATGGATCTTCACTTCAAACGCTCTCTTGATGTATCCTTTTGTTTTTTTACCCCCTTTGATTTCTACCTTGAAAGACCCAAATGAACATCTTCAAGTCCAAGGACAGACAGAAAAGAGATGGAGTATATAGAAAACATTAGATAGGGGCCAGACTGAAGTAAGAAGTCCACTATGCTCCTCTACCCGTAAGCTAGGCAAGGAATGAGGGGAGCCTAAACTATGGTAGTAGAAATACAACATAGGGATTGGATTCTGGGGACATTAAGAGGTGGAATCACATGACTGTTTCTGGCTTCTGCAGCTAGATAGGGGCCAGCCATTTGCTTAGATAGGTAATAGAGAAAGCGTAGACTTTGGAGGGCTCAAATTCTTAGCTACTATGCTCTTGACCAAATGGAGCTTTTCATGAGCTCAGGGGAGAATTCTGAGACGCACGTGTGACTTGGGAGTCATTCACATGTAAGTAGTAATTGGAGCCATGGGATTTAATTAACTTACAAAGGAAAAATGTGTTGAAAAAAGAAAAAAAAAAAGGAGAGAATCAAGGACCAGGGCAGAAGGATCCATGAAGGAAAATGTGTCAAGAAGCCCATGGAAAAGAGAAAATAAGAAACCTGATGAATGAGCAGAATCGAATGCTATCAAGAGTTCAAAAAAGATAAGCCTAGAAAACATCCTTTGGATTTAATAACAAATAGTTAATCATTGGCACAGTGAGAATAATCATACAGATGGGTGGAAACTAGATTTTCAGTAGTTTGAAAAGTAAATATAATGTGATAAAATGGAGAAAGCTTAGATTGCTGTTTAATCAATTTTATAAAGGAAGAGGCCAAGGCATAGGTGAGACACTATTTTAAAGGTGGCAACAATTTGAGCAGGTTTAAATGTTTTCTTTTGTTTTAATTAGAAACCGGATCTCACTCTATCATACAGGCTGGTGTGCAGTGATGTGATCATAGCTCCCTGCAGTCTTGGACTCCAGAAGTCCTTCCATTTCAGCCTCCCAAGTAGCTTGGACTATAGGCATGTGCCACCATGCCCAGCTAGAGGTGGAGTCTTGCTATGTTGCCCAGGCTGGCCTAGAACATCTGGACTCAAGTGATTCACCTTGGCCTTTTAAAGTGCTGCAATTACAGGTGTGAGCCACTGCACAAAGCAATATTTAAATATTAATGGGAAAGAACTTCAAGGATAGATATAGAAGATGGGTGAGGATGGGAGATTAAAATGAAAAAATATTTTTCTGTTGCTTTATTTGAAAGGTAAAGATTAGGGATGAAACAGATGTAGGCCGGTAGGGTCTGGATGAAAGCAAGGAGAAGCTGGAATTTCTGCCCAATGGCAATTATTTAAAGGAGGTGAAAGTCAAGGTCAACAGCTAAAAGAATAGAACAGAGGAGAAGGAAATGAAAATAAGGACCCGGCTGACACTGGCAACCACAGATGTGTAATTTCAGATTCTCAATCCCTCCTTCATAATAGAATCACTTAGGAACTTTGCAAGAATACACGTTCCCAGTTTCTCCCCTGAAAGATGCTGATTTAATTGTTCTGGGAAGAAATATATCTTTCTCTATATATAGATCTATAGATATCTATATATAGATATACATATATTTTTTTTCCCGAAGCTCCTCAGTTAGTTAGTTCTAATGTACAGCCAGAGTTCAGAAAGTACATTCTGGTGCCTTTGACTTTGTGAATTTGCACCAACAGGGTTCAATAGTCCAGATATGTAAGTCAGAGATGGCGGGTGGTTGAATTGACCCAGAGTTGGAAATGGCAGTGCAGATTTACAGGAAAAACATTGAAGGGATGGTCCCTTGGGTCTAGGCTGAAACAAGAAAATAGACTGGTGCAAAATAGAATAGCCAAGCAGTGGCCAACAGGTGGAGAAGGAATAAGGAAGGATTGATCTGGACATAATGGAGAACTGAGTATCTAAATCCACTCCTTCATACTTTGGGAGGCTGACGTGGGTGATCACTTGAGGTCAGGAGTTTGAGACCAACATGGTGAAAGCCTGTCTCTACTAAAAATAAAATATGACAAATTAGCTGGGTGTGGTGGCACGTGCCTGTAGTCCCAGTGAATCAGGAGGCTGAGGCCAGAGAGGCAGTGAGCCGAGATTTTGCCACTACACTCCAGCCTGGACGACAGAGTGAGATGCTATTACTGCTATTTTTTGAGACACATAAATCCACTCCTTCAGTAATATACTCTGAAACAGTTTTTTAAACATTTCAGCACAAACCTAGAAAAGATGGTATAGAGGGTATAGAGAACAAGTGCAATTCAGTGCTTAGAGTCTGGGGAAGCGGAAAGCATAGATACTGACTAGGGCCTTTGCATCTGACCATCAAATTATGTCAGGGGAAGATTCTTCATGTATCAGTCTAAGTTTATTAGAGGACAAGTCTAGTGACTAAGAATATTTAGCAACTAAGTGATTAAAATCTTCAATTTTAGTGGTTATTAGGAAGTCACATGATTTGGGGATAATCCCTGCTCTGGAAGTAGAGATAGGAGTAACAGTTTTCTCTCAAGACATGATGAATGAAATTTAGGGACTCTGGCTATATTGTTATTCAAATGATCACAAGTTATCAGCATATAATATAAGGCTTTAAATAGTAGAGGCCCCAGAATGAGACAAATGATAGCAAGAGCAAAATAGGGCTCAAGACCAAACCTATTCTGTATGAATCTAGAAAAAATTGTGAAATACTAACAGATGATGTGTCAATAAGAGAGGGAAGAGATCCTGGGCTGATACAAAATGAAGTCTTGATAATTGCCTGGGAGAAGAGAAGAAAAAATGAGTCCTAAGAATTCTTCCACTATTTCATAAGGAATCTTAGAAGCAAGATAAACATTAGCCATTGGGATTCCTTTTCCATTGTTTTTATTTATTAAAGATAGCCTTGTTTTGTCTTCCTCTGAGACTGTTTGAATTGTAACTCTGATGCCCTCTGAACTTTGTTCTTTGATAAAAGTTGGGTAGAAAGAACACGCCACACACCACTATGAATCTGAGATAACTTCCTGACCTGTGCCTAAAAAGACAACTTTAAACTTACCAGGAGGCAACATATTTCTATAAAGATTTTTTTTTTTTTTGGGGAAACAACTTTACCATTCCCATTAGGCTGACAAAGCCAGAAGAAAACATTTCCCAAGGCTGGTTTCCATCAAAACACTTTCACCAATATGGTTTCTGGAAAAAGCAATGTTTCTGTATGTTCTTCCTCAAAGGATGGTGCCTTTTAAATACCCTACATTGCACATGTGACACATTAGGAAGAGCATGAGATTTTCTACCCTAGACATTCCTCTCTGATTTTTTTCTTCCTCCTTGCAAATGAGTGATTATAAATGGAAGCATTTATGATTTACAGTTTTTCTAAACACTTTTATAGGTGATAGATTAAAGTGATTGAGATCTGCATTTCTTTCCTCTTCTCAACAGGCTCTTTCTCTTCATAAATTTATGGCACCACTCTCTTCCAACTGGCTGGCTTATGTTGCATTCGTGCTATTCAGCTGACTCTTCCTCATAATTGAAATGCATAAAAGCTAAAATATGGCTCAAAGGATTTCAGTTGGACCTCATATACTTGAGGGGAATTTTTCAGCATAGAATTCAAAGCCTCTCATGTTCTCAGGGATCTGATGCAACAGAAAAACAGAACCAGGAAAAATAATGCCTCTTACTTCTAATGCTACACAACAAGGGGAGCTGACCCCTTGAGTTCCATTTGGGAGGAGGACAGATGTTGGCATCTAGGCAAATGTACCCCACTCTACCTTGACCCAGGAAGTGAAAGAATGATGATGTCATCTGTAATAATTGGAATCCAGGGAGTGTAATCTACATAATTAGCTCTCCATAGGGAAGTGAACAGAACCCTCCCTTCTATACTTTAGTGTTCTCAAACACACTGAGAAAAGGTAGAGTGGAATGTTCAAATATTAACCAAAGAAGCAAACACTAAAGTCAGAAGATGTATGTTAAATTTCTATATAGCCCCCAGAGTGATTTTTCAGTATAATCACCTCTGAACTCAATACAATTAGTGTAGTAATTGGCAAGTTTTTTGACTTTGCCAGAGAAAAATGTATTTAATAAGAAACTTAATTATCCCAGTCAAAATTTGCTGCATTAATACCTGTATCATTCTTGGACATTTAACTTCACAGGATTTAACTAAGTTATTGAATCGCATGCAAATCAGGACATGAACCATGCAATTGTTCTTGTATGTATTGTCCATGGAGCTAACCTACCTTTTCTCTTGGAGCAGCTGTTTTTGATGGCAAGAAAACAAATGATATTTTATGGTATTTAAAATTGGGGATGAATATAAATCATTCTACCATGAAGACACATGCACACGAACATTCATTGCAGCACTATTCATAATAGCAAAGACATGAAATCAACCTAAATGCCCATCAGTGACAAATTGGATCAAGAAAATGTGGTACATATACACCATGGAATAGTATGCAGCCATAAAGAATAAGATCATGTCTTTTGTGGGAATGTGGATAAAGCTGGAGGCTATTGTTCTTAGCAAACTAATGCGAGAACAGAAAGCCAAATACTGCATTTTCTCACTTATAAGTGGGAGCTACACGATAGGAACACAAAGAAGAAGAAACACACTGGGGTCCACATGAGGGGAGAGGAAGAGGAGCAGAAAAGATGGGTACTGGGCTTAATACCTGGGTGATGAAATGCTATGTACAACAAACCCCTGTGACACATGACATGTTTACCTGTGTAACAAACCTTCACATGTATCCCCAAACCTAAAATAAAAAGTAAAAGTGAGGATGACTATTTAACCATTAAAGCAGCTAAAATGAAAAATAGTGATAGTACCGAATGTTGGCAAGGATGCAGAGAAAGAGGATCCCGTATACACCCCTGGTGAGAATGTAGAACTGTGAAACTACTCTAGAAAATATTTGGCAGTTTCTTAAAAAATTAAACATACACCAACCATATGATCCAGCAATTACACGCCTGGGTATTCATCTCAAGGAAATGAAAACTCATCTCTACACCAACACCTATTTACAAATGTTTACAGCAGCTTGATTTGCAATAGCCAAAAACTGGGGGTTGGGGGGAACCCAGATGTCCTTCAATGGATGAATGGTTACACAAACTGGTATACCCATACCACGGAATACTGTTCAGCAATAAAAAAGAAAAACTACAGCTTGAATAGACCTCAAGGCAATTGTGAGTGAAGAAAAGCAATCTCAAAAGGTTATATGATTCTATTTACATAATATTCTCAAAATGACAAGATTATAGAGATTGAAGTACAGATTAGAGATGGGTAGAGGGAGATACATGTGACTATAAAAGGTAACACGAGAGATATGTCATGATGGACTAGTTCTCTATCTTGTAGTGGTGGCTATGAATCTATACATGACAAAAGTGCATAAAACTATAGACAGGTGTGCCCACACACACAAGTGAGTACAGGTAAAAACGGTAAGATCTGAACACAGTACGAGAATTGTGTCACTGTCAGTTTTCTGGTTTTGCTATAATCTTATGTAACATAACTTAGGTTACCATTGGGGGAAATTGGGTGAAAGGTACATAAGGAAGCCCAGAAGATTTCATTATAACTTGACCACTTTGAGCCAGCTTTAGCTCCAGACTTTGCTAAAGAATGTCTAGTATTTTTGCAATTTCCTGTGAATCTATAATCCTTATTTTAAGACATGAAAATGGGGCTGTCCTTTGAAAATTTTAAAAAAATAGGCCAACTTTATTTTTTGGAAATAACAAAGCCAAATTGACAATATGGAAATGTATATGGCTATAAAAGTGAAAGTTATTCACAAATTTGTACCTTTGTATGAACAGCCTATTTTCATGTTTCTGAAAATTCAATAACCTGACTCAATGTGTTTATTGACATTTTCTTCTACCTGTGAAATGCCTATCTTTCCTATTAAAAAAAAAGTTCCGGAAAACCTAGCAATGACATCTATTGCTGTACAATGTCAAGATGCTATCTTAGTGTTTGCTTCTCACCCTTGCCATATCTCTCTCCTTTCTGAAGACATGCAGCAGTTGATAGTAGCCACTGGGGGTTCAGACTTCTACATGGCACATACTAAACCTTGATTTCATACCCAGTCCAACAGTAGAAGCCCAGACTTACAGACTAGTAGAACACTAATCTTCTTTCTTGTAAAAGTTCACCAAAGCAGACAGATGTATGTGTGTTCATGTTCATTATCCAGCTCGGAACACAAACATATCCTAGTTAATGAGAAATTCAGGGCTAACGGATTTTTCTAATCTCTGGAGGAGATACAGTCTTCCTTACTAGATCTATGACCCTGCAATCTGGGCAAGAGAATCCCCTTCCTTTGGAATCCCTACTCTGGTCCCCATCCCCATTCCCATGTTCTTCACCATGGGACAAGGATCTCAAGTTTCTTACAAAAGGCTAAAAAACGTCCTGGGTTTCTTCCCAGTAGTCAGATTATCACAGGGTGCAACTTTTGACCAATGATAAACATAAGATAGCTCTTAAAAAAGGCACAAAAAGAAGATATTATCTTCCTAGGGCTATGGACAATGGAGTGAATTTTAAAAGGAGTATTGTGAGTTACAGACGATAAAGGAGGAGAGAAATAAACCAGGATCCGTATTTCCAAATTCTAGAAGTTGGTTTTAAATCCTTCCGGGACCTTCCAGGACAATATTGCTGAATCTAATCAAACCACCAATAGCTAGGCTTCTGCACTGCAATACGATGATGACAAGGAACAGGACTCCAAACATAACACCATGCACCATGAACCAGAAAAATGCTGATCATCATTGGTTCCAGCTTTTAATGGAACCAATTACTCAAATCCCCTCAGAGAGGTAGAAGAGCTTGGGTCTGCCCAGGGACTACTGAAGAGATTCCCAAGCGCTTAACTTCAGGCATTATTTGGGTTAGGAGCTTCAATATTCACATTTCTTCTTTATTTCTAAACAGTGTTCAGACGGTGAGACATACATATAACTGAGGTGACTGGAGAGATGAATGCCCCCTGTTCTCATACTTAGAGAGTCTAATTTAGTTTGTACTAACATTTCCAAGATCCCTAATATCTTTTTTGCCTTCCTTCATATTCTTGCTTTGAAAGGTGAATTTATGATGTCATCATTTAGGACTCAAGAGCGCTATGCTAACAGGCTAGCATAGATTAAAAGAATTGTCCTGAGATCATTGCGTTGGATACATAGCTGCATCAACGGTCAATAAATATGATCATTCTCTAAGAGAAGTAATAACAATTAAACCCATCAACTTTCACTGAGGTTGAGAAAACAAAAGATGTTCCAGTTTACAGTGGCCCCATGCCAGGAGACTGCTGAGACTGGAGAATAATCAGACTGCAGGCCGAAGAATGCTATCTTCCAAGAAGAATGTGCTAATGAAAACTTTCAGGAACAGTGATTTCCTCAAGGTTTCTACCAGCATGTTAATCAGTCAGGACCTCAAAGTTTTACGGATCAGGTAAATATTTTCTGGCAGGTGCAAGGAGGAACAACACACAAAATTTCCTCTGAGAAAATTTACTGGGAATAAGGTCTGATGTTATACGCTGCCTATGAACTTTTTTCAATAACCATAAATCAGCCTGCTATTGATGAAAGATTGAAATATCACCTAGACCTGTGAGGATATAAGTATAGCTTATGGAGGAAGCAGGAGCAAAAAGGAAGAAAAATACTGCCTGGAGAATGAACTTGGAGTTTTCTGGCCTGCTCAAGATTAAATAAATGTACCTTGCCTTTGGCAAAACAGTTAATTTTAAGTCTCAGCTTCAGGAATTAGTATCACTCTCCTCTGAACTCACTTCTTTTGATAAAAGTTCCAGGTTGGAATTTTTTTTTGAGGGGTCAGGTAAAAGATTGTGACTCTGAATAACATATTTACCTAGCGATGACTTCTAAAAGCTCAGCTGCATAACAAAGTATGATGGAGTCAGATTCACAGGTAGCAATAAAAGTAAAAAGCCACTTTGTCAAAACCTAATATATCTGAAGTGAAACTGAGTTATGAAGTCCAAAATTTCATTTTTATATTTTTCTGTATTCAGAGAGGTAAATACCCCCATTGCTGAGACAAAGTGTTCCATCCTATGTTAATAGTTGTTCAACATCTTTGAGGTAGCCAGAGAACTGCCATAATCCCAGAACAACCTGAGTGTTCTTGCTGCTGTCACCAGACATGAGGCACCTTTCTGACACTCAGTTCCATATTGGTAAGTGAAAATAATCACACCTATCCCATTGGGTTGTTAGGAGAATTAAGACAAACACAAGGTCTTGCAAGTAATAGGTGTTCTATGGTTGGCAGCACTGAAGGAACACACTTGAAAAATGATCAGGGTTGAATATGTATTCTCAGAAATTATTCTGGAATCATCTCAGGCTACAAATTCAATTTGTTGGCTTTTCTCTGAGAAGCATTCCCCCAAACTCACTTTCTTCTTAACAATGGACTGTCTAAGCCAGGAGCACGGGTTTGCTTTTTAGAAGCACTGTTTCTCTCCATGCAGTGGCTACTTCAGAAGCATCAGAAAACATGTTAAGTAGAAGCTAAAATTGAAGTCACTGGAGGTTTTTGGATGTGAAGGCCTGGCAGTATTCACTTATTTTTAAACTGCACACACATGCGTCTATCTACTCTGGTCAGTGTTCTTGTTATCTGCCACTTCCAAGCATGATTCTTTTCTTCTACTCCTCCTTCTTACCACCATGGAAACTAATGTGACCCTGAAACGTTTTTGTGCCCTTTCTCTTCTGGTTCGATGTCACACAGTCTGTGTGGAGAACTGGAGGTTACTTCAATTCATCTTTCATTCTGTATGTTTTGCCCTCCAAATCTGATAACTGCTTCCTTCCTTAAAATGATAAAATTCCAGAGCCTCTCCTCCCACTAAACTACATTCTCCTTTCACTTCTGAACAGTGAACTACCTCATAATTATTATTCTCCACATGAAACTTTCCCATTAGACTTCCTGTTCTTTTTTGTTCTTGTGGATAAGAGGATAAAATGTGAGCTAGAAGATAATATTCACTTTTATCTGAGTGAATAAGGTACCATACAAGTTCTAATTAAGTCTTCAGGATCAGGCTGGAGGGGAGATAGAGGGTGGGGGTATTTAGCAGAAGACCGCAGGGCTTCTGTCTTGTTTAGAGTATTTATATAAACACAGAGGATACATCAAATTTGCTGATGAACCAAAATGTGGAAAGATAAATAAAAATTGAAAGAAGAGTCAAATCATTTCAGCATATTAGAATAATGAACTAAAGCCAAGAGAACAGAACTTAATATGAAATATAGGCTTTTCCTGTTAAGAAGTAGTTGGTTATAATAATGAGAAAGTAAAAAATTCAAACTATTAGGAAGGGGATATGTCAAAAAGACCTGGAGCTAACTGGAAGAGCTCCCAATGGCCAAAGCTGGACAAATTTGAGCAACAATATAAATGCTGGATTATAACCTAATGTATAAAATATATGAGTTCATACTGCTATAAATAAATGGTTGAATTAATTAATAACTAGAGAGAAGGGAAATCTCCTGTATTGAAGAATCCCAAATCATTTACGTAGATACTCCACCCTCAAAAAGCGTATCATAACTCCTCAGTCAAGCTATGCACAGTGACTTTCTTCCAAAGAGTATATAGTATAAGAATCTTAGTATGTATCCTGACATGATGAGCTGAGAATGGCACTGTCATAGTCCATTCTCTATTGCTATAACAGGTTATTAAAAGTAGAAGTTTATTTGGCTCAGGGTTCTGGAAAGTAGGAAAACCAGGAGTGTGGAACCAGCACCTTGTGAGAGTTATCCCATGGGGAAAGGCAGAAGGTGGAAGAGAGCATGAGAAACAGGCACAAGAGGCCCTACTTGCTATATAATAACCTACTCTCACCATCCACTCCCATGATAATGATATTAATTCATAAGGGCAGAATTCTCATGAACCAATTACCTTTTATTAGGCCCCACCTCCCATCACTGTTGCATTGAGGAGTAAGTTCCCAACATGAACGTTTGTGGGACACATTCAAACCATAGCAGGTACTTTACTTCTGTGTTCTTCTTCCCTAAAATCCATACCCCAATATAATCATGAGAAAAACATCAGACAAATCCCAATAGAGGGATATTCTACAAAATACTTTATCTATACTTCTCCAAACATTCAAGATTATCAAAAACAAAGAGAAACTGTCATAGCCAGAGGAGTCTGAGACGTTACAACTAAATATAACATGGTATCCTGTTTGGGATTCTGGAACACAACAAGGACATCGAAGTAGGGTGTGAACTTTAGTTAATAACATGCACTATTGATTCACTCATTGCAATAAATGTAGTATGCTAACGTAAAAACTCTTTACTACCAGCACAATTTTACATAAATATAAGCTATTCTAAAATAAAAGGCTTATATTACAAAAAGGCAAAGGATGAGGTAGATTTTATTTTGAAGCTTCTAAAAAATATTGGGGAATGTTAAGGTAAATTTTAATAGCTGACAAAGTAGCAAAGTTGTGTCCAAACTACAAGAAACAAAAGTTGCATCCTATTGTGTTTCTGGTAAAATGAAACCTGGAGTATTACATTTGATTCTGAGAGTTAAAGAAAGAATTATACTTTAAAAATGTAATATATCTAGACAACCTCATTAAGGTAGGTAAAGATTGGAAGGTTATTTCACATGAAGAATGTTGTCTTAGCTTGGGTTCTCCCTTGAAAGCAGAGCAGCACTTAAAACAAGGGCTTATGAGTCAGTAGTTTCTGTTTTTTTTTTGGTTTGTTTGAAGTGATTCCATGTAACAGGAGCGGAGGACTTAGGAGAATGAAATAGGCAAGGAGAAAAAGTTGATACGAGATGTTTTCTTGCTGTGGGCACCTAGAGTTCACTTCTATTGACCCTTAAGAAGAGCCATATAGAATGTACCCATCATTTTCTCTTGAAGCACAGAAGTGGGGGTATTTATACCTGCACTTGTATCTCCCATGGGCTAGGTGTTGCCTCATGAACTTAGAAGCCTCTCGTCTTTCCCAAGCTGTGCATATAAACTCTTGCCTGGTTTTATGAAAGCACCAAGGCGGGGAAGACTTGCTATGCAGTGGAGATGAGGTGAGTTGTTGCCAAATTACTACTGTGTGCAGCTGGTTACAGCAGCAATAGATGGAATAAAAGATAGGCCAAAAGGGTGTGAGGCAAAGAAAAGAAGGGAATCTTTTCACAAGGAGAAGAGATATTGGGTGTCTCCAGTAGGAGAGGGAGAAATATCTTTTGTCACTGTAGGGGAATGGACCAGGACCTTTGATGGAAGTGACAGAGACACAGCTTTTATCTCAGTCAGTCCTGTTCAGATTAGCAGTGGGAGATAGGCAAAGAAGAGGTAAACGAGTAGAAAAATGGGGATACATAGAATATGCTAGATATGATGCAAAATCCAAATGCAACAGTTATTCCAATAAATGTGAATGTTTAAACTTACTAGTTAAAAGACTGGCATTAAAAATTTTAAAATGAAACAAGGTATATGAAGAAAATATAATACAACAAAAACAATATCAAAAGCTGGACTTTGTAAGAAAAGAATATGAGACAAAAATGAACTCAAACAAACAGAAAACATTTAATTTTGTTTGCATTAGGTTTACCTGTTTGTAACTGCAGTTTTAAATAGCAGTAGCATAAAACTCATAAAAGTATATCTCTCTCATTCCCATAAAATGAGAAAAAAAGTCAGGAAATGGGCTGGGATGGCAACTACAAGCTTTATCAACTCAAATCAGGTTGAGACCTGGGAAGCCTCAGGGAAAAAAAAAAAAGACATATTCCCCATGGCCATTTCAGATGTAGCCATAGAAATCAAATGATTACAGTAAAACATTCTAGAAGTCAAAGGTAAAAACTAAAGAGAAAACTATCAAAGGGCAGAATCAGGATCTAATCCAGAAATTTTCTGTACTCCACAGTAGAGGAGGCTTTCCCCATGTGTGTCCACTGTATTTTAAATCTGCTATTAACCAGTGGATGCTGTGTCTCTTTTATTCTTCCCTTTTCAGAATGGGAGCTTTTACTGAGGCTACCCTGGCAAGGCTTCATTGTTGTATAGTGGGTATGTGCATATGACACATATAGCTACCTGTTCTTAAGCCATGAAAACATAAGGTCATATTCAGACCTGAAGGAAAGGGTTATGCATGAACCAAGGATCTCAGATTTTGAGCTTAAAATAGTCAATGGATGGGGCTTTGGGTTGTCTCCTTTGGCAGGAAGTTCTCTTCTATGTATGAAAAGGACAAAATAAAAGGGGTGGAGCAAGATGGCAGAATAGAAGGCTACAACAATTGTCCCCTGTTGCAAGGACACCAATGTAACAACAATCCACACCAAAAAAGCACCTTTGTAAGCAGCAAAAATCAGGTGAGCACTTATGGTACCTGGCTTTAACTTCAGATCACTGAAAGAAACACTGAAGAGGTAGGAAAAGAAGTCTTGAATCACTGATGCCACCTCTCCTGCAATCCTTGGCCGCAGTGGAGAGTGTTTCTGTGCCCTGGGGAAGAGGAAGGGCAGCAATTGTGAGATACTGAACTCAGTGCTCCCTTGTTATAGCAGAAAGCAAAACCAGACCAAATTCAGCTAATACTCACCCATAGAGGGAGCATTTAAACCAGTCCCACCCAAAGAGGAATTGCTAAGGATCGTGGTCAGATCCTGAATTCCCACAAGCCTTGCTATGATAAGCTAAAGTGCTCTGGGGCTCTAAATAAACTTGAAAGGCATTCTAGGCCACAAGGACTGCAACACCTAGATGAGTCCTAGTGTGGACTGGAGGAGCATGTGACATACTGAGACACCAGCAGGGGCAGCTAAGGGAGTACTAGTATCACCTCTCCCCTTACCCCAGGCTGCACAGAGCACAGCTCCAAAAGAGATCCCTTCCTTCCACTTGAGAAGAAGAGATGGAAGAGTGAGAAGGACTTTGTCTTACATCTTGGATACCAGCTCAGCCATAGCAGGATAGGACACCGGTCAGAGTCATGAGGTCCCCATTCCAGGCCCTAGCTCTCAGAAGACATTTCTAAACACATCCTAGACCAGAAGGGAGCCCGCTGCCTTGAATGAAAGGACCCATTCCTGGCAGCATTCATCACTTGCTAACTAACTAAAGAGCCTTGAGTCCTGAATAACTAGCAGTGATGGCCAGGTTCTACAATGAGGGCCTTGGGTGACACTCTGAGACTTGCTGGCTTCAGATGAGGCTCAGCACATTCCCAGCTGTGGTGGCTATGGGGCAAGTTTCCTGCTTGAGCAAAGCAGAGGTAAAAGTAAAGGGTACTTTGTCTCACACCTTAGGTACCAGCGCATCCACAGGAGGGTAGAGCACCAAGCAGACCCTTGAGGTCCCCAATTCTGAGACTTGGCTCTTGGATGGCATTTCTGGACTTTCCCTGAGCCAGAAGGGAATCCGCTCCCCCTGAAGGCTGTGTCCCAGACCAGGCAGCATTTACCACAAGCTGACTGAACAGCCCTTGGGGCTTAAGGGAACATCAGAAGTAGTCTGGCAGTACTCTGTGTGTGTGTGTGTGTGTGTGTGTGTGTGTGTGTGTGTGAGGTGGAGGTGTCAAGGGGGGAGGCTCCTCTGCCTTTAGAAAGGGGAGGGAAGAGTAGGAAGGACCGTCTTGTGGTTTAAGTGCCAGCTTCTCTGCAGTACAACAGAACACCAAGTAGACTTCTGAGGTTTTTGCCTCTAGTCCCTGGCTCCTAGACAGCACTTCTGCACCTTTCCAGGGCCTGGGGGAACTTGCTGCCCTGAAATGAAGGACACAAACCTGGCTGGCTTTGCCACCTGCTGATTGCAGAAGCCCAGGGCTTTCAGTGAATGTATGTGGTAGCCAGGAAGTGGTTATATCAGGCCTTGGGCAAGATCTGGTGGTGGTCACAGGGGTGCTTGTGCCACTCTACCCACAGTTCCAGGTGGCTCAGAAAAGAGAGCAAGGGAAGAGAACAAGAATCTCTGCCTGAAAATTCAGAGAAGTCTTCTGGATATTGTCCAAAACCATCAAGATGGTACCTCTATGAGTCTGCAAGAACTGCAGTGTTACCAGGCTCGAGGTCCCCCCACTAAAGCAGATGCAGCTTAGATTATAACACCTAAGTGCTTTAGAATATACGGAAAGCCTTCCCAAGAAGTATGGGTACAAACAAGCTCAGACTGAGAAGACTATAATAAATACCTAATTCTTCAATGCTCAGACACAGATGAACATCTACAAGTGTCAAGACAATTCAGGAAAACATAAACTAAATAAGGCATAGGGACCCAAGCTGGATAAAGAGAGATATGTGACCCTTCAAACAGAGAATTCAGAAAAGCTGTTTTGAGAAAACTCAAAGAAATGCAGGATAAGAGAGAGGGAATTCAGAATTCTATCAGATAAATTTAACAGTGATTGAAATCATCAAAAATCAAGCAGAAATTCTGGAGTTGAAGAAAGCAACTGGCATACTGAAGAGTTTTTTAATAGGAGAATTAAGCAGGAGAAAGAATTAGTGAGCTTGAAGACAGGTTATTTGAAAATAGAAGAGACCAAAGAAAACTGAGTAAACAGTGAAGCACACCTACGAGGGATCTAGGGATCTAGAATACAGCCTCAGAGGGGCAGAGTTATTGGCCTTAAAGAGGAGGTACAGATGGGGTAGAAAGCACATTCAAAGGGATAATAACAGAGAACTTTCCAAACCTAGAAAATGATACTAATATCCAAGTACAAAAAGGTTATAGGACACCAAACAGATTTAACCCAAAGAAAGTTACCTCAAGTTGTATTATTTTATTTAATAATAAAACTCCCAAAGGCCAAAGATAAAGAAAAGATCCTAAAAGCAGCAAGAGAAAAGATACAAGTAACATACAATGGAGCTCCAATACATCTGGCAGCAGACCTCTCAGTAGAAACCTTACAGGCCACGAGAGAGTGGTATGACATATTTAAAGTGCTGAAGGGAAAAAAAAACCTTTACCCTGGAATAGTATATCCAGCAAAGTTATCCTTCAAACACGAAGCAGATATAAAGACTTTCCCAGACAAACAAAAGCTGAGGGATTTCATCAATACCAGACCTGCCCTACAAGAAATGCTAAAGGGAGTATGTCAATCAGAAAGTAAAGAACATTAATGAGCAATAAGAAATCATCTGAAGGTACAAAACTCACTGGTAATGTTAATTACAGAAAAACCGGAGTATTATAACACTATAACTGTGGTGTGTAAACTACTCTTTAAGTAGAAATACCAAACAATGAACCAATAAAAAGTAACTATTACAACTTTTGAAAACAAAGTACAATAAAATATAAATAGTAAAAAAAAATTAAGGTGCAGAGTCTTTATTAGTCTTCTTTTTGTTTATGCAAACAATGTTGTTATCAGCTTTAAATAATGGGTTATAAGATAGTATTTGCAAACCTCACAGTAACCTCAACCCAAGAAACAATGGATACACAAAAAATAAAAAGCAAGAAACTAAATCATATAACCAGAGAAAATCACCTTCACTAAACGCAGGCAGGAAGGAAAGAAGACGACAGAACAACCAGAAAACAAATAGCAAAATGGCAAGAGTAGGTGCTTACTTATCAATAACAACATTGAATCTCTTCAATCAAATTCTTCAATTGAAACTCTTCAATCAAAAGATAGAGTGGCTGATTGGGTGAAAAATCAAGGCCCATTAATCCTTTGCCTACCAGAAACACACTTGACCTATAAAGACAAAAATAGACTGAAAATAAAGAGATGGAAAAAGATATTCCATGCCAATGAAAACCAATAAAGAGCAGGAGTGGCTATACCTATATCGACAAAATAGATTTCTAAAAAACTACAAGAAGGGGCAAAGAAGGTCACTATATAATCATAAAGGGGTCCCTTCAGCAAGAGAATATAACACTTTTCAAAATATATGCACCCAATACTGGAAAACCCAGATATATAAAGAGAATATTATTAGAGCTAAAGGGATAGGTCCCAATATAATCATAGTTGAGAGTTCAACACCCCACTTTCAGCACTGGACAGATTTAACAGAGAAAAAACCAATAAAGAAACATCAGACTTAATCTGCACAATAGAATAAATGGATCTAATACATATTTATAGAATATTTCATCCAAGAGCTACAGAATACACATTCTTTTCCTCACCATATGGATCATTCTCAAGGACAGGCCATATGTTAGGTCACAAAACAAGTCTTAAAACATTCAAAAACTGAAATAATATCAAGCATCTCTGACCACAATGGAATAAAACTAAAAATTAATAATGAGGAATTTTTGAAACTACAAAGAAATTAAACAATATGCTCTCAAATGACCAGTGGGTCAATGAAAAAATTACAAAAATTGAAAAATTTCTTGAAACAGACGATAATGGAAACACAACATACCAAAACCTATGGGATACAGCAAAAGCAGTACTAAGAGGAAAGTTTAAATCTGTAAGTGGCTATATATCAAAACAGGGAAAAACTTCAAATAAACAATCTAGTGATGTATCTTAAAGGACTAGAAAAGAGCAAACCAAACCCAAAATTAGTAGAAAAACAAATAATAAAATCCCAAAAGAAATAAATGAAACATAAAGTTGGGGTTTTGAAAAGTTAAACAAAGTAGACAAATCTTTAGCCAGACTAAGAAAAAAAAAAGAAAAAATCCAAATAAAATCAGAGACAATTGGTACCACAGAAATTCAAAGGATCATCAGTGGCTACTGTAAGCAACTATATGCCAATAAATTGGAAAATCTAGAAGAAATGGACAAATTCCTAGACACATACAACCTACCATGATTGAAACAAGACGACAAACAAAACCTGAACAGACCAATAACAAGGAATGAGATTGAAGCTGTAATAAAAAGTCTCCCAGTAAAGAAAAGCCTGGGACCCAGTTGATTCACTGCTGATTTCTAGCAAATGTTTAAAGAAGAATTAATCCTACTCAAGCTATTCCAAAAAAAAGAGAAGGAGAGAATACTTCCAAACTCATTCTATGAGGCCACTATTACTCTGATACCAAAACCAGACAAAGCCACACCAAAAAAAGATAACTACAGGCCAGTATCTCAGGTGAATATTGATGCAAAAATCCTCAACAAAGTATTAGCAAACCCAGCCAGGTGCAGCAGCTCATGCCTGTAATCCCAGCACTTTAGGAGGCTGAGGCAGGTGGACTGCCTGAGCTCAGGAGTTCAAGACCAGCCTGGGCAACATGGTGAAACCCTGTCTCTACTAAAATAAAAAAAATTAGCCAGGTGTAGCAGCATATCCCTGTAGTCCCAGCTACTCGGGAGACCGAGGCAGGAGAATTGTTACAACCTGGGAGGCGGAGGTTCCAGTGAGCCAAGATTGCACCACTGCACTCCAGCCTGGGTGACAGAGCAAGACTCCATCTCAAAAATAAATAAATAAATAAAAAATAGCAAACTGAATTCAACAATACCTTGAAAATATCATTCATTGGCCAGGCACAGTGGCTCATGCCTGCAATCCCAGCACTTCAGGAGGCCGAGGTGGGTGGATCACCTGAGGTCAGGAGTTTGAGACCAGCCTGACTAACATGGAGAAACTTCCTCTCTACTAAAAATAGAAAGTTAGCTGGGCATGGTGGTACATGTCCGCAATCCCAGCTACTTGGGAGGCTGAGGCAGTAGAATCACTTGAACCCGGGAGGCAGAGGTTGCGGTGAGCCAAGATCACACCATTGCACTCCAGCCTGGGCAACAAGAGTGAAACTTTGTCTCAAAAAAAAAAAAAAATCATTTATCATGATCAAGTGGGATTTATCCCTGGGATGCAAGGATGGTTCAATGTATGCAAATCAATGTGATACATCTTATCAATAGAATTAAGGACAAAACCCATATGATCATTTCAATTCATGCTGAAAAAGCATTTGATCAAATTTAACATCAGATCATGATAACCCTCAAAAAACTGGGTAAAGAACACATATCAACATAATAAAAGCTATATATGACAGACCTACAGCTAGTATTGTACTGAATAAGGATAAACTGAAAGCCTTTCCTCTAAGATGTGGAACACAACAAGGATGCCCACTGTTATTCAACATAGTACAAGAAATCCTAGCTAGAGCAATCAGATAAGAGAAAGATATAAGGGGCATCCAGATAGGAAAGGAAGAAGTCAAGTTATCCTTGTTTGCAGATGATATCTTATATTTGGAAAAATCTAAAGACTCCATGAAAAACTATTAGAACTATTAGAAACAAATTTAGTAAAGTTGCAGGATACAAAAATCACCATACAAAAATCCATAGCATTTCTATATGCCAACAGTGAGTAATCCGAAAAAGAAATGAAAAGCCACACATAAAATTCAATACCTAGAAATTAACCAAGGAAGTGAGAGATCTTTATAATAAAGACTGTAAAATGCTGATAAAAGAAATTGAAGGACACACAAAAAATGGAGATATTCCATATTCATGGATTGAAAGAATATTGTTAAAATGTCCATACTACCCATAGCAATCTATAGATTCAATGTAATCCCTTATCAAAATACCAAGGACATTCTTCACAGAAATAGAAAAAAAAAATCCTACAATTTACACAGAACCACAGAAGTCCCAGAATAGCCAAAGCTATCCTAAGCAAAAAAGAACAAAACTAGAGGAATCACATAACCTGACTTCAAATTATAGCTGACTACAGAGCTATAGTAAACAAAGCAGCATGGTACTGGCATAAAAACAGACACACAGACCAATGGAACAGAATAGAGAACCCAGAAAAAAATCCACACACCTACAGTGAACTCATTTTTGGCAAAGGAGCCAAAAGCATACACTGAAGAAAGCACAGTCTCTTCAATAAGTGGTACTGGGAAAACTGGATATCTATGTGTGGAAGAATGAAACTAGACCCCTATCTCTCACCGTATACAAAAATGAAATCAAAATTTATTAAAGACTCGCATCTAACACCTCAGCGTACAAAACTACTACAAGTAAACATTGGGGAAAATCTCCAGGACATTGCTCCAAGCAAAGATTTCTTGAGTAATACCCCACAAACACAGGCAAACAGAGCAAAAATGGACAAATGGGATCACATCAAGTTAAAAACCTTCTGTACAGCAAAGGAAGCAATCAACAAAGTTAATAGAAAACCCACAGAATGGGAGAAAATATTTGCAAACTCTGACAAGGGATCAATAACCAGCATATAGGGGGAGCTCAAACAACTCTATAGGAAAAACGTCTAATAATCCTATTTTAAAATGGGCAAAAGATCTGAATACCTTCCTTAAAAGAATATTTACAAACGGCAGTCAGACATATGAAAAGGTGCTCAATACCATTGATCAGAGAAATGCAAATCAAAACTACAGTGAGATATCATCTGATCCCAGTTAAAACGCCTTACATCCAAAACTTGGGCAATAACAAATGCCGGCAAGGATGTGAAGCAAAGGGAACCCTTGTACACTGTTTGTGGGAATGTAAATCTGTAAAACTACTATAGAGAACAGTTTGGAGGTTGCTCAAAATACTAAAAATAGAGCTACCATATGCTCCAGCAATCGCACTGCTGGACATATACCCAAAAGGAAATCAGTATATCAAAGAGATATCTGCACTCCCATGTTTGTTGCAGCTCTGTTCACAATAGCCAAGATTTGGAAGCAATCTAAGTGTCCATGAACAGATAAATAGATAAAGAAAATGTGGTACTTATACACAACGGAGGACTATTCAGCCATTAAAAAGAAGAATGAGGTTGTCATTTGCAACAACACGATGGAACTGGAGGTCATTAGGTTGAGTGAAATAAGTCAGGCACAGAAAGACAAATATTGCATGTTCTCACTTATTAGTGGGACCTGAAAATCAAAACTACTGAACCCATGGAGACAGACAGTAGAAGGATGGTTACCAGATGATAGGAAGGGTAGTGGTGGGGTTGGGGAGAGATGGGGATGGTTAATAGGTACAAAAAATAGAATGAATGAATAAGACCTAGTATTTGATAGCACAACAGGGTGACTATAGTCAATTAATTATACATTTTAAACTAACTAGTAGAACTGTATTGTTTGTAACACAAAGGATAAATGCTTGAGGCGATGAATACCCTATTTTCCATGATGTGATTTTTACACATTGCATGCATGCCTGTATCAAAACATCTGAGGTACTCCATAAATATATATACCTCCTAAGTACCCACAAAAATTACAAATAAAAAATTATTTTAAAAACCAAAAAGAAGAACAAAATAGGTTATTTAAAAACAACAAGGATGGGCTCTATCAGAGTTTAGTTTTTCACTAAGCCCATTTCCTCTTCTTCCTGGACCTACAGATAAACTTTCACTTTATTTTATTTATTGATTTATTTTTTGAAGTTCTAGTTAATGAAATGTGAATGGCAGTGATATGCACCAGTTCCTGGCCTGGACCATAAAATCCTGAGATACATGATCCTCCATCCTTTTTCACCTTCGGCAA
Organism: Homo sapiens; assembly: GCF_000001405.40. Taxonomy (NCBI): domain Eukaryota; kingdom Metazoa; phylum Chordata; class Mammalia; order Primates; family Hominidae; genus Homo; species Homo sapiens. The sequence continues at coordinate 32,988,211 of NC_000008.11, read as the reverse complement.
ACTTGATGGACATCATGAGCATTCTAAGTTTAGAGGCCAATGGTTGAAGATGGTGGAGCCACGAGATGGAAGGAGCCTGGATCCCCAAATCACAGCATGGAAATGAGCTAGCTTTTTGTCTAGGGCTATATTTTAGGCTTTATCTGAGCTAGAAATAACCTTTTGTTTGAGCTATAATACATTTTTTTTTAAGTTTTATTACAGCATCTAGCAAAAACAGCAGCCAAAAACTATTGCAACAAAAGCAAATTGTAAATTCCATGTGGGAAATTATTTATATTTTCATCTTTTCTCAGCATGGAGCATTCCCTTTTATCATTTATATAAACATCTGTATCTAATAAATGATTCCTGATATTTACAATTTAAAGTAGTATTGCTTGCTTTTGTGAAGAATCAAATCCATGCTCATTGTACTTTCATTCCCATATAATTCTCTAAAGTCCTCCCCAGCTTTATTATTCTCCCAGAGCTGTAACTCTGGACTCTTAAGTAGTTAAGTTTAATTCTTCTCCATGTCAATCCTGATATACGCTAGTTTTTGCCTTATATTTTTCTTTCCCCCAAAACTGCCATACCACTATGTAGGGAAGAGTGTTTATTATTCTTCCTCCAATGTCCATTGTCCACTTGAACCACTGTAACAGAACCCCTTTTAGATAAATATGTGGCCAACCCAAATAAATAAATACTGTACTACCTAGGATGCCTTGTATCTACATACAGAGTTTTGGCTAGGCTTTTACCAAATGGATATAAACAGAAATTTGTGCAACTTCCAGATGTATCCTCTTTCTCAGTTGCTAGAACGTGCATGTGATTGCTGGAGTTCCAGCAGCCATCTTGGACCTTAAAGTGACTTTGAGCATAGAAGCTCTGCATGGGAGAAATACAAGATAAAAAGAGGCTGAATTATACCAGAAGCAGAAGATCTTATATTCCTTTTACATGTGAGAGAAATCGATTTCTTCCTAATACAGCTCTTCCTGTTTTGTTTTTTTCTCATAAAACTCAAACATAATTCTAATTTTATCTCTAAGTATCCTAAATAAATGTAACTTCTAGATTTTAGTTGGATATCTACAGTTCTAAATTATTATTCAAGAACCATACATTTGATGGAAAGTTTTTTTCCCAATTGGAGAGAACCCATTGTGTATTTCTTGTAATCCAATAAGGTTATATGATAGCCACGAAAGATACAGATTTTATCTGAGGATCAATTCAGAAAGACTCATCTTCTCTCCCAGAGCTGTAACTGGGATCTTAAGTAGTTAAGTTTAATTCGTGAGCTGGTTCTTAGATGTTGATGTTAACTCTCAAACTCTAGCTGCATACAAATACACATGTGTGTGCACACACATACACAGAGAGAGAGTAAACAAATTTGTTTCTCCAACTGGATGAAGAACATTCTGAGCATATAAACAAAGAAAACGTGCGCCTCACCCAAGCTCTCTGGTTCTACCATTTAACTCTGAATTCCATCAGTACCCTTCTGCAGACAGTTACTCAAGATACTTCTGTCTGTATCATTTACTATTTTCACATATTTTTTACTCAGTATAGTCCAAGCTTCAAAGATGATAATAAAAAGAGCACTGAAATCAGACTGACCTGAATTTACCAACCACATGGTGATTGCGTGTTACTTCATCACTTAGTTTCATTCATTTTTCATCACTTAGTTTATTTTATCTACAAAATACATTTTTTACCTCAGAGTTGTTGAAAGAACTGAATGAGATAATTTAGTGCATGCAAAAACATGCATTAAAGTGTTTTACAGAATATTTGTGCTAAATAATTGTTGACAGATTTCCTTTTTAACTGAACTTCTTTCTCTGTTTTACCGACTGTTTTCCTCTTGAAAGAAACCTTGAAATATTCTAATCCTCTTGAAATATTCTAATAAAATATTCAAAATGGAGAAAAATTAAACAGGATCATCTTAATACTTGAAGGGGCTACAAAGTGAGGTTTATCTACAAGGATGCTCTAAATAAATTTTTTTACACTATTGATTGTTGATCTCAAATGTAAGTATCACTGCTCATGGGTAAAATAATCCATAGGAAACATCAGCTCAAGAATAACCGCAGCCTTTGAATTAACTATTCCAATGTCTAAGAAGTCACTTTAGAAAGACTTCTGGCTTCTACTAAATCTCTATCCAGTACTAACATTGGCTTGCATTTAATACAGGAGGTAATGAGAGGTCATTTGAGTTGTTCTTTGAAGCAGCCAACAACTTTTATGACTGTACTCAGAGGAGAGCCAAGGACTTAATTCTCATTTGTAAACTGAAGACATGTGATTAGGTAACTTTCAGTTGTAAAAATTGTATGATTAGCTAATTATTCATTAGAGAGGTTCTAGCTCGTTAAATTTATCTCACATGAATCAATTTATGTCAGTTCAAGCCTGGCAAAACCAAACCATTAAAAAACAAGTTGTTTTGGGTTTTATCTTGGGCTTGCACAGAGTACACTACAAAAAAATACAAACAAAAATTGTTAAGGATATTTTATCCTGAGGATAATTTAAAATTTTATAGAACAATCAATAGCTTTTTCTACATGGACTATGGTTAAAAGAAGTGGAGGTGGGTTGGGGGAGGAGGAAGAAAAAGAGAGGGCTCAGAATTTCTCCCAGCGTTACTTAACACCATCTTCTTCTGCAGGCAATGATGAATGTAACACTTTTTTCCCTCTCATGATAGCCCTTTCTGTCAGACAAGGACAAACCTCTTATCTTGGGGTTGAATTTTTCTCAGTAATGAGTATTTCCATCTCACATGTTCCAAGACGAAGAGAAGGGAGGAAAAGCAGATATGGAATCTCTCTTCCACCATTCTAACATCATTTTCAGCATTTCTTTAGGACAAGCTGGATGTGGCTATGCCCTGAATACCTTCCCAATCTTCAGCACCAACTAAAACAATTACTTCCTACTCTGGGCTTCCAAAAGAAATTGTAGGAAAAACAGTGAAAATATTTCTTAGGCAGCCATTACCTTTAAGGAACAAATTAGAGGTATTTCCATTTCTTCTGATTAGTAGTGCTATTTTTTATAGCATTCCAGGCAAATGTTAGCACCTGGGATCACTGCAGCCATGCTACATTTAACAGCCACCAGCATTTGGTCTAATATTTACAAACTCTTAGGAAGTAAGTGGGAAGATGACCCTGGTGGAAAATTTGCATAGTCTTTTCCTGTGGGGAAAGGACCTCACAGCTTTACCTAAATGCAGGCAGACTATCCCATCACAATCAAGTTATGGGCATAGAAGGTAACACAAAATGTGTGTTTCTCTCACCACGACTGTTCTCTTGTTAACTAATACACTTTGTAATGACACAGAAAACAGCCTTTTGAAAGAAAATAAAACAAGGGAAGTCCAAATATTTCTCAAATATTTTGGTTATGCAATTGAATACCAAGACCTAACATTAAAATTCTTTTCTTTTTTTTTTTTTTTGAGATGGAGTCTCACTCTGTTGGCCAGGCTGGAGCGCAGTGGTGCGATCTCGGCTCACTGCAACCTCCGCCTCCTGGGTTCACACCATTCTCCTGCCTCAGCCTCCTGAGTAGCTGGGACTACAGGCGCCCGCCACCACACCCAGCTAATTTTTTTGTATTTTTTTTAATACAGACGGGGTTTCACCATGTTAGCCAGGATGGTCTCGATCTCCTGACCTTGTGATCCACCTGCCTCGGCCTCCCAAAGTGCTGGGATCACAGGCGTGAGCCACCGTGCCCGGCCTAAAATCCCTTTTTGTACTTAAAGCTACTACTTTGTGGAAAATTTTATGACAAATTTGTTTCTTGGGATTTGCAGTTGATCAATAGCTTTTATTTCATCTTGAAGCAAAAGAAGACTCTGAACAGAATTCTACTGTGCAATTCAAACAAGTTTTTGTTAGGATTAAAATATATGATGATACTGAGGGATGCTTGCATGTATACATCAATTATTTTTCAAGCTTGAGGTATGGTTGAAAATTTAATATTGTATATATTTAACACATACAACTTGATGATTTGATACCTATATGCATTATGAAATATCCAGTACAATGAAGCCAATTAACATTTCTATCACCTCATAGTTACCTGTGAGGTAAGAACACTTCTGCTCTAACCTCTTAACAAATTTCAAGTATATTATACAATATTGTTAATTATAGTCACATTGTTGTACATTAGGTCTCTAGAATTTATCTTGCAAAACTGAAATTCTGTAGCTCTTCACAAACATCCCCTCATACCCCCTACTCCCTGAACCCTTAGTAACTACCATTCTAGTCTTTGACATTTTTAGATTTGACATTTTTATTTTATTTTTATTTATTTATTTTTTTTTGAGAGGGAGTTTTTGCTCTGTTGCCCAGCCTGGGGTGCACTGACATGATCTCGGCTCACTGCAACCTCTGCTTCCTGGGTTCAAGCAATTCTCCTGCCTCAGACTCCCGAGTAGCTGGGATTACAGGCGCTCACCACCACACCTGGCTAATTTTTGTATTTTTAGTAGAGATGAGGTTTCACCATGTTGGCCAGACAGGTCTCGAACTCTTGACCTCAACCTCCCAAAGTGCTAAAATTACAGGCGTGAGCCACTGCGCCCAGCCAGATTTGACATTTTTTGATTCCATCTATAAAGAACATGCACTTCCTTCAGCCAACAAGTATTTATCAAGTAACAATTATGTGCTAAAACTGTTCGTAGCATTGATTACACTGTGGTGAAAACAAAAATCCATCAGATAAAATCTCTGCCTGTGTAGAGTTCACAGTCTAGTGGGAGAGGCAGACATTACATATTTAAAATTTTAAATAAATATATAATTATTAAAACTAGGTTACTCTGAGACAGGATAAATGTAGAGAGCTTATTTGAATTGCTTTAGGGAGGGAGGTCACATAAGTTCTCTCTGAGAAAGAAACATTTAAATTAAAACCTCAAGGTTGAGTAAGATTTAACCAAGAGGAATGTTTCGGGGGAAGAATTCCAGGCAGAGAAAACTTCAGCACCATCCAGTAGTGCTGAAAGATTCAAGTTTCACCAACATCAGGCCTCAGGTGAGATAATTCTTATACTATGTTTCTAAAAATTGGAAATTTCCTGGATGACATCATGGAGTTGGATCTTCATTATGTATGGAAATTCACAGTGATGAAACACTCCAGTGATTCTCTTGACTGGATAAAATTTGGCATTTATAATGGCTAAAAATAAACTTTAGCTTGTAAGACTTGTTCACCTAATTTCACAGAAACGAAAGTAGTAGCTTCTACTTAAGATTATATTTTCAGATATAAAGTCTTGCTAATAGGGTCAGAAACCCCTAGGAAATATGCACAAATATTTATAGATGATTTCAGATACAAAGAAAATCATGCAGATTGTTATGTTTCTTTCCAGGAGGATCTCCTTGTCATTCAAAATCTTTTTTGAAAAATGCTGAGAGTCTATAACATCATATAATTATGTCATTTCTTATTCTGAAAAGGCTGGTAGTTCTGCCATGTTCACAAGTTCCACAGTGTTCAGAAATACTACAATACTTACAAGAGAGTGCATATATAGACTAAAGTCTGCTTTTTAGTTTAGTTGGTTTTTTTTGTTTTTGTTTTTTGTTTTTTTTTTTGTAGACAGGGTCTTACTCTGTCACGCAGCAGGAGTGCAGCGGCACAAGCGTTAATCATTGCAGCCTTGAACTGCTGGTTTCAGGAGATCCTCCCACCTCAGCCTCCCGAGTAGCTGGGACTAAAGGTATGTGCCACTGCAACCGGCTAATTTTTAAATGTTTTTGTAGAGACAGGTCTCACTTTGTTGCCCAGGTTGGCCTCGAACTCCTGACCTCAAACAATCCTCCTGCCTTATCTTCTCAAAGTGCTGGGAGGACAGGCATGACCCAACACTCCCAGCTTAAAGTCTATTAAATTACATCTCAAATCTCTGCCAAAGATATTGAGATTTCTAGGCTGTATTGTATACAACAGAGCTGCCTGTCTCTCAATTCATTCAAAAAAGTAGGTATATATGATTTTTATTAACTTCCTTATTGCTCTCTTAGCCATTTTCCAAAGGGTATTTCATAAAACATCAGATTTAAGGGCTTACTAGATGTGATGTTAAAAAAAGATTTTTTAATTTAGTGTGTGGAAATGCCAAATCGAACAAATTAAAAAAGTATTATTGCATAATCATTCAGATCCTTTCATACGCTAAACGCTGATTGATAAAATCAAGAGAGGTATTGCACTTGATTTCCAAGATACCTTTATCTATAGGACCTTATTTTAACAATATTTGGGAATCAGCATTCTGTGAAGTACTCTTTGGAAATGCTGCCTTAATGAAAAATTTTAAGTTGAATGAGTGAAGCAGGTATCTAGGAATCACCTTACATGAGAACTTTTACAAAGTGTTAGTAAACAAGGTTTTGCAAATTTCATTATTCAAAATGTCACACTTAGTAAAGAAAAAGAATTGCTACCAATAAAAAGTAATAGTGAATATTAATAACTCTTAAGACTTGCTTTAGCTGAGATCATGTAGAGTTAAATGAGGATATGAGGACCTTACAACACATTAATATGATTTGTGCTGCAACTGCTTTGCAATTATAATAAAATTTCAGACTTTGTTGGAAGCTATTACATTAGGCCAATTTGTTTTCTGCCACTATATTCCATGTCACAGGTCTAAAGAACGCATCAGCAGATAGAGCACAACTATGTTTATCAGTCTTGAATAAACGTGTTTCTTCCAATGTTTGTAGACAAGAACATGCTCAAAGCTTAATATTTATTTTAAACCTACCTGACATTGATTTGTTAACTATGCTTTCCAGAGGCTCCCAAAAAAATCACTGAAGAAAGAAGGTTTTTTTTCCAGTTAGAACGTCAAAGTTTCTCACAGATCATTGTTCTCACAAAAACAACTAGAAAAACTGGACAATTTGGAGGGTTGTGAATGCAAACTAATCAAAATAACTAAATTCCAGAAAGGGAAAAGGCTTTCTTAGGTCAGGTATCAGCAGGTATTGTTCAATGTCCACTGCCTCTCAGGATGCTTGACAGCTTCTGTTTTTATTAGTCAGAGAAAGCTTTATGAGGAGGTGAACTGAGCTTGGATGATAGCATTGGATTAGGTAGGTGGAGAGAAGGCAGGAATTTCAAGTATATGGGGTTCCTGACATGGAGAGTCTCACTCTCTGTTAATGAGACACTGTATGAGTGTGTGTATATATATATATATATATATATACACACACACACATCTATGAGGAGACACTGTGTGTGTGTGTATATATATATACATATATATACACACACACATATATATATAGAGAGAGAGAAAGATAGAGAAGAAAAGTAGACCAGCTGTCTGAATGAAAGCATCATATAAAGGAGCAATGGCATCACAGGAGAGGTGGGTTGACATTATTCTGTGAGAGGTCTTAAATACCAAGCTAAAGTTGTTTACTTTTATTTTCAAGGTCTAATTAAATTATTGAAAATTTTAAGGAGAGAATCCACAGACCCTTTGAAGGAAGCAGATTGCTCCTTCAGGCCCCAGGAGACAGCTGAAAAACTGTGAGTGCCCAAAGTGTGAAAGTATGAAAGAGGGATTGTCTGCCCCAGAACACACACCCTCAATGGGGAACCAACCTGAAGGTTGAGATCACGGGAGAAGGATTTAACCTCACCTGGAGCTGAGACAAATTTAGAGGGCCAAGTGAAATACCCGGGTAGAAGAAGCAGTGGGAAGAGTTCTGTGAGTTCTCCCGGTCCCCAGGGAAGCCATTTCTGACTTTGTCTCACAGAGGTCCTTGGGGAGGGCTGCCAGAGGAACTGGGGAAGGATCACAGGGAGAAGGAAACTTCCAGCTAGACTCTAACAATTTTGACTGAACGTGAAGTTTCCTGGACTCAATTCAGGGGAGGGGGTGAATTAGAAGTACAGACACAGCACGGAATCCCACAGGCTGGGAGGCACAAAACCTGACAGCCCTGCTTGCATTCTTAGCTGGGAGGCTGGTAGCCTGAGGCAAGTTCTCAGCCCTGCTCACCCACTGCCTGGAAATAAACTGGGTGCTGTTGCTGGGTTGGGGGCACAGTGAGAGTGAGACCAGCCTTTTGGGCTGCATGGGAGCTGGGTGAGGCCTATAACAGCTGGCTTTCCCCCACTTCCCTGGCAACCTGGCAACCTGCATGACTCAGCAGAGGCAGCCATAATCTCCCTGAGAACATAACTCCATTGGCCTGAGAACCACAACCCAAATCCACAGCAGCCACAGCAAGCCCGGCCCAAGGAGAATCTGAGCTCAGACACACCTAACCCTGTCCCCACCTGATGGTCTTTCTCTACCCTCATGGGTAGCCACAGACAAAGGACATATCCTTTGGGAGCTCTAGGGCCCCACCCACCACCTGATCCTCCCTATACTACCACAGCTGATGCTCTCTTGAGAGTGCCACCTACTGGCAGGAGGCCAGCCAACACAAAACTAGTGCAATAAACAAAATTACAACTAAGGACCCTTACAGAGCCCATTTCACTCCCCTGCCACCTCCACCAGAGCAGGTGCTGCTATCCATGGGTGAGAGACCTGAAGATGGTTCACATCACAGGACCCTGGGCAGACAACCCTCAGTACCAACTTGGAGCCTGGTAGCTCTGCTGGGTGGCTAGATCCACAAGAGAAATAACAATCACTGCAGTTTGGCTCTCAGGAAGCCACACCCCTAGGGGAACAGGGAGAGCCCTACATCAAGGGAGCATCCCATTGGACAAAAGAATCTGAACAGTACTGAGCCACAGATCTTTCCTCTGATATAGTCTACCCAAGTGAGAAGGAACCAGAAAAACAATTCTGGTAATATGACAAAACAAGATTCTTTAACACCACCAGAAGATCACACTAGCTCACCAGCAATGGATCCAAACCAAGAAGAAATTCCTGAATTGCCAGAAAAATAATTCAGGAGATCCATTATTAAGCTAATCAAGAAGACACCAGAAAGATGTTAAGTCTAACTTAATGAAATAAAAAAAAATGATACAAGATATGAGAGAAAAATCTTCAGTGACATAGCTTAAATAAGAAACCATGATTTCTGGAAATGAAGGACACAGAGAAATGCAAAATACATTGAATGATTTAGGGAGGATTTTCTCTTTATCTTGTGGAATAGTGTCAATAGAATTGGTATCAATTCCTCTTTGAATGTTTGATAGAATTCAGCTGTGACTCCATCTGGTCCTGGCCTTTTTTTATTGGCAATTTTTTACCATGTCAATCTTGCTGCTTGTTATTGGTGTGTTCAGAGTTTCTAATTCTTCCTGGTTTAATCTAGGAGGGTTATGTATTTCCAGGAATTTATTCATCTCCTCTAGGTTTTGTAGTTTATGTGCATAAAGATGTTCACAGTGGCCTTGAATGATCTTTTGAATTTCTGTGGTATCAGCTGTAATTTCTCATGCTTTGTTTCTAATTGAGCTTATCTGGATCTCTCTTCTTTTCTTGGTTAATGTTGCTAATGGCCTATCAATTTTATATACCTTTTCAAGGAACCGGCTTTTTCTTTCATTTATCTCTTGTATTTTTTGGTTCCTCAGTTTCATTTAGTTCTGCTCTGATCTTTGTTATTTCTTTTCTTCTGCTAGGTTTGGGTTTGGTTTGTTCTTGTTTCTCTAGTTTCTTGAGGTGTGACTTTAGATTGTCTATTGGGGCTCTTTCAGACTTTTTGATGTAGGCATTTAAGGCTATGAACTTTCCTCTTAGCGCCACCTTAGCTTTATCCCAGAGGGTTTGGTGGATTGTGTCACTGTTATCATTCAGTTCAAAGAATTTTTAAATTTCCGTCTTGATTTTACTGTTTACCGAACAATCATTTGGGAGCAGGTTATTTAATTTCCATGTACTTGCATTGTTTTGAGGGTTCCCTTTGGAGTTGATTTCCAATTTAATTCCACTGTGGTCTGAGAGAGTAGTTGATATAATGTCAGTTTTCTTCAATGTACTGAGACTTGTTTTATGGCCTATCATATGGTCTGCCTTGGAGAATGTTCCATGTGCTGATGAGTAGAATGTATATTCTGTAGTTGTTGGGTAGAATCTTCTGTAAATACCTATTAAGTCCATTTTTTCTAGGGTATAGCTTCAATCCATTGTTTCTTTGTTCAGTAAGGTGCGATACCACCTTAATTAATGGCCATAATTAAAAAATAAAAAAAATAGATGTTGGCATGGATGCAGTGAAAAGGAAACACTTTTACACTGCTGGTGGGAATGTAAACTAGCACAACCACTATGGAGAATTCCTTAAAGAACTAGAACTACCATTTTATCTAGCAATCCCAGTACTGGGTATCTACCCAGAGGAAAAGAGGTCATTATACAAAAAACAAAAACAAAAACATACTGGTACACGCATGTTTATAGCATCACAATTCACAATTCACAATTGCAAAATCATGGAACCAGCCCAAATGCCCATCAATCAAAGAGTAAAGAAATTGTAGTGTGTATGTGTGTGTGTGTGTGTACGTATATATATATGTGTATATATGTGTGTGTATATATATGTATATATGTGTATATACGTATATACATATATACATATACACATACATATATGTGTATATATACATATATGTGTGTATATACATATATACACACACATATATACATATATATATACACACACCTATACACACACACACACACACACACACACACACACACACACACCCACCATGGAGTACTACTCAGCCATAGAAGGGAATGAAATAATGACATTCACAGCAACCCGAATGAAATTGGAGATCATTATTCTAAGTGAAGTAACTCAGGAATGGAAAACCAAACATTGTACATTCTCATAAATGGGAGCTAAGCTATAAGGATGCAGAGGTATAAGAATGATACGATGGACTTTGGGGACTCGGGAGAAAGGGTGGGAAGGAGGTAAATAAAAGACTACACATTGGGAACAGTGTACACTGCTCGGGTGATGGGTATATCAAAATCTCAGAAATCACCACTAAAGAACTTATTCATGTAATCAAACACCACCTGTTCCCCCAAAAACCTATTGAAATTTAAAAAAAAGAAAAAATATTGAAAGTTTTAAAACAATGAATGAATATGATGAATCTTTACTTGAGGGAGATTAATCTGACAATAAGCAGAATGAATTAGAAAAGACAGAGTGAAGACGAGGAGAAAGCTACAAATGTTGAAGTATAACGTGTCTTGGTATCAGGATGTAATTCCTGAATTCAAAGTGGGTAAAGGAGGTTGGGGGAGGGAGGGAAGGAGACGGATCAATTGGCCACAAAGTACATGTTCCATTTTAAGTCACTAGAACTTTTTATTATAGAGTCTAAATCTCCAGGTGTGGTCTATGCAACTTAAACTTTTCTAAAATCTCAACCAAAAAGCTCTCATGTTCAGCAACAGTAAACTCAATTGCATGCCCATACAGTGAACAGATGTCCAGGCTTTTAACAAATACAATGGAAAATCAAAACCTATGGAAATATTTAAAAATGAAAAATGCCTTGACACATCTAATGTTCCAATTTCTATGTTTTGCATTCCAATTTTATTCCAGAGTGTATTCCATAAGGAACAAATTTAATACCCATATATTTGCAACTCAGATTCTGCTTGATGCAAAGCTTACAGCAATTATTAAATGGTTAAAAATCAGAAATTTCACTGTTATTTTACGGAGACTTTCTAATTTTGATTTTATTTGACTTCTAAGGAAAAAAAAGTGTGTTGAACTCCATGACACGCATGTTATTTATGGAAAATTTAATTTCATAAAGAAGCAAAATAATCTTGCTCTATGGAAATGGTTCAGTGAATACTTCATTTGACCTCTGATATCCTCCTGCTCACCCCCAAACGCTATTCCAGTAATTTTTATCTCCTAAATGGTGAGACCTGACGCTGAAGTAATGAAGCCTGTGATTCAAACAGGAGCCACAGAACACATAACCTCAGTCAGGTAATGATGTTACTGCAATTTTTAATATACTTGCTGGCATTTTCCTTCCATTATATGTTTATTTTTTCTTCTTTTGCAGCCTCTCATTTCAATTTTGAGAGAACCTGAATTTTATTGTCTCTCTTTCAAGCTTACCAGCGAGAGCAGGATTTATTTTGAAGTTTCAGGGAAAGTACTTAATGGATGTTACAACGTATTTGCTGACAATACAAGGTACAGTGCTTAAAAGTGATTAACACCTGCTTTTATCAGGCTTCCAGAACTCCCAAGTTCACTTCTTTAATTCCAAGTAGTTAAACAGCAAAATTGCTCTGAAATGGTGAAAAATTGTTCAAATAATTTCCTTAGAATAATCCTTCCACTCGTAATAGAATTTTCTCCAAGATGCATACTTTTAGCCTTCTCAAGACTTATGTAGCTTCAAGACGTTTCTACTACGTGATAATTTCCAAACTATACGAAGCTCCTTAGACTTTAAATCAATCCTTAATAATTAACAAAAATGTACTGAGAACTCATTATGTGCCTCTCTCTGTGCTGGCTGCCATTAGAACACAAAAATACAGATGACATCTCTCTTTTATTAAGGGGATGAAGGCACACTTCAGGAGACTGACAAGACTCCTGCCTAAAATCATTAGAGGAAAGTTTCAGATGACTTGTAATGTTGTAAAGAAGAATCATGGTGATAGCTACCATTTATTAAGTGTGTGTTATGTGCCAACCCCCTACTTAAGCACTTTAATGTATTATATATGGTTCCAATTACAGGGGCTGCAGGCATTCAAAGGGGGAGAGATCTGTATGAATAGAAATGGCTTGAAAAGATGAAGGAGTTAAGCTGCAGGTCTAGAAAGGCACAGGAGATGCGGAAAGCAGCCTACATAGGGAGGGCATCACAATCACAGGTGTGGTTTGTGGAATTGTGAGGACAGCCTCCTGATAGAGACAGGGACTTAAGAGTGATAAGAACTAGTATCAAGAGTGATTGCAAAATGTTTCCAAATTTTCATCCCTCTCTATTTCCATGATCTATGCATCGTGACTTGCATTCATCTCATCAAAAAGTTTAATGTACTTTCTACATCTTGAATACATACTGATCTTTTGACGTGCTTTGGCCAATATAAAATAGCAACAGTGACAGTGTTCCAGTTCCAAGCCTAGGACTCTAGATGCCTGTGCATTTCTTCCCTCCCTTTCTTTTGTTCTCTCTTGAACCCCTGCCTTCTTCTGTGAGAATAAGACTGGGCTAGTCCCCTGAAGCATGAGACATCATATGGAACAGAGCTGAATCAGCCAAGCCTAAGTCATCCTAGACCAACCAGCCCCCAGCTGACCTTCCAGCTGGCTGTAGTGAGACAGAACAGGGACCCCTCTAAGGGCCCTGCAGAGCCCCCTGAGCCTGAAAATAAAGGAAAATCTTGAGTTCCTTCATGAGAAATTCCAGGCACTCAGCTAGCCCTGAGAACAACTTGATAAGCAAGAAAGTAATAGTAGTTTAAAACAATAGCCAAGAAGGAAGGAAGCTAGAATCATGGGATATTTTGTTCTCTGTAGAAACTAAAGATAACATCTTAACACATGTCCCTGAGTTGTGTTTTAGAAACCCAGCCCCCCACCAAATAGATCTGTGGGCACAGAGGCCTCAGATAAGGGGAAACTGAGGACTGAATTCTGCCTGCCATTCTTTGTTCTAAATTTCTTCCTGAGGTGCTTGGAGGAGGTCATGTCCATGAGCCAAAGCTAACACTCTTTTCTGCTGATCCCAAATTTTCAGACAAAGCTTTGCCCTCTTAACTAATCACAAATCAGAAAATCTTTGAATCCACCTATAACCTGTAGGCTCCCACTTGGAGATGTCCTGCCTTTTTAGTTCAAACTAATATATAGCTTCCATGTTTTTACTTATGACTTTGCCTATAACCTCAGCCTCCCCACCTTTAAAAACCCTTCTCTATCAGCCATCTGGAAGTTCAGGTCATGAGCGTTAGCTGCCTGATTTTCCTTGCTTGGTGCTCTGCAATAAATGTCTCCCTTTCTTTTGCCATAATCGCAATGTCAGTGTTTGGCTTTGCTGCACTGGGCGAGTGGTTCCTAGTCTGGTTCAACAACAGCAGGCTCATGAGTGAGGTCAGCCACAGAAGCACCAATAGCTGTCTGATACAAATGACAAGCAACAGAGTGGTGAAAATAAGGCCTGTTTACAAAGGGCTTAATAAAAAAAAATTACTCTTTGAGATATGCTTTATACTTGCCTTGTAGAACATCAAATTCATTTATCTTCTTTTGCCTCATTTGTTTGTTCCTTCTTAGTTTCCTTTGCTGGTTCCTCCTGTTAAAGTTAGACTGCCCAGAGCTAGTCCTTAGGCCTTCTCTCCAGCTATATCTGCTAGCTTATTAACCTCATCCAGCCATGTAGGTTTCAATTTCATTTATGTGCTGGTAACCCCTAGTTTTACATCCTTAGCCTAGGTCTCTCTCCCAAAGTCCTGTCAACTGTCAACCTGGCATTTCCACTCATAAGTCTAATAAGCATTTGAACTCAGTGTATCCAAACTTGAGTTCCTGATCTTTCAGCTCGGTCCCTGGTCCACATTAGCCTTCCCCACATCAGTTTATCAGGAACTTGTTACTTCTATCCTTGCCTGTCTACAGCCTATTCACAATTCAGTAGACTGATTCTTTTAAGAAACAAGTCAGATTATGTCATTTTTCAGTTCAAAACCCTGCAATGGCTCCCCATTTTACTCAAAGTGAAAACCAGTGTGCTTACTGTGGGCCTTATAATGTCTAGTCCCTGTGACCATCTGTATTACTCTGTTCTCACACTGCTATAAAGATACTACCTGAGACTGGGTAATTTATAAAAGAAAGACGTTTAATTGACTCACAGTTCCACATGACTGGGGAGGCCTCAGGAAACTTACAATCATGCCAGAAAGCAAAGGTGAAGCAAGGACCATCTGCACGTGGTGGCAGTGGGGAGAAGTGCAAACAGGGGAAATGCCAGATGATTATGAAACCATCAGATCTTGTGAGAATTCACTCGCTATTATGAGAACAGCAAGGGGGGAACTGCCTCCATGATCCAATCACCTCCCATTGGGTCCCTCCCTCGACATGTGGGGATTATGGATATTACAATTCAAGATGAGATTTAGGTGAGGACACAGCCAAACCATTTCACCATCCTGACCTTCTGCTTCACTGCTCCAGCTGTTTGTCCTCCTTGTTTTTCTCAAGCATGCCCAATATGATCCTACCCTGGAGCCTTTGCTCAAGCTGTCCTTTCCACCTGGAATTTTCTGAAACATGTACGTCTATCTTAGGACTTTGATTAACTGTCCTTCACCTGACCACTTTTTCTTGGGATCAGGATTTCTATGAGACAAATCTTCCCATTTGCATTCAAGTCATTGCTCAGATGAGGCCTGTGTTGGGCCATTTTTGTGTTGCTATCAAGAAATACTTGATGCTGGGTATTTTATTAAGAAAAGAGGTTTAATTGCCTCATGGTGTTATAGGCTGTGCAAGCATGGCTTCAGCATCTGCTTCTGGTGAGGACCTCAGGATGCTTACAATCATGGTGGAAGGGGAAGGGGGAGCAAGCACATCACCTGGTGAGATCAGGAACAAGAGAGAGAGCAGAAGTGAGGGAGTGAGAGGAGGGGCCAGCTCTCACGTGAACTCACTCATCACCAAAGGGATGGCGCTATGCTATTCATGAGGAATCCGCTTTTATGATCCAATCACTTCCCACCAGGCCCAATCTTCAACATTGGGGATTACGCATCAACGTAAGATTTGGAGGGGACAAACATCCAAACTGTGTCAAAGAGACAGCTAGAATGATGACTCCACAAGAGCAGAGAACAGTCAGTTATGGTCACTGAGGTTTTCCATGCCCTAGAGCAGGACCTGACCACACTGGCCCTCAACAAATATCAGTTTGTTGAAGAAATGAGTGAAGATGCCATAAATCTCTGTTTTGGAAAAGGAAAAAAAAAAAACCCATCACAGGCATAATAGGGTTCACAAAAATAATGGCAGCATGGCTTAGTGTAGCCTCTGAATTCAGACTGCCTGAGTTCAAATCCTGGCTTATCTACTTGGTGGTGAGATACTTTGGACAATGTGTTTGATATCTCTGTGCTTTGTTTCCTGTTCTATAAGGATAATACTAGTACCTATTTCATAGGCCATAAAGAGAGCTCAAAGAGTAAATTGATCTAAAGTAATTAAAGTAATGCTCAGAAAATTCTAAATACTAAATACACATTGCATTTTATTATTCTTAGTACCTATCTCATAGATTCCATATAAAGATTGGTTAAAATAAAATTCTTAACATAATAAATACTCAATTGATATTAGCTGATGATCTAGTTTCTGCATTTCCAGGATGCTTGCTTCTCCACATCAGGAAGTGGTTTTAAAAAAATTCTACTTTCAGTGTACAATATATATATTTTAAATTAAAACAGGGTCTTGTTATGTCGCCCAGGCTTGGTCTCAAACTCTTGAGCTCAAGTGATCCATTTCAGCCTCCTGAGTAGCTGAACAAATTTTTTTTTTAAATAGTCTTTCCTTTATGAAAACTCAAAATACACCCCATCTTCATACTATTTATCTCTTTAAAGTATTTTTCCCCAGGAAACTTCCTGGTTAATGGTTAAGGTTAGTTTTTTTTCTTTCCCTAATTATTTTATAAATATCAGTTTTCTCCTAAGAAGCCATCATTTGTTTCTTTAATGAAGGAGTTGTGTGTGTTTAGTTGTAAGAGTTAAGAGGGGGGCAGATCACGAGGTCAGGAGATGGAGACCATCCTGGCTAACACAGTGAAACCCAGTCTCTACTAAAAAATACAAAAAAATTAGCTGGGCATGGTGGCGGGCACCTGTAGTCCCAGCTACTCGGGAGGCTGAGGCAGGAGAATGGCGTGAACCCGGGAGGCGGAGCTTGCAGTGAGCCGAGATCGCGCCACTGCACTCCAGCCTGGGCGACAGAGCGAGACTTCGTCTCAAAAACAAACAAACAAACAAACAAAAAACAAAACAAAACAACAAAAACAGTTAACACTAACCAAGAGACTGCACTTAGTAAGTTCTTTAAAAGGGATTGTTAATGTTCTTTCCTTATTACTATCATAATTATTACTATTAGTTTTTTGAGTCCCGGCAATCAGCTTGAATTGATAAAGGCTAAGGAATTGTGATTTTCTTAGTGAATTTTGCTTATCCTGGTTAGTAAGCACAGTGCCTGAGAATACATACTTGCTATCAGGTTTTCTGCTAAGAGAAGGGATGACCCTATTATGCTGCTAACACTCATTACTTTAGACATGGTGCTGAGAGAGAGCAGAGAAGGTATTTGGGGGGCACTGCTTTCCTATAGGTTATTGGATCATCTGATTATTGTTCTCTGCTTTATGGATCCATATGGACTCTCTTTGCAGGTATGAACAATAGCTAAATTCAATAAAAATAAAATTAAAAACCCCACTAGGAACTAGAAATATAATAATAGAATATCTTATTCTGCTGGTCCTGGGAAGTGTCCTACTAACTTGTCTATTATTTCATCCCCACCTCCCCCGCAACCCTCCCTGGGTAGGCTTTGTGTTCTTTCTTCCCAGAACAACCAAGTCTATCATATTTCAATTCCTGGAAACAATTCATCATGCCAGCATAACAGTTACTACCAATTCATGATATCTAAGACACTCATTTTCTCAATTCTGACATCAAAGTGCGCAACCTTCTTAGAAGACTTATATCACCACACACTGAACTGAAACATACACATAATGATCCCAATTTTTAAGTTAAGGTAAAAGAAAGCCATTGTGTGGATGAGAGCATTGATGTTTTGAGTGTATCACAGAAATGGATGAGAATTCAAAGAATTGCATGGCTGAAGGAAATCTGAGAGTTTTCCTTCTGTTATTGCCATCACCTTTATTAATATCTATATTGAAATCACTTTAACCAGATGGTAGTGTGTATATGTACATATATGTATGTGTATTTGGCTCAATATGCCAAGAACAGAAGTCAAGCTTCTTTATATATTTGGCAATGAATTTGGAGATTCTTAAGTCCTCCAAAGGTTAGTATATGAATGTAGACTTTAGCCACTTTTCTTTTCCAATGAATGAAAACTCAATTCTATTAAACAAGCACCTCACCTGTTGAGTGGTGAAAAGAGTATTGAGTGAATCAGAAGATACAGACCTTTCCACTTAGCAGGTGTGTGACCCTAGGCAAGTCACAGTATCTCTCTGGCATTCATGTTTGGATAATCTCTAAGAATCCTTCTCAATTTAATATTCCTTGACACTGTGATTTTTCTATAGCACTGACTTTCTAGTTTATGAACTTCTTCCAACAATCACCACGGACAACCTACTTATCCCTGCAAGAAATGATTTTGGGGAAAATTTTGCTAAATAAAATTTTAGTATGTTGATATTAGTTTGTATACTGTAGTTATATGGAGCTGTCAAGTTTAAGTTTGGCCAGAATTATTATAGTGCTGATACCCACACTTTTCCTTGCATTCAGCCTCTAGTAAAAAACTAAAATATGGCAAAATGATTGACATCAATGTGTTTTTCCTAAAAAAGTCATGACTTGGAGTCCCTACACATTAGACTCGACATAATCTACCTCCAATTGCCTTCTCTATCATTCTTTCTGTATGGTGATCATAAATGTTCAGAATGATGACCTCAAGTTACCGCAAGATCTTTGGGCATAAAAAAATAAACTATGCTAAAAATATACTCTACCTAATAAGAAGGAAAGTCATTCAATTTTTTTTTTTTTTGAGACTAGGTCTCACTCTGTTGCCTAGGCTAGAGTGCAGTGGTCCCACTGTAGCTCACTGTAGCCTTGATGTCCCAGGCTCAAGCAATCCTCCTACTTCAGCCTCCTGAGTAGCAGGGGCTACATGCACATACCATGCCTGACTAATTTTTTATTACTTGCAGTAGAGACAGGGCCTTGCTATGTTGTTTGGCTGGTCTCAAGCTCCCAGCCTCAAGCAGTCCTCCCACCATGGCATCCCAAAGCACTGGTATCACAGGCATGAGCCACCACACTAGCCCTAGGCTCAATAGTTATCTACAGACCTGTCACTCAGATTTTTTGAAAGCCATTGCTACCGTGTCTGCAACTACTTCCAGGCTATGGTCTGCAACCATAGCCAGAGAATTAGTGACTGGAGGCTACAATGTAGTCATAGAAAAACCCATCTCCACAATCTAGCTTGGCGGCAAAAACAAGAGTAGCAGCACTCAGAAGGTTTCCATCTCACTTCTGTTGGGTCTCATACAATGAGATTCC
The DNA here is from genome assembly GCF_000001405.40 of Homo sapiens. Classification (NCBI taxonomy): domain Eukaryota; kingdom Metazoa; phylum Chordata; class Mammalia; order Primates; family Hominidae; genus Homo; species Homo sapiens. The sequence continues at coordinate 32,968,830 of NC_000008.11, read as the reverse complement.
TCCAACTCTCATACCATGCATCCAACTGGAAGAATCTAATTGGAGTGCAGTGGTGCCATGAACTACGATGGCATCACTGCACTCCAACCTGGGCAACAAAGCAAGATCCTGTCTCAAAAAAATATTTTTATATTGATCCTAGAAATTCCCATTCTCTGTTTGGAACGTGGGAAAGGTATGTTTTCCTTCTGATAGGCCAGTTAGGAGATCTTATTGGCGGTACTCCTAGATACTCAGCCTAAAGCTCATTCTGGTAACCCTTCCAACAATGCATGAGCATTCAAATCTCTGTATTAAATCTCTTTCTGCTTAAAATAGCTGGAGTGATTCCTGCTTCCAGCAGCAAATATTTGCTGACTGTAGACCAGTGTTCAGACTGCAGAAGTTCAGAGAAGAAAATAAAAAATGAGAACAAGAATTATAAAGAAGAATCTTAGGGACTAAGCATGACAAACCTGCCCCTTGGTGACTGGGAAAGCACACATTTGATAATTATTTGAAAGGTTTGGGTAAGATTTGACTACCAATTCATACTTGCACTTTATATATGTCATAATAATTTGGGTTTTTAAACCAGTCTGCAGATGATAAGACCATAGAAAATCCCAAAATCCACTGCTTTTGGAAATTTCATTTTACTAACTTCAATTTTAAGGGATTCCTAATTTCTTAGGCTCCAATGTGTGAAATGATCCCCAAAAGAGCCGTTTCTGTTGCTTTAGCCCCAGACCTTCAGAGTAAATCACAAATGATAAAAAATGTGTTCCAGATATTTTAAGGATAACACATAAGCCAGCCAAAGTCAGAAAATATAGGCTTAAGGATAAAAATCCTCCTGAGTCCACCCTCTTGTGCCAAAGTTTTATAGGGATTGTAGTTTGGTTTTGTGGTTTAAGGTCTCAAATCATGAAAGGTCAAATTAGGAAGTGGTGCTGGGGGATTCTAGGAACGCTGCTCAAATTGACAGAAACCTCAGTCATGTTAGGAAGTACCCGTGTGCTGCTTTCATCTTATTTTCTTGGACTGCTATAGAATTTTCTTGCTCCCTGAGGTTAACCACTCCAAAGAAACCTGGTCTTTTACTGGGCCTAGTTCTCTTCATTATACAAAGCAATTGTTCTTGGCCTCTTCTCTCTAAGGTATAAAGTGATAAGCATTTCTTTTTTCTACTTATTCCTCCAAGTGACTAGTCAGCTCTGGCCTAACCTCTTTAGTATAGGTCTCCTTTTGACATAAGGCCACAGAGGACACGGTCTTGGTTATCTGCATCTGAGAGCAGGGCTTAGGAGGTAGTTCTAAGCCTAAACCATTGGCCAGTTACACATCAGCAACCACAGAGCACACTAAATTAGCTAAGATCAGGATAGGGCTAAATATCTGATCTGTCCATTTGCTTGGGACATGACAACTGGCTGAGGTACAGAAAGTAATTTCCTCCAGGAACCGCCAAAGAACCAAAAGGTTTTCCTGCTCTGTTTTTTTCTAGAAAACACAAGTTTCTGTCCTTTGCCCCTAGTTGGCCTTGCGCTTACTCTCAATCTATTCCTCAATTATCAGAACCATTAGGCAATAATAAATGAAGCATGAAGGTAAAGAAGGCAGAAAGTCAGAAAATCACAGTTGTTAACCCCATGAAATTGTTAATATGAGGCCTGGTATTCCAGGCTCATCACTCCAGGGGCTTCCAGCTCCAAGTGCACAGGAATGTAAGAAGCAGATGGTGGTGAGGCCATCCCAATTCTTCAGAAATTAATTTTAAGGTAGATTTTATAGACCATGACAGGATCACATTAAAGGAAGTCAGAGACACTCCATAGCATGAGGACTCACAGTCGAAACTGTGGATCTTTGAGGTCTTCTCTGGAAAGTGTTTTGAATCTTGCTAAACCAACAGGTACTCTCCCTGTCTGCTCAAAGCCTCTTTTTCTCAACTTCTCACTTCTTCCTACCTTGATGAAATCTGTGTGTTATAGTAAATAAGTGGTCAGATCATGAATCTTGTCTCTGTGGTGAAAAGAGGTCCAGCCTTGGGCTAGCCTCAAGCATAGGTAGCTTTGATGGCAGCAGAGAGCGAAATGAGAAGGCTCAAATCTCTGACAAATCACCCCCACCCATGGCTCCACTCAACATTCTCACAAAAACTTATTCCTTCAACCCTAAACTTTTTTCCCTATTAAATACAAATGACCTTTATCTTAGTTCATTTGCACTGCTATAACAGAATACCACAGACTGGGCAAGTTAAAAACTTTAGAAGTCTATTTCACACAGTTGTAGAAGCTGGGAAGTCCAAGTTCAAGGTGCTGGCCGGTTCAGTGTCTGGTGAGAGCTGCTCTCTGCTTCAAGATGGCGCCTTGTCGCATCCTCCTGAGAGGACAAACACAGTGTCCTCACTCGGCAGAAGGGCGGAAGATGAAAAAGGGCCCAGCACTGTGTGAAGCCTCTTTTATAAGGGCCTTAATGCCATTCACAAAGGAGGAGCCCTCAAGACCCAATGACCTCCTAAAGGCCCTACCTCTTAATACTATTGTATTGGAGATTAAGCTTCAACATGAATTTTGGAGGGACGCAAACTTTCAAACCATAGCAGCGTTCTGCCAGTAAATGCTTTATGTAATTATCATTTCTATCCCAGGATGAACCCAAAATATAATTTTAGTTTTTTTATTGAGGCTTAAAAGAGACAGCATGAAGGCACCAGGTGCTTATAGATTGAGAAACCCAAGGGATACTTGGAGGGTAAGTGAGCAGATTAGAGAAACTGGGGCTTATTAAAAAAAAAAAATTAACTTTCTAAGTCTGTGGAACCTACATTGGCTCCAGGGCATTATATTTTAGTGCTTGCTTGTTTTGTTTTTCTGATGACCTATAAAAGGATTCTTTCAGTGTTAAAGAATAACCCACTCTAATCCCTCTAGAAATGTGAAAAGCATTCTCTCTGTATTCTCCTTGCTGGAGACCAATCTTCAGCAAATGGAATTTCCCACATTTCCTAAGATGAAGAGAGTCTATAAAGGAAGCAAAGATGCAAGTAAAAATGTCTTCACAACTACTCACAAGAAAACATTAGAAAATGGAAGAGAGGAAAAACAAAAGGCATCCTAAAGATAACCTACAGAGTGAAGCTCTGTAGGTTTACAAGGAAAAATACTTACGGTAGCAAACTTGCTTCTGGATTAAATAATTTTTTGTAGAGTTTTCCTATGACATTTGTTGTAATAAGATTATTACAAATGACAAATAATATTTGTTTGTTGCTTAGTGATTTACAAGCCTTTTCTCATGACAAAGATAAATCTATTGGAAGAAACTTAGATTTCTAAATCTATTTGCAGAGAGAAGACTGATCATATTGGAAATATTAAAGGTAATACCGATTTTTATAGAAGACGTGGGAATTCTTTGAGGTGAAATGTAAGTACCAGGAAATCCCAGAGATCACCACTACAGGGAGAAACATTTCATGTTTGTTAAATTAAGAAATGGCATTTGACAGGGAGTTCTCCCTCCTTAACTACAAGCTGCTGACTTAACTCAAATCTGTACTAATTGAGGGTTTTGTTTGGCTCAAAAATAGGCTCTTAAAAAAAAAAAGAAGGCACAAATGTCCATATATTACACGCCATTCCTAATTATAAAATATAAATGGCAGTACTGAGTCAGCTCAATTTCCCATTCCAGATATCACATATGGTATTAAGTTCAATAAAGTCAAAATGTAATGAAGGTACTAGAAACATAAAGCTTGTATTGGTCAAATATGCTTTATCATAGGTTTTTATAATATGAAATGAAGTTAATTTCATACTTATCTCACATAACCAGAATGTGAACATTTCTGAACCTAGAGGACTCCTGGGATTTGGGGACATAGAAAATTATGATATTGCCAAAAAACATTATTTTAAGACTGTACAGCTTTTTCATGAGGTTGTTACACTTACTAAACATGACCCTGCTAGAACTATGGACTAGGAACTCAAAGGCAGTCCTTTGCTCTTTGGAGAAAATTACGAAAGGCACTTTCCCTGAAAGAGGATTTGATCACCTACATCCCACACCAGGTATCCTGACCCTATCTACCTGGAATCAGCAATTCTCTGCTCTTGTGTTATAAAATGGACTGTTAAGACATGAGAATGGGATATCAGAATTAACAGGAGGATGACTTGTTCTCAGGACCCCTAATCTGTTATATAGTTTAAAACAAAGATGGGGAAGATTTTCATTAAGCAACAGTTATTCACTTATCTACCTATATCTCATGTCTCTCCAGAAATTATTAGGTTGCTGTCAAGAACACAAAGGAAGAGAGTGATAAGACAGAACTGCTTGGCATGCTACTTTTAATTTTTTTTTTTTTTTTTTTTTAGTTTGGAAAAATCCAAATTAAAAAAGTCAAAGTTTTAGAGTGGTCACCATATTCCTCTTTTTTTTTAGAAGAAATCCATCACTTTGATTAATGTTTACATCTATCAAATACCTTTTGGTTGAGGCCTATCTTCACTAACTAGTAATGCTGAATTTCCATTCATGACATGGCTCTATAGCTCATTTCCCTCCCTCTGTTCATTTGTCAAGGATCTGAGTTTGAGATTCTGAGAGTAGAAAAGGGTGTTTGAAAACATCTGGCTTAGTCTCTTCATTTTACATAATGAGCAACCCTAGGCTTGGGCATTTAAATAACTGGTCCAAGGTTACTCAGCCATCTAGTGGCAAAGACAAAACCAGAGTCCACACGTAGTCCTTCTCCCATGTCTCCTGTTTTTAAAATTCATCATGTATGGTCTCTTTAAATCCTTAACTTTCCCATATATCCAGCATTTTCCTTCTGGAGATTGGTCAACGTGAGTGGACACTAACATAAGTCATGGACCCCACTAGATTCAACCCAGTCTTTGTGGGGGAATCCAGACATAATCTTACCATTGTTGGGAACCTCACTCAATTTTTTTGTCATCTTCGACTAACAGACACCTGTCCTCTGCTTTAATATTATAATGTCAGAGGATGCTTGAATTTCCAAGATAGGTCACTCCTTTACTGAGCAGAGCTTTTTATATGGAGAAGTCTGTTTTGAGCAAAATATGCCCACCTACAACTTCTACCCATCAGGCAAGGTTTCCCAATAAAGAGAAAGTGGCTCACTTCCCTACCCCAGTACAAGAAAAGAGCAAACCATCTCCCTTGGGTCTCAGTACTTGAATCTTTGAAATTTAATAAGACATTTCCAGCCCAGAGGGCATTCTGAGAGAAATCTCAAACCTAAGGCATGTCTTCTGTTCCTGTGAGATTGACGGTTGCCATGGGGATGGGGGGACGGATGCTGTCCTCAGGCACTACATGATTTCATCCCAGCAGAGCTCCTGCTGGGACCTAAGTGCCTGCTAAGATTTTATAGAGGTCGATCAGCTGGGCCTAGCACAGGAAGTGCTGGGTCCCTCTGCCCCAGAGCGAGGGAACATGATTTATTTAGTGTGTATGGAATGACTCTAAAATCCTTGCCTTGCTTCCCTCACAGAAAAACATAGAAATTCCAATTTTATTAGAACTCCAGGCTCCTGTTTTCAGTAATAATTCTGGGGTGGATTTCAATGATTTATAATTAAAAAACAGCATCTCAATAAACCCTCCACCAATCAAGTAGCCATTGGTCCACTAGATGCATCTAAATGCAGGTCAGATTCCAAATGTTAAGCTCTTGACTCTTCTGTGGCTGTACCCATGAGAAAGCAGCCCAGATTGGCTTCACAGCATCCTCAGCATGACTCTCTAGGGCTGGGAATTTCAGCTGAGAATTCTGTTAGTCCAGTAGGCTATTTCACAAACTAATGAGAAAGTCTGGTCTTGGAAAGAAACACCACCCGGAAGACAACAGGGCCATGTTGTTTAGAAGGGGGAGACTGCCAGCTGAAACAGGCAGCCAGGAGACACCTAATATAAAATCCAGGGCTGGATTTTGTATCCAAGTGGGTCGAGGGAGAGCATTTCTTGATAGTAAAAGTCCTATCCCTAGAGACTCTGAAGAACCCTAGGGAAGTCTCATCCCATTCATCACCATTATTTTGTCAGGAAGTAGAAAATTGGACCTATGTTAAGTCCTTAAATAGATTTAGCAGTATCTTCACCAGTTCACAGACAGAACATCAGCTGGCATTATCAAAGTCAGTATCTTGCCTAGGTATTCTTGACTATATGGATGTGATCAAGAAGTAGACCATTTCTAAGACACTTCCCCAATATAATCTTAAATTAAAAAGCGTCATTATATTCCATGGTGGTAGTTCTTGGTAGCTTTAATTCTTCCCTGGAAATTTCAGTGTCCAGTAGAAAGCCACTTTCTTTAAATAATAAGGAAGTTTGTTGTGCAGGGGAGAAATTTCCTGAAAAACAGTGTGCTACCAGCCAACTTCTCAACATTAGACTATTGTCATGGGTCCATGATGTGCATATAATGGGTTAGGTTTTTAAAAATTATTTAAGATGTACAAAAAGATATAAAGAATATGGTGAATGCCCATGATACACTACATAGCACAGGAAATTTAAAAATGACCTATAAACTTGAAGCCTCTCTATACCATCCCCAATCTCATTCCCCTAGGCTCCCGGAAGTAATCAATCCCTATGCTAAATCACATGCTTTTTATTCTCAAGCATTTCTTTCTAAAATTAATATACAACATTGACTTGAATGATTGCATATTTTGTATAAAAGATATTTTACACATATTTTTCTATAGTTTGATTTTACTCAACATTATATTTGAAAGATTCATCCACATTAATAAATATAGCTCCAGTCCATTCATTTGCATTGCTAATTAGTTTTTTTTCTGTATTTTCCTGTTGATAAATATGTAGGTAGCTTTAATTTTGGTTAAAGAATATATTCTTTCAGCTTTGTTTTTGTCAGATTATTCTTGAAAGCAGTTAAACTAATATACACTCAGATGGGCAATTATTAGGGTCCCTATTGTTTTACATTCTTGCTAACACCTGCTATTGTCAACCACTTACAATTTTTCCCAGTCTAAGGCTATCTCATTATGATGTTAATATATATCTGATTTTGAGTGTTTTAAGCATACTATTATGTCTTTTATACTCATTTGTTTCCCATTTTTCTCTTCCATTTCTTACATTAAATATTGGCCCCCTTCTCATACACACATAACCAGTGCTTTCCACTGCTATGTGTATTCTGGAAGGCAGGAACACAGAGGCTTTCTCAATTCTTAAAACAGAGTCTGACCCAAATAAGGTGCGTACTACATATTTTCTGAATAAATGAAATTGTATTTTGTTGTCTCTGAATTCACTACAGGTTTTGATGACAGAAATTATCAACTAGCCTCTCTGCCTATAGCAACTTCCTCCTGCGTATCCTTCCAGTACACCATTGCTAGTTACTTTTGTCACTTCCATGTTTAAAAATCTCCCATGGCTCCCTATGGCTGAGCAGGACAGGTTAAACTTCTCATGCAGACAGTTACGGCCCTTCCTCGAATGGATCCCTTTTGTTTATTCCACGTGTGTTTCACTGTGGCTCTAATATGAGCCCTCTGCTCTGTGCAAGTTGGTTTTCTTACTCTTCCCCTCATGAAATAGCTTACTGACTATGAAGGCTATTCTTAGAATCTCTATAATTTTGTATGTGTAGAAAATACTGCACATTTTTTTATTAGCCTGTAAGAACACTGAAGGGCAGAGTCTTCATCTTTTCAACCTGGAACACAGTAAGAATAATCGTTGGTTTTTGGATGAATGGATTGTGGGGTTTTTTTGTTTCCTCAGGTAAATTTTTGCAAACAACATCAACCAAAAACTCATCTCTAGTACAAAACTGATGAAGTGAGTATAAAAACAAACCTAGGGATTCACAATCACAGTTCTCATGATAAAAACATGCTATAAGTAGGTACCAGGCACTGTGCTCTATAAGAAGGATACAAAATTTTTTCATGAGTTTTCTGAAAGCGCTTAGAATATAAAAGAGAAGATAAACATTTTCATAGCTGTATCTCCCTCTCTCTCTTCATCTATATCTATATCATGTTCTCTAGGCACAGCTGTAGAAAAACTTACCCTGTCTGGGGTGTTTAGACACAAACTAATGACCAGAAAATGTGATCTTCAGAATGGTGCTTGGAAGTCATTCCTGTGACTTAAAAAGTTCAGCTACTTTCTTTTTATTTTATTTTTTTCTTAGACAGGGTCTCACGCTGTTGCAATCACAGCTCACTGCAGCCTCAACCTCCCTGGGCTCAGGTGATCCTCCCACCTCAGCCTACCAAGTAGACTACAGGTGTACACCACCATGCCCAGCTTCTTATTTTTCCTTTTTTTGTAGAGACCAAGTCTTGCCATGATGCCCAGGTGGGTCTCGAACTCCTGGGATCAAGTGATCTGCCCTCTTCTGCCTCCCAAAGTGCTGAGATTACAGATGTGAGCCACTGCACCCAGCTAAGTCAGCTACTTTCTTTCAGCAAATGATAGGCTCAGAGAGATTAAACTCAGAAAGGACTAAATGCAAATAGCTGAGATCTTGCCTTCACTTCCTTCTTACAGTGAATAAATATGCACCCAGAATGAAGTGAGGCAATAAAGGTCCTTTATATAGGAAGATTCATAAAGGACAGAAAGCCAAATAGAGATCTAGAGTCCAACCTGTTTTTCCTTTTCCTATATTTTCTATTGGTACATGCTGAACAGACTTTTTTTTTTTTTTTTTTTGAGATGCAGTCTCCCTCTATCACCCAGGCTGGAGTGCAGTGGCGCACTCTCGGCTCACTGCAACCTCCGCCTCCTAGGTTCAAGCGATTCTCCTGCCTCAGCCTCCCAAGTAGCTGGGACTACAGGCACATGCCACCATACCCGGCTAATTTTTTGTATTTTTAGTAGAGATGGGGTTTCACCATGTTAGCCAGGATGGTCTTGATCTGCTGACGTCATGATCCACCTGCCTCGGCCTCCCAAAGTGCTGGGATTATAGGCATGAGCCATTGCGCCTGGCCACATCTTTCTTATACTAAAAGCAGAAGCTCTGTGCTGAAGAAAAGAACAATGAAGTCTGCAGAAGCCTGATGTTCTAGTTCTGTGCTACCCACTGTGCACAAAGGAGTTGCACCATGTGGTCTCCAGCATGTATCTAGTTCTAAAATTCTACGTCCCAATGATTCTAAAGTCAGAAGTGTCCTCACTGCATGTTATAGTTATTGACAAATCCAATATCTACAAGAGTTTCTGTGTATATATTTCAAGTTTTGAAAACACAAGTCTTAAGTTTTTTCTCAAAATATAGATAGTAGTTAAAAATACGAAATCACTTAATAAACACCCTAAATACTTGGTAGAATTTCAAAGTCTCTATCAATTTCAAAGGGAAGCACTTGGGTTTTCCTGGAACCTGTACTTTAAAACCAAGATCTTTCAGTAGATAGTTGCTTGCAAGGGGAAATCCAAGGGAAAAGAAATGTTCACCCACTTAAAAAAAAATCTCTCGGCTGGGTGTGGTGGCTTATACCTGAAATCCCCGCACTTTGGGAGGCCGAGGCGGGTGGATCACCTGAGGTCAGCAGTTCACGACCAGCCTGGCCAATGTGGTGAAACCCCGTCTCTACCAAAAATACAAAAATTAGCTGGGTGTGGTGGTGGGCACCTGTAATCCTAGCTACTGGGGAGGCTGAGGCAGGAGGATTGCTTGAAACTGGGAAGTGGAGGTTGCAGTGAGTTGAAATACTGCCATTGCAGTCCAGCCTGGGCGACAAGAGTAAAACTGTCTCAAAAACAAACAAACAAACAAACAAACAAAAAATCTCTCCACACAAATGGCCAAACTCATGCAGAAATGCTTGACATCAATAATCATCAGAAATGCAAATCAAAACCACAATAAGATACTAATTCACACCAGTCAGAATCACTATTATTAACATAAAAAGTCAGAAAACAATAGATGCTGGTGATGTTGCAGAGAAAAGGGAACACTCATACACTGCTGCTGGGAATGTAAATTAGTTCAGCGACTGTGAAAAGCAGTCTGGGGATTTCTCAAAGAACTTAAAACAAAACTACCATTTTACCCAGCAGTCCCATTATTGGATATATATCCAGAAGAAAACAAATTGTTCTACCAAAAAGACACATGCACTTACGTGTTCATCACAGCACTATTCACAATAGCAAAGACATGGAATCAACCCAAGTATCCATCAACAGTGGATTGGATAAAGCAAATATGGTATATATACATCATGGAATACCATGTACCCATTAAAAAGAATGAAATCATGTCCCTTGCAGCAACATGTATACACCTGAAGGCCATTATTCTAAACGAACTGATGCAGGAACAGAAAACCAAATACAGCATGTCCTCACCTATAAGTGGGAGCTAAACATTGGGTACATACACATGGACAAAAAGATGGTAACAACAGACACTGGGGACTACTAGAGGGAAAAGGATGGGGGTGGGGCGAGGGTTGAAAAACTAACCGTTGAGTACTATACTGACTACCTGGGTGACAAGATCAGTCATACTCTAGACCTCAGCATCATGCGATATACCCATGTAACAAAGTTGCACATGTACCCCCTGAATCTAAAATAAAAGTTGAAATTATAAAAATAAAATAAAATGTCAGATGTCTTTCCAGTTAGCTTACATTCTGTTGGAAATTCTGAACACTACTAAATGGACTGGTTATAAGGAAAACATGTTCAATGTTCTTGACAAATGTTCTGTGGAAAAGGAAACGTTGTCAGTCATTACGAAAAATATTATTAACTTATTTTGAAAGGTCTGAGACTCTGAGGGAAGGAAAAAGAGGTTTGATTCATTTTTATTTATAATGGGTATTAAGAGAAAGACCAGTTGTTTTCTGGAAAGCACAGATAAGGTATAACATATGCGTGGAGATCTTAAGTGGCTTAAACACACAAATAATTACTCTCCTAAATAAGCACAAGTCTTGTATGAAAGCCCCCCAAAAGCCTCATCTGAAATGGAAGCACCTTTTGTCTCTCTGCTCTGTCACTGTAGGCTTCAGCTATGGAATGTACATTCCAGACCTCCAAAAGGAGAGGAGAAAAGGAAAAAAAAAAAACCCACCTCTAAACCGAGTTAGCTCTTTTTAAAGAGCCTCCTTAGCTGTTTCACACAATAATTTTGCTTTCATCACATTGGCCAGAATTTAGTACTATAGTCACACCTAGCTGCAAAGGAGGCTGTGAAATGTAGTGTTTTAGCTAGGCATATGTTCTGGAATAAAATTAGGGTTCTGTTATTAAGGAAAAGGGGGATACTTGATATTGGGTAGACAACTAGCAGCTTCTGCTTGAATAACCATAAGGGGAAATTGAAATTGAACATTAGAAAGGATGAAATGGTGTATGAAGTTGGACAATAACTTTTCTTACATCCCAAGTTTGTGCAGTATAAATGCTACTGCTGGTGGGTCATTGAGGCTATAGACTTATGTACAATACCACATTGAGCAGCAAAATAATAATAAAAAGTCACTATCCCCTCTTGGTCTCAATTATTTCTACATAAAAAATGAGGAAATCTATTATATATCAGTAGTTTTTAGACTTTTTCTTAGCAGCAGAATTCTTTCTTCAAACAAAATTTATGCAGATTCTCAGAGAAGACTGAAAAAGGGAGAACTTATTCCCATTGACTGGGAGCTTCATACCATGGTCTTTGTTCTCCAATATGGCCTCTGAGATATCCCAGGGCTCTAACGAAGAAAATGTGAAATCTACTGGTCTTTATGCTTTTTAGACTTCAACAATTTAGGGTTTCATGACTCAGACCAAAAACAAAGGCTTTTGAAGTCTTTCATTCATAAGGCTTTTTCTTCCAATACCTACTAAACAATGGATTTGGGGAAGAAAACGTCTCTGAGAAGCCTTCTAATATCTGACCTTGTTTGGATAAAATAAAACATAAAATTTGACCCTCTGTAAGGTTTCTCTGGAATTCCTTACAAGCACAGATGTCTACATCTTACATATCTTGCCATTTATTAAAATTAGATAAGTAGCTCAATTCAATGTGTGCTATTAAGGTTCTCAATGTTTCCCTCCATGAATTGTTACTTCTGAAGACCACAAAAGCATTGTTTAGATAATCTACATCTGATCACACCTAAACTTCTATACATTTCTTAGTTAATGCTTGGAGTCTATCCAAAGGTGAATATTGGAGGGAGAAGTTTGACTTTCTTCCATGCAGTCAATTTAATATGGTCAGGCAGAGGGAGAAGATATTGTCCTACAGGAATTTTAACCAAAGTGCTGGAGTTTAAATTTCATGTGTGGCTTTTCCTTTATGAGGATTAGCTGCTGTGCAGGTCTGAAAAAAATGCTGGGGAAAAGTAAAATTATAGGTAGAGATGGTGTAAAACCAAGGGTGGCTTTCGAGTCACACTTATATAGGAATATAGAACTCTTTACACTTTCCAAGTTTTCCCCATCCTATTGGGACTCTTAAACTGAAATAATAATCTCTTTCCCCTTTTAAATAATTCTTGTCCTATTTTTAAGACTACTAGGGGAATAAAATAAAACACATGCAAAACTTAACATCAGCATTACTAAAACATATGTAACAGCATGCAGAAACTCCACAGATCTTGTAAAAATCCACTTAAGACCACAGAGAAAATCACCAAAAGCACAGGCCAAAATGTACTTGAATGGAGAGTGTGTGTTTGGAGGGCAGGAAACTCACAATTTACTCCTGGCTTTGTCATTACCCAAATCTGGGCCTTCTGTACAGTCATTTTTAATCTATCTGAATGTTTCTCTCACCCTTCTTATAATTGAGGGATAGTCCTCTCTTGTCTTTCAGAAATATTGGTAATATTTTGGTCATTAACCTAATATTCTTGGGTCAAATGAAAGAAAGTGGCTCAGTAACTCAAGGGGTATTATAGCTCTGACAAACACTAATGAAATACAAGATGATATGGTTCTTGTAGAGTCATGGGACTGGCATTAGATCTAAGGTCATTTACAGAATACGTTAAGTTCATGATTATCTACCATTCTCCATGAATCCATAGCTCTTTGGCCAAGTTCTCAATTAGTTACTCTAGATTATTTAATTGTCATGTTCCCCTGACTTCCAGGCTTTATGTCCTTCATTTTTAACCAGAGGTTTAAAAACATCAACTTTTCATACAGTGAATTTTCTTGCATCCTAAATCTAGTGCTCCAAGTGGGGAGAGATGAGGTGCTACAAATCAATGGACTTTCAGGTTTTTCTCTTCACTGCTGAGGTCACTGGGGCCCTTTCTGTCTCAATTCTAATAGTTCCAAACAGCCCAGTGGTCTCTAGTCCCTTGACCTTGAAATTTGGGCTTGGGTCCACAGTATTCAGAACTGGGAGGCAGCCCAAGTATAGCTCTTGGCTGGCTGCAGCCCAAACGTTTGGTGAAACTCCTAGAAACAAAATATCTATAAACAAACAAAATTAACTAATGCAGGACCTTTTATGCCATTTGAATTTAAATAAAAGCAATTACATTTTAAAAGTCACATAGAAGTATATAAGGAAGTTTTTATTGGCTAAAAGATACTCTTTAGCAACATGATGTGGTGGTTTTTAGGAACAGGGTGGATTAGTTTTTTTGTTGTTGTTGTTAGGTGTTTTTTGTTTGTTTGTTTTTTAGTAGTTGGGACTGGCTTATGTTCAGTGGACACCTGGACAGTAGGCAAACTTGAAATGAAAGCTAGATTGCCCACCAATGTCACACTGCAGAGCATTGCTATAGAAGCCACTGGAAAAAGTATTAGAAATATATTTACAGTACACATGCAGCTCAGATCATTGCTGTGATGGAGGCTGCATGTTTCATGACCTATCTAATGGTTTTTGCTTTACAGAGAATCCCAGGACAATTCACAAGTTAAACACTAGTAGCATGGGAAAGAATTCTCTCTTTGCAATAAAAGAGATCTCTTTCAGTTATAGTTCAAGTAACACAGGCAAATTACATATTTCAACTACAGGTACTAACAATATTTTAGTAAACATTATGAGCCAAAGAATTCTAGTCATGAGTTTTAGAGCTCTTTAGGTATTTTCCTATTTGTAATGTCCATCCGCTAACTCATTCATTTCTTCATTAATTTATTTAGCAAAGAGTAGTTGAACATTTTTTATGTACTAGCAAAATGCTACATATGATGGTTGCACAAGCATGTATAAGATACAATCAAATCTTATGTGGTAGTTTTAAAATAAGCCCATAAATTATTTTATACTCCTCTCTTCAAAAAGTAGAGCTTAAAGCCCTGCCCCTTCAATGAGGGCTGGATTTAGTGACTCATGTCTAACAATAGAATATTGCAGAAGTGACAGTATGTGGTTTCTAAGACTAGGCATGGTAGTGTGTGCCTGTAGTCCCAGCTACTCAGGAGGCTGAGGCAGGAGGATTGCTTAAGCTCAAGAGTTTGAGGTTACAATGTGCTATGATTGTGCCACTGCACTCCAGCCTGGGTGACAAAGTGGGACCCTGTCAATCATTCAAATCAATTAATCAATGGAAATAAAAGGCATTGTGCATTGTTCCTCCTTTCTCTTTTCTATTACACACACTGGGGAAGTTATCTGCCACATTGCGATGGCACTCAGGCAGCCTTATGGAGGTATCTTAATGGTGAGGAACTGAGATTTCCAGTGAACATCCATGTGAGTGACCACCTTGGAACTGGCTCCTCCAGATTCTCAGATAAGGCTTCAGATAATACAGCCCCAGCCAATATCCTGACTGCAGCAACATGGGAAATCCTGAGCTAGAATCTTCAAGCTAAGCTGCTCTAGAGTCCTAATCTTCAGAATTGTGTGAGATCATAAATGTTTATTACTTTAAGATACTAGGTTTCGGGGGTAATTTGTCATGCATTATTCAGAGGTTTCATAAGTATCTCACAAAATGATGCTTATCTCCTCAACATCTATTCTGCCTTCCTTCATTGTTTAGAGAGTCATATATAAAGACAGTATGCCTCAAAGTAATAATTTATTCTTCTTGCTACAAGAATAAAGAGATTATTCACCAAGCGTCAGGACTTGGCTGGTACGATGTTCTAGCAGGAACTAGAAGAACATGTTTTGGACTGGAGCTTGAGGGTAGTAGACCAGAAAGGATGAAATATAAGGCTGGATAGAGGAGAGTTTACTGATATGGGATCCTCTTTCTTGAATCATGATTTAACATTTTGGCAAGAATGCCTGGAGTCCATCCTCATGTGTTGTGAGAATGGCTCTTTGAAGCCTGGAAACAATGAAGGCCTACAGAAAATGAGGTGGAAACTTGGCAGAGTATTAGAGAAGGAGTCATATAGTTCTGAGAGGTGAATGTAGCAGAATGGATTGGTTAAGATCTCTCTTTTTCAGAAAATCTGCCATGTTATATTTCCAATTCTTTTTATTAAAGTAATAAGAAATTTGCCAGTGAGAGTAGCGTCATCACCACTGAGAAGCACAGGAGCGGCTCTCCTCTGTACCCAGGCTTAATGACAGGAGGTACTGCAGTGGATCTGGAATCCCTAACGGAGGTAGGAATATAAGATTCTGGAATTTCAGAGACCATGTGGCAGTACTTAACTACTTAGGCGAGATAGATATTCTTACATGATGGAGAGCAACAGGGGTCTTGGCTCACAGAGGTCTATGGCAAAGCCCATAGATCATAATTTTCTTTGGGGTAAGATAAATGAACAACCAATGAAAGTATTGCTTGATTTATAAAACAGAAAATATCAACAATAAGTGAGAAGCTTGATCTTAGGCACTACAATTGTAAGTCACAATCTTTTTCCCAGTTGCCATATGTGCAGTAGTTCTCAGATGTAGAGCCTATTTACTACATGGAAATCTAGGTCTCTTTGAGGAAAGTCCCTGCAATACAAGTATATTCCCTAAAAGAATCTACACCCATTTCCCAAAGAAACTCTATGATAAGGAAAGGAGGCTATCTTTTTCGAGAGCTGCTAGATAATGGGTCTGAGTTAAAACTGATTTCAGGGAACACAAAATGCCGTAATGACCCCTCTGATACAGTGTCATGAAAAGATGACAGTGGAGTGGTTTGAAGTCCATCTCACAGTAATAGTGGGTCCACCAACCCACCCTGTGGTTTCTCCTCAGTTCCTTGAGGCATAATCAGGATGGATACAATTACAAACATTTCCTAAACTTTGGAAAAGACCCATTATAAAAGGATAGTAAAGACCAAGTGTAAGATACTAAAATTCCCTCACAACCCCACCAAGATAGCAAATCAGGAACAATACTGCATGCTAGATAAAATGGCAAAGACTAGCGTCACCCTCAAAGACTTAAGGAAAGCAGAAGAGGTAGTCTTCATCACGTCCCTACTTAATTCACCAATCTGGTGAAAATTAGATGGTGAAAGTCATGGAAGATGATGTTGGACTACATTAACTTAATCAACTGGTAGCCACAAGCATAGTCAATGTGCTGGAAGTAGAAGATTTACTAGGAAGATCAAAACATCCTCTGGAATTTGGCATACAGCTCTTGATATCGTACATGCCTTCTTTCAATGCCCATCAAGAAGGAGCATCAAAAGCTGTCTTCATTCACTTAGAATGAACTGCAAACCTTATATATCGACTTGTCCTAGGCTTTTGTTAGCTTTCCTTTCTCAGCAAGGTACCTTGAGAATCTTGACATTTTGCAGAACATCATGGTGATCTCCTCATGAAAGTAATGACATCATGTAAGCTAAATGGTAATAATGTTATGATAGTAATGACATCATATAAACTAAATCTAGTAAATAGGAAGTGATAAGTACTCTGGATGGCCTAGTAAGATACATGCATGACAAAGGATCAGAAATATTATCTGTACAATTCAAGCACCTTCCAAATTATCAGGAGGAAACCAACAGTCTAGGGCATTTTGGGATATTCCCTCCAAGGTAAATGACAAGTTATTGCACCCTGTACCTCTTACTACTAAGAAAGTACTTGGCAAACCTCTTTACATTTTGGAGAGAGCATATGCCATGCTGGGGAATATTGCTTAAGTCATTTAGTGGGTAATATGAAAGAGTGCCAATTTTGAGTGGTGACCAGAACAAGGGAGACCTCTGCAACATGTTCTAGCTCTGAAGCAATCGGTCCTGCCACTAGGGGCATATGACTTGGCATATCTAATGTTGCCAGAAGTTAGCACAGTAGATTAAACTTTAGAATTTCTCCCAAGCATTAATAGTTGAGTCGCAATACAGTCTCCTGGGGTTCAGGAACAAGGCCATGCCATCTGAGGCACAGAATTATTCACTGTTTACATAAACAGCTCCTGGGAGAGTTGTATCAGCAAAGATGGCAGAATAGAAAGCCCCAGACCTCCTTCTGCTGTAGACAGTGACTTAACAGCAATATACAATTCAAAAAGCTTTTATGAGGAATTCAGAAACCAGTTAAGACATCACAGTACCATAGACAAGCACAAAACTATAAACAGTTGCACTGAAACAAGAAAAACAATTGCATTTCACCCACTAAAGTTCTTTCCTCAAGCCAGCACAGCTTGGTGCAATTGAGAGGAAATGCCCAACTCGCAGCTTCTCCCTTGCGAGAGAAAGAGAAGTGTGGAAAATACGTCTAACATTCTAGTTTGGGCACAGGCTGACAAAAGATAGATTTATAGCTTGCCTTACTTGAAGCTGTGTTGGGGAACTGGCAGAACTTTGACATCTAGGAGCACTCTGAACAAAGAACAACTCAGTGGCTTGTTGTAGCACCAGAGAACCTGCAGTATGACCAAATTCAAGACAGGTCATTTGATATGACTGAGCCAGAGGAACAAAAAGAAAAATGAAGAAAGCCTAAGGAACTTATGGTACATTACCAAGTGGAACAATATTTACATATGAGAATCCAAAAAGGAGAAGAGAGAGAAAAAGGGATACAGAGTTTATTTTGAAGAAATCATTGATTTCTCCCTGATATAGTTTGGATCTGTGTCCCCACCAAATCTCATGTTGAGGAATAATCCCCAGTGTTGGAAGTGGGGCCTAGCGGGATGTGATTGGATCATGATGTTGGATTTCTCATGAATGGTTTAGCACCATCCCCCCCGGTACTGTCCTTGTGACAGTGTGAGTTCTTGTGAGATCTGGTCATTTAAAAGCGTGTGGCACCTTCCTGTTCACTCTCTTGCTCTTGCTCCAGCCATGTGACATGCCTGCTCCTCCTTGGCCTGCTGCCATGATTGTAAGTTTCTTGAGGCCTTTCCAGAGGACAAGCAGATGCCAGCATCATGCTTTCTGTATAGCCTGAGGAACCATGAACCAATTAAACCTCATTTCTTCATGAATTACCCAATCTCAGGTATTTCTTTACAGCAATGCAAGAATGGACCAATATACTCCTCAGACCAATTGGACTAAACGGGCATTCAAATGTGAAAAACTCAAAGCACTCTAAGATGAATTTAAAGCAACCCACACGGAAACATATTGTAATCTAATTGTCAAAAGTCAAAGGCAAGGAGAGAATTTTGAAACCACCAAGAAACAAATAACTCATGACATACTAGGGAGCTTAAATAATATTACCAGTGGGTTTCTCAGCAGAAACATTACCAGACAGAAAGGAGTGGGATGATTTATTTGAAGAGCTTAAAAAAAAAAAAAAACCTGCTAACCAAGGATATTGTCTATCTTTCTATGTCTATCTATGCTATATCCAGCAAAACTTACCTTTAAAAATGAAGAAAAAACCAAGACCTTTCCAGGTAAACAAAACTAAGGGAGTTTCTCACTGGAAAGACCTGTCTTAAAATAAATGCTAAAGGAACGCTTTAGGTTTAAATGAAATAACTCCAGACAGCAACATGAAAGCACATAAAAAATATAAAAGTCTTTGATATGGGTAAATATACAGACAAATAGAATCCTGTAATTCTGTAATGGTGGTATGTAAACAGTTTTAATTCTGGTATAGAATTTAAAATGTAAAAGCATAAATATAATTATAAAATATATTAATAATGCAAAATACAAAAACATGTAATTTGTGACATCAATAAGTTAAAGTGGTGTAGGGGATATAAGGAGCAGAGTTTCTGTATTTAACTGAAGTTGTTATCCATTTAAAATAAATTGTTGCAATTAAGAGTTTTAAAAAATCTCAATGATGACCAAAAATAAAACACCTATAGAAGATATACAAAAGAAAATGAGAAATAAAGCATGCCACTACAAAACAATAAAACACAAAGGAAGGAAGCAAGGGAGGAAAAGAGAGACAAAATTAAGACATATAGAGAAAACAATTAACCAAATGGCAGTAAGTCCTTCCCTATCAGTAATTACTTTACATGTAAATGGATTAAACTCAATAAACAGACACAGAGTAGCTACATGGATTAAAAAAAGGATCAAAGTAGTTGCCTGTAGGTGAGTCACTTCAAATCTAAAGACACACATAGGCTGAAGATGAAAGGATGGAATAAGATAATCTATGTAAATGGTGACCAAAAAAAGCAGAGGTGGCCATACTTATATCAGATAAAATCAATATAGAAACATGACTTAGACATCACTATAGACTAATTGAACCCAACAGATAGACACATAACATTCCACTCAAGAACAGCAAAATACACATTCTCCTCAAGCACACATGAAATATTCATCAAGATAGATCACATGTTAGGCCACAAAACAATTCTTAACAAATTTAAAATGACTGGAGTCATACCAATATCTTTTCTGAATAAAACGGAATAAAACTGGAAATCAATTAAACAAATCAAACTGGAAAATTCACTTACATGTGGAAATTAAGCAATATACTCTTGAGCAACCGATGGGTAAAAGAAGAAATCACAAAGGAAATTGGAAAATATCTCGAGAAAAGTGAAAACACAACAAACCAAAACTTTATGGGATATAGCAAATGTCCTAGAAACATACAACCTACCAGGACTGAATCATGAGTAAATTTTAAGATGTCAGCATACCTACATCTAGCAAGGAGAATAAATCAGTAATCAAAAATCTCCCAACAAAGAAAAGATCAGGACCAGCTGGCTTCGCTGGAAAATTCTATCAAAAATTTAAAGAAAAATTAATCCCAATCCTTCTCAAACTTTTCCAAAAATTAAGAGGAAGGAACACTTCCAAATTCACTATATGGTACCAGTATTACCCTGATATTAAAATCAGACAAAGATACTTTGAGACAGGAAACAACAGACCAACATCCCTGATGAATATTGATGCAAAAATCCTCAACAAAATATTGGCAAACTGAATTTGCCAGTTCAGTGCATAAAGGCGCATAAAGGGATTATGCACCATGACTAGGTTGGATTTATTCTTAGAATGCAAGGATGGCTCAGTAAATGAAAAAAAATCAATGCAATACACAACATTAACCAAATACATTAAATAAAAAGCAAAACCACATGATTATCTCAATTGATGTAGAAAAAGTATTTGACAAAATACAATACCCTTTCCTAATAAAAACACCCAACAAAGTGTGAATAAAAATTACCTTAACATAATCAAGGCTATATATACAAAAAGTCCAAAGCTAATATACTCAACATTGAAAAACTGAATGTTTTCATCTAATAAGAGGAATAAAGAAAAGATGCCCCCTCTTGCCACTTGTATTCAACAATACTACAAGTCTCAGCCAGAGCAATTAAGCAGAAAAAGAAATAAAAGTCACAAATTTGAAAGGAAAGATAAATTATCTCTATTCTACAGATGACATGATCTTATGTGGACAACCCTAAAAATTCCACGAAAAACAAGCCTGTTGGACTTAATAAATTCCACAAATTTGCAAAAAAAAAATCAAGACACAAAAATTATTTGCATTTCTATGTGCTAACCATGAATAATCCAACAAGGAAAGTAAGAAAACAATCTCATTTCCTATAGCATTGAAAAGAATAAAATACTTAGGAATATGCTTAGCCAAGGAGGTAAAAGACTTGTATACTGAAAACTATAAAACATAGATAAAAGAAATGTTTAAAGATGCAAATAAATTGAAAGGTATCACACGTTCATGGATTGGAAGACAATATTGTTGATATATCCATACCACCCAAAGTAATTTGTAGATTAAATGCAATCCTTATCAAAATATCATTAGTTTTTCTTTCAAAAATAGAAAACATTCTAAAATTTATATGGAATCTCAAAGGACCCTAAGTGGCCAAAACAAAATTGAGAAACAGCAAAGCTAGAGAACTCACACTTTCTGATTTCGAAACATATTACAAAGCTACATTAATCAAAAGAGTATGATACTGACACAAAGACATACAAATAGACTAATGGAACAGAATAGACAGCCCAGAAATAGTCTCTAATGTATACGGTTACATGATCTTCAACAAAGGCACCATGGCTACATAGTAAGGAAAGAGTAGTCTCTTCAACAAATGGTATTTGGAAAATTTTACATTCATAGGCAAAGAATAAAATTAGACTCTTACCTTACACCATATATAAAAATTAACTCAAAATGGGTTAAAGATCTAAATAGAAAACTTGAAATTATAGGTTTTTATAGGAGAAAACTCCAGGGAAAATCTTATAATATTAGATTTGGCAGTAATTTCTTGGATATGATCACAAAAGCACAGGCAACAAATGCAATAATAGACAAATGGGACTACATCAAACTTAAACACTTCTGTGCAGCAAAGAAAACACTCAACAGAGTGAAAAAGATAACCTATTTAATTGGAAGAAATTAGAAGAAATAGTTGCAAACCATGTAGGGAGTAATATCCAATATGCATAAAGAATTCCTACAACTCAAAAACATCAACAAATAATCTGATTTAAAAATGGGCAAAGGATTTGAATAGACCGTTCTCTAAAGAAGATATACAAATGACCAAAAAACATGTAAAGATGCTCAATATCACTAGTCATAAAAGAAATGAAAATCTCAGTAACACATCACAGCCATTAGGATGGCCGTTGTAAAAAACACACACACCGAGGAAAGAACTAGTGTCACTGAGGACATGGAGAAGCTGGAACACTTAGGCATTATTGGTGGAAATAGTAAAATGGTGTAGCTGCTAGAGAAAACAGCAAAGAAATTTGTCAACACGTTAAAAAAGAGAATTACCATATGATCCAGCAATCCCACTTCTGGGTATATATCCAAGAAAACTGAAAGGAGGATTTTGAAGAGGTAGTTGCACTTCCATGTTCATTGCAGCATTATTCTCAATAGCCTGGAGGTTAAAGCAGCCCAAATGTCCATTAATAGATTAGTAGATGAAAAAAATGTGATGCCAGGGGCTTCAATGGCTGACTAGTCATCTGTTACTTGCCTCCTCCACAAAGAAGAAACAAAACAGCAAGTAGATAATCATACTTTAATAGATCACCTAAGAGAGGATGCTGGAATTCAATAGAGAAGTGACAGAAAATACCCAAAGCAAGGAAGGAGAAAAAAGTGAGGCAGCCTGCTCCATCAGGATTGGCTTGGAGCCAGGAGAGGCTTCCCCATGAGGGAGAAGGGTAGGTGAATAACCCCCAGTGGTACACATTCCCATCATGGACTCCTTTAATCCTAGCCATAGAGGAGAGCCCCTCAACCCTCACAGGCCCTTAGACTAACATAAGGATCTGCCTGGAGACTACATAACAGATTGCTCCAGAGAGGGAGCTCACACTGGGTCCCACATATCCTCCAAGTCCTAAGCAGCTACAGCAGGGCACCATTTTGAGAGCGCATCCCTCACCAAACTGGATTCTGCCCTGGGGCCCAACATTGATATATCTGGAACCCCACTGACATCCCCTGCCCACAGTTGTATACCACTGCTGACTGCTGCTGCCAGGGCCAAAGCCTAACTATTGGCAGTAATCCTTTCACCTCCAGTAGCAGCACCACAGTACATTTAAATGTGTCCTAAGGAAAGGGTACCCCATTTATAAGGCCAACACCTGGGGCCAAAGTGTTTGCTTCCCAGACTTCCATTTATGGCTACTGCCACTTAAAATAAGCCCACCTTCCCCAGCAGTGGGGATGCTGCACAGCCATTTCCTCTTGCACTTGAGCATTCTGCCAGGGGCCTGGGATCACCCCATCCATGCCTACTACAGCCAGCACCTGCACACATTAGCGAGGCGCCTGAGGACAGTCCCACCTGGACCAACTCCACTCCCACTAGTGCCTGACCAAGTGCTCCCCCTAGTGCCCAACCAAGCATCTCCAACCCCATCTGGGGGCCTGGAGATTACCCTGACTCATCCACCAATACTGGCATCTGAGCATTCCTTCTGGAAGCCTGAGGATAAGCCCATCCAACCTGCTGCTACAACCATAGCTGACACCCACCTGCAGGCCTGGGGACTGGCCCACCAAGTCTGTCACAGTCACTACTGACACCAGTGCAGACTACTTGGAAGCCAGGGGATTGTCCTGACACTGCTAATACCATTGTCCATGCCACACTGCACAGGAGCCCAAAGACCCACTCGCTCACCCAGCCCACTAATGCCACTGCTGGCACCCAAGCCAGCCAGCCAGAGGCCCAAGAATTGGTCTGCCTGAACCCACTGACACTGGTGCTAGTGTATACCACCCTGGGTTACAGGAACAAGCATAGTCAGCCTACCACTGACACCACTGGGGCCCACCTGATATCTCCATTCCAAGCATAACTTACCACAACCTCTACTGACATGGCACCCTAAGCCACTGAGGAAATCACCGATGCTACTGATATTGTTTATAGCTAATGAAATGATATGCACACATCACCGCATGCATTCAGAATCAAAGGCAAAGTACCCTCCCAGCCAACACCATGGATACATTTTCAGGAAAAAGTCCTCCCCTACAAGAGCAAATTGAAAAAATTGAAAGAAGTGACTGTCACATCAGAAGCACAGATATCAATGTAAGGACAAAGGAGATATAAAAAAGAAAATATGACACCACCAAAGGAACACAATAATTCTCCACCAATAGAATCCATTAAGAAATTTATGAAATCCTGGGAAAAGAATTCAAAATAATGATATTAAAGAAGGTGACATACAAGAGAAGAAAAATATAAAGAAATCAGAAAAACAATTCAGGATATGAATGAGAAATTTACCAAAGAGATAGGTATCATTAAAAACAACCAAACAGAAACTCTGGAACTAAAGAATTCATTCAATCAATGACAAATATACTTGAGAGTTTCAACAACAGACTAAGTCAAGCAGAAGAAAGAATTCAAAACCTGAAGACAGGTCTTTCAAAATCATTCAGTCAAATAAAAAATTTTATAAAAGAATAAACAAAGCCTACATGACAGATGGAACACATAACATGACCAAATATTCAAATTTTCTGTGTCCCAAAAGGCAAAGAGAAAACAAAAGGGATAGAAAACATATTTAATGAAATAATAGCTGAAAAATTCCCAAGTCTACCAAGGATTTAGATAGCCAGATATAGGAAGCTCAGAGATTTCCAAACAGACAAATGCAAAAGGTTTTCTCCATGGCACATTATAGTCAAGTTGTCAAAAGTCAAAGACAGAATTCTCAAAACAGCAAGAGAAAAGTCTTCAGTCACTTATAAGAAAACCCCCATCAGACTAACAGTGGATTTCTCAGCAGAAACTTTACAGGCCAGGAGAGAATGGAGTGGTTTATTCAAAGTGCTCAAAGAAAAAAAGTATATACCCAACGAAGTTATCATTCACCAATAAAGGAGAAATAAAGACTTTTCCAGATAAACAAAAGCTAAGGAAATTAATCATCACTAGACCAGCCCTACAAAAATTGATTAAGGGAAGCAAAAATACGTTATCTGCCATCATGAAAACACATGAAAGTATAAAACCCACTCATAGAGTTAACATACAAATGAGGAAGAGAAAGAACTCAAATGTTACCCCTACAGAAAACCACCAAAGCACAATGATAAACAGCGAGAAAGGAACAAAGAAAATACAAGCCAACAAGAAATCAGTAAATAAAATGACATGAATAACCAAGCCTCCAATATCAATAACAACTTTGAGTGTAAATAGATTAAACTTTTATCTTAAAAGATACAGACTGGCTGAATAGATTTTAAAAAATGACCCAATTAGGTGCGCCAACAAGATACTCATCTCACCTTTAAAGATGTATAGGCTGAAAGTAAAGGTATGGAAAATGATATTCAGATATTCCATGCAATCAGAAACCAAAAACAAGCAGGAATAGCTGTACTTATGTCAATTAAAACAGACTTTAAGTCAAAAACAGTAAAGAGAGGCAAAGAAGGTTGTTATGTAATAAAGGGATCAATTCAGCAAGAGGACATAACAATTCTAAACATATATGCACTCAGTACTGGAGGACCCAGATATATAAAGCAAATTTCACTAGATCTAAAGGGAAATATAATCTCCAATACAATAATAATTGGGGACTTCAATACTCCACTCTCAGCATTAGAAAGATAATATAGACAGCAAATTAACAAAAAAGCATAGGATTTAAATTGCACTGTAGGCCAAATAGAGCTAACAGATATTTATAGAACATTTTGTATAATAGCTATAGAATACAAATTCTTCTGACCAGCAAATGGGACATTCTCCAGGATAGACCATATGCTGGGACACAAAACAAGTCTCAAAAAATTACAAAAAAAATGCAAAATCAAACAAAATCGAAAGTTAATAGAAGAAAAGAATAAAGATCAGAGCAGAACTACACAAAATAGAGACTAAAAAAAATACAAGGAGCCAATGAAACAAAGAGCTGGCTTTTTGGGAAAAAAGCAAAAATTGATAAAGCACTAGCTACACCAACCAAGAAAAAAGAAAATCCAAATAAAATCAGAAATAAAAACCAAGACATATAAGTGATACCACAGAAATATAAAAGATGAGAGTATATTATGAACAACTATTCACTAACAAGCTTGAAAACCCAGAAGAAATAAACAAATTTCTGGATATATACACCTACCAAGATTGAATCGAGAAGAAACAGTAAACCTGAACAGACTAATGATGAAATTGACTCAGTAATAAAGTCTCTGCCAACAAAGAAAAGTCAGGAGCAGATGGCTCCACTGCAGAATTCTACCAAATTTACAAAAAACTAATACCAATTCTCTTCAAACTATTTCAAAAAATTGAAGCACAGAAAATTCTCTCTAATTAATTCTATGAGGCCAGCATTACCTTGATATTAAAACAAGACAAGGATGCAACAATAATAAAACTGAAATCGATATGTTTGATGAACATACATGTAAAAATCCTCAACAAAATACTAGCAAAACAAATCCAACAGCACATCAAACAGCTAATACACCATGATTAAGTGGGATTTTTGCCAGAGATATAAGGATAGTTCAACATATACATATCAATAAAGGTAAAACATCACATCAACATAATGAAGGACAAGAACCATATCACCTCAATAGATACAGAAAAAGCGTTTGATAAAATTTAACATTCTTTAATGATGAAAACTCTCAACAAACAAGGCATAGAAGGAACATATCTCAATATAATAAAGGCCATATATGATAAACTCACAGCTAACATCATATAAATGGGGAAAAGCAGAAAAGATTTTCTTCTAAGGACCGGAACAAGACAAGGATGTCCACTTTCACCATTCCTAGTCAATATAGTACTGGTAATCCCAGGCAGAGTAATCAGGCTAAATAAATAAATAAAACACTTAAATAGCATCCACCTTGGAAAAGAAGATGTCAAATTGTCCATCTTTGCAGATGGCATGATCCCATATCTAGAAAACCTAAGGACCTCACCAAAAAACTTAGAATTGATTAAAAAAAAAAGTTTAGTAAAGTTGCAGGACACAAAATCGACATACAAAAATCAGTAGTATTTATAACACCAATAATGAACTATCTGAGAAAGAAATCAAGAAGGTAATTCCATTTACAATAGCTACCAAAATAAAATACCTACGAATAAATTTAACCAAGAAGGCGAAAGACCACTACAAGAAAAACTACAAAGCACTGAAGAAAGACACTGAAGAGGACACAAATGGAAATGACCATACTACCTAAAGCAATCTACATATTCAATGCACGCCCTATCAAAATACCCATGTCATTTTTCACAGAAATAGGAAAAACAATCCTAAAATTCACATGGAAACAAAAAAAGAGGCTGAATAGTCAAAGCTATCTTCAGCACAAAGAACAAAGTTGGAGGCATTATACTACCTGACATCAAAATATACTACAAAATTATAGTAACCACAACAGCATGTAATTGGTATAAAAACAGACACACAAACTAATGGAACAGAATAGAGAACTCCAAAATAAATCCATGTATTTACAGCCAACTAATTTTTTTTTTTACAAAGACAACAAGAACATACTAGGAAAAGAACTCTGTTTTCAGTAAACGGTGCTGGGAAAACTGGATATCCATATGCAGAACAATGAAATTGGATTTCTATCTCTCACCATATACAAAAATCAACTCAAGATGGATTGAAGACTTAAATGAAAGACCCAAAACTATAAAACCACTAGAAGAAAACATAGGGGAAATGTCTCAGGACATTGGTCTAAGCAAATATTTTATGGATTAGACCTTAAAGGCCCAGAAAACAAAAAAAACAGAAATAGATAAATGAGACTATATTAAACTAAAATACTTCTGCACAACATAGGAAACAATCAAAACTGAAGAGCCAGCCTGTTAAATGGCAGAAAATATTTGCAAAGTATGCATTCAGCAGGGGTCTAATATCCAGAATATACAAGGAACTCAAACAACTCAACAACAACAAAAACAAATAATTCCATTTAAAAGTAGGCTAAGGTCATGAATAAACATTTCTCAAAAGAAGACATACAAATGGCCAATAGCTGTATTAAAAAATACTCAATATCACTAAACCTCAGGGAAATACAAATAAAAACCACAATGAGATATCATCTCACCCCAAGTGGAATGGCCATTTTTTTTTTTACTTATGATAGATCAACTTATAATTTTTCAACTTTACCATGGTGTGAAAGGAACATACATTCAGTAAAAATCGTACATAGAAATTTGAATTTTGATCTTTTTTTAGAGCTAGCATATGCAGTATGATACTTTCTCTTGATGTTGGGCAGTGGTAGCAGTGAGCCACAGCTCCCAGGCAGCCAGCCACTCACGAGGGTAAACAATACTTGATATCTTCTTGACTAACACTATGCCTGCTAAACCATTAAGTGTCCATGCACCAGTGCCTTCTACCAGCTATTCTTGAGCCTCATCAGAAGAGACAGAAATTAATAACCCTGTTGCTGTAGCCTCCCCATCATCCAGCAATTGATTGTAGTCCAATTCTTCAAACATTCTTCAGGCCCAGTGTGCTTTCAGCTGTGTACATTAATGGTGAGTACCCATACAACCACTCTGTTTTCCACGTTAAGTACGGTATTCAATAAATTACATGAGATATTCAACACTCCATTAGAAAATAGGCTTTGTGTTAGATGATTTTGCCCAACTGTAGACTAATGTATGTGTTCCGAGCATGTTTAAGATAGGCTGGGCTATACTATGATATTCTGTAAGCTATTGAAAGCATTTTCAACTTATGATATATTCAAGTTACGATGGATTTGAAACAAAGTGGAATGGCTAGCACAACTACCCAAAGTCTCAAAATATCTGATTTACCAATGTAATATTGCCTCAGACTCAAAGGATCCATACTGTGGTGACATAGTAAGTCTAGATTGTGGGGTTCACTGATTCTACCATAAACAGCAGCACCCAAAGCTGCTGGTCTGACTGACAGAATGTTGAGACGGCTTTTTATAGCCATCCAAGTTGGGTATGACAGCATGCATAGTTAGGGTGCTATCCTTCGAAATAGAGAATACACTTTGAATCGATAAGCGTTATATGGCCTATGTTGATTACAGATAGAAAATGAGATCATGAAACAAAGGGTTAGGTAAGAAGTGGCTATTCTTACCATTGTTTTCAGTGGCCCACTTGGGAAATTTGTGCTTTCTATCTTTACATCAGGCTCTGATGGATTGTAAGTACTATTGCTGGAAAGGAAATTTTATACCAGGGGACAGAATATGGGTTTCACTAAACCCAAAGCTACTGGTACCACCTAGTCCCTTGGGACTAGACCAAGGGGCAAAGAAATAACTATACTGACTGAAGTATCTGACTATCATGAGAAGATATTGTTGCTGCTATATAATGAGGGCAAGAGGAAAAAATCAGAGGATTTAATAGGAATGTGTCTTGGTGCTCAATGCCCAGTAATAGCGATGGATGGGTAGTTGCAGTAACTATATTTGACAAAGGTTGAAATGAAAAAATGGGGGAGCATTTTCGTAGATGAGAGTACAGGTTACCTCCCTGGTGAAAGCCTACAGCAGCTGAGAGTGAGAGGAATCTAGAAAGCATGACAGAGGAAGATGATCAATATAAATAATGATCTTGAAACCAGTTGCAGCAGTAGGCTACAGATGATCACTTTAACCATTTTTCTGAGCCTTTCAAAAAATTTTTTGTCTGGCCATGACTTTGAAGAATTTCTAATCAGACAAATTTAACTCAACTTCGGACAGGAGTGAATGTGGGTAGTACCAGAGGTGAATTGTAGCTGATGCCTTTGCTGACCACATATATCCTCTCTGCTTTCACTGTTCCCATATACACCTGCAGGTTCGTACATCAAACAAAGCTTCTCATCTACACATCACTGACTGAGAGCAATTTCCGGCCACTGGAACATGTTAAGCTCAAATAGGACAGGCAGGGAGGAGCAGGGCACAGAAGCTCTATGAACATCTTCAACAGTGAAAAACAGGAATTAGTAAATACATATCTAAGCTTTCTTACCTTTGGGTAGAGCAGTTATTAGTGGGCCTGGCAACTAATGACTTACAGTGACAGGCTGATTATTAACACCTTCTATTGGCTTCATTCTGCTTACTCTGAATTGCCTCCCAAATAAACGAAGCATTCAATTCCAATGGGTGGTTTGCTTCAGTATTTTGGGTCTCAGTTAAGATCTCCAAGGTTAAGAGAGATTCTCTTTCCCCATGTAGTAATTACATGCAACTTCCAGGCACTTCGACTGACCTTAAATGATTTGCTACATTCTTCTATATATAAGTCTGCATATTGCTTCTGCTTTAAATATATCTCAATAGTATGTCAGGAATATTCAATCAGCTAAAATTAGAAAATTTTCTAATCAGAAAACCAAAATCTAAAGAACAGAGGAAATGGCTTGAAGCTAAGAATTTTTGATCTTTCATTCTCATCTCCCAACAATTTCCCATAAAGCCCTAAAAAGGCCAGTTAACTTTTTAGTGTCTATGCTTCCTAATGTGTTAAATGAGACTCATAACCCTGTGATGTAAGGGCAGTCAAGCAGATGAATTATTTAATGTTAGATGATCCATAATCTGCCACACACTACTATTTTGAAGATGCCCATGCATTATTCATTGCCGAATGCACTTATGTTATGTTATTAGAGTATACAATCTCTCACAAATTTCAGATATTACACACACTTTTTAATAGGTGGCAAGAACGATACATCCTGTGCGATATTTTTAGCTAAAATGAGTTAATCCTAGGTGGCCTAGAGTGAAATGTTTTAAGACTATATAAAAATAATAAACCTAACCATCTTGGTGATGATAAGTATTATTACTGTATTTATTTGTAGTTCAGTAGACTCCTGGCATTCAGGGATTTAATAACACAGTTTGTATTCTTTGGAGGCAACCTCAAGGGTTCACGCCACAGAGTGATGAGTAGTTTTGTGGTGGCATGGATTTTAATTGTACAAACTAATGGCCTGATATGTGGAGGCCTGTCCCAATACCACTACTCATGAACAGTGAGCTGGCTTCTTCTCATCCTATAAGTGGCTCACCTTAGCTCTGTTCTTCTTTCTCTTTCATGAGCAGTAACTGTTCTTAAGTGATAAAAACTTCATATATTTTTGAAAAATGGCTCTTATGGGAGAAATAAACCATTGCTAGTGCTGGTGATGAAAATGAAGAAGTCTAAGAAGCATTTATTCTTAGCCAGAAAGAGATTTTTAATAAAAAGTAGGATGTTGAACTTGGCAGACTTAAATCCATGATATGACAGAGTCCACCAAGTGGGTACATGAACACCAGAAAAATCATTTTATGAAATTTTTAACAAGAGTTCTCACCAAATCAAAAGTTGATTTTTGCATTTTTCTCTTTTAAAACAAGCGCTCATCTGAAGGCCAGAAAGGGAGCTTTAAGGTTTTAATTTTACTTTGTAACCTTTTTTTTTAGGACAGGTTGTATGCTATAGTAATGTTCTTTTGCATTTTTTAAATTAAATTTTAATAGCGTTTTAGTTAATTCTTTTGTATTTTCTAAGAGAAAAATCACAATCTTCAAATGAAAATGTTATCTTCTTTTTTAAAACATCGAATCATTAAATTCCTTATTTTGTAGTCTTGTACCAGCCCTTCAGAAATAATGATTAAAAATAGAGATACCCGACATGCTTCTACTGTTCTTAACTTTTACTGGAATATGTCTAGGGTTTCCCAAAGTATATTTTATTGAACAGTTGTACTCCTTGAAGAAAAAGTTCTATGACAAAACTTTAGAAATCTGCCACACTCTGTTTCCATGTTAGAGAATCAAAGAGCATATTCACCTATTGATTGTACCAAGCAGCCCCGTAATTTAATATTTTATGGTTTAATTTCATTTAATCCTGGGTTAAACTGCCTTGTCGAGAAATTAAAGAAAGAGAGAACAGTCCCCACTGTCTTATGAAGCCAAATAACTTGGATGGTACATTACAGGAGAAAAAAAAAATATGTATCAGTTTTTAATCTCATCCTCAAGCAAGTTGGCAGTCATTCATTTTGCGAACAACAATGTGAAGGAAAACCCCTGCCACAATGTCCCCAGTGGCAACCGCAGAATGGACACCAAGGCCTCCAATGAGTGAAAATAAGTCACACATGAAAGCTTCCCAAAGTGAACAAATATTGTGCTAGAGATGGTGGACTACTAAGTTTTGCTGACTAACCAGACAAACCATCCCTATGCTTTCTTTTATAGGCTTCTGGGTCAGTTTAACCTAAGAATTATAAGGCAAACTGTGAAAAGCTTTGATCCATTGGCAACTACTTTTTCGGTTTGAATTATGATTTTTTTTTAAATTTCTCTGCTATGTGATGGCAATTCTGATCTAGGATCCTTTCCTTCATATTGTCTTAATCATCAAAGTAACCTCACGGTCCATAAAAATTGGCTACATAATAGATCAACTCTATGAAGTTAGAATTATAAAAAGCTTTATAATAATAAAACTTTTTGCTTTTATAACTTGGGTATTCACATAAAAGTTAAACTGTTTAAAACTTCCGCGTTGCTGTTGGCTTTGGTCAGTTGCATCAATGTTCTTCAGTGAGATTTGCCTGAAGTTTCCTTTTGTGTGATACTTGGTCAAGTATTAATGGCACACTTCTATTTTTTTCCCAGCATTTTAAGACACTATATATATTCTGTTATCTATCCTCCAAAGACAGAAAGAGTTAATCTGTAAGTCTAAACAGCAGTAACTTTGAATAATATTTTTCAAAATTTTCCCATCCTATCATGTTTATTGATATATTTAAGTTTTGTATGTTCTCTTTAGCCAACATGGATAGTGTTAATTTTCCTTAAAAACTATTTCTTTCCAGATTTACAAAATCCAATAAATATCTTTTCTAAGGGGATGTTTTTTACATAAGTTATTGGGGTACAGGTGGTATTTGGTCATGTAAGTTCTTTAGTGGTTATTTGTGAGATTTTGGTGCACCCATCACCTGAGCAGTATACACCGCACCATATTTGTAGTCTTTTATTCCTCACCCCCCTTCCACCCTTCCCCCCAAGTCCCCAAAGTCCATTGTATCAGTTATGCCTTTGAGTCCTCATAGCTTAGCTCTCACATAAAAGTGAGAACATATGATGCTTGGTTTTCCATTCCTGAATTACTTCACTTAGAATAGTAGTCTCACCCAATCTCATCCAGGTCACTGCAAATGCTGTTAATTCCTTTTTATGGCTGTGTAGTATTCCAACATATATACACATATATGTATATACGTGTGTGTATATATGTATATGTATATATATGTGTATATATATATGTACACACACACACATATATATATACACACACACCCCCACAGTTTATCTATTCATTGATTGATGGGCATTTGGGTTGGTTCCATGATTTTGCAATTGTGAATTGTGCCGCTATAAACATGCATGTGCAAGTATCTTTTTCAAATAATGACTTCTTTTCCTCTGGGTAGATACCCAGTAGTCGAATTACTGGATCAAGTGGTAGCTCTTTTAGTTCTGTAAGGAATCTCTACCCTGTTTTTCATAGTGGCTGTACTAGTTTACATTCCCACCAGAAGTGTAGAAATGTTCCCTGTTCATTGCATCCACGGCAACATCTACTGTTTTTTGATTTTTTGATTATGGCCATTCTTGCAGGAGTAAGGTGATATCGCATTGTGGTTTTGATTTGCATTTCCCTGATCATTAGTGATGTTGAGCATTTTTTTCATGTTTGTGGCCATTTGTATATTTTCTTTTGAGAACTGTCTATTCATGTCCTTAGCCCACTTTTTGTGGGCTTACTTATTTTTCTTTACTGATTTGAGTTTGTTGTAAATTCTGGATATTAGTTCTTTGTCAGATATATAGATTGTGAAGATTCTCTCCCACTCTGTGGGTTGTCTGTTTACTCCACTGACTGTTCCTTTTGCTGTGCAAAAGCTCTTTAGTTTAATTAGCTCTCAGAAATACCTTATTATTCATGGCTATAGTATAAGCTGTCCTATTCTACTTTCTTTCTAACCTTGCCCTCAAATTGGGAAGGAAAAGGTGAAAATGGGAAGGAACTTCAGTGACAAGTGTAAAAAGGGAAGGTAGACTGAAAGAGACCCCGTGTGAGAGAATGGGATATAAAAAGCTGCTTTATTAAACTTTCCATTCTATAGATTTTTTTTCCCTAAAAAAGAAGTTATCACATAAGAAAGAAAGGTGAAGGCAGATAAAGAATGGGCTTTCAGATGTTTAGGCAGGCCACTATTAATCAAGTTTTTTCAGCTATAAAAAGGAATGGTTAGTATCAACTGTATCCAGCTTCTGGAGGGAAGATTAGGTAAGATACTCTATAGAGCTCTAGAAAGTAATCCTGCAGAAATATAAACTATTACTGTTACTTTATAGATTTCCAGCATTCCACTATTGACTCTTTGGCATCTAGGACAATGTTCATTATTAAAATTATGGGCCAGGTGCAATGGCTCACAACTGTAAATCCCAGAACTTTAGGAGGCCGAGGTAGGTGGATTGCTTGAGCTCAGGAGTTCAAGATCAGCTTGGGCAGCATGATGAAACACCTAAAATACAAAAATTAGCCAGGCATAGTGACATATACCTATAGTCTCAGCTACTTGGAAGGCTGAGATGGAAGAATCGCTTGAGCCCAGGAGGTTGAGAATGCAGTGAGCTATGATTGTGCCACTCGCTGCAGCCTGAGCGACAGAGAGAGAGAAAGATCCTGTCTCATATTTTAAAAAGCCCTTTATATCGTATTGGGAAAAATGACCAAAAACCATACAAGTTATTTATGGCAAGTTCTGGCTGACAACAGGACTGTCCAGGAAAAAAAAAAGTGTTATAAGATCAATTGGTATATTCCTTATTAATGACAAGGAGTTGTAATCACCAATATGGTCTTCTGCACTATTTCTTGAAGAAAACTTCAGCAAATCATTATAACTTTGTAACTACTACGGCCCTTCTTAAAAGAATCAGTACTAAGACAGAAAAAAAGAAATCATTAAAAAGATGTGAGACTTTGACAAGAAACTTGTTCAGAAGAAAGTTCTTGGCCTGTATCCACTTACCTATATCTTCTGTTCATTTCTCTCTCTTTCTGTGTATGCTTCTATTTAATATCCTATCCTTGACCTTGGTAATTCGTGGTTGGTTCTATGGTAATGGCTGCTGGAGAAGTAATCTGATTTTTTGCCTCATCTATTTTTAACATCCTTTTCCTAATGTCTTATCTATATACACTACACCAGTGGCAACTTCCTCCTGGTAAAGAGAATATATACTTCCTGAAAGGCATCATTTTGGGTTCTACAAATGTCTCTAATGTCCCTTCTGCTAATATAATCACTCCTGCAGGTGGCAAATAGTATTTTGGTCATTAAGGGCATGAATGAGAACTGTAAAAGAAAAAAAAATGTATGTATAATTGAAGCCCAAGGTATTAAATCCATGGAAATATTCTATTGCCTTTTAAAACATCTATAGAAGTGTACTTCTCTAGAGGCAATAACTGAATGAAATGCCCATTCTTGATGCTATTCAGAGACGTCAATTTGCATAGTCAGAGGTGTAAGGAGGAGAAGAAGGTACCAAGTAGCCCTGGTAGAACTTTGTAGAAGTTCATGAAAGTAAAATATTTAAATAAGCAGAGACAACAGGCACACAATGGCTGTACTAAAGAGGTGCAGTCTGATTTTCTCATGACCTCCTTCCCCATATGAGAACCCAATTTCTTAAAAAAACATGATTGAGACGGTTCAGCAAAGACCAAGAAAATCAGATGAAAAACTATAACTAAGTGACTTACACCGTGAGCCACAGTTACATGTCACTTGGGAAACTAACATTTGTAGAATTTACAATCACTTTCAAC
Source organism: Homo sapiens (assembly GCF_000001405.40). NCBI lineage: Eukaryota > Metazoa > Chordata > Mammalia > Primates > Hominidae > Homo > Homo sapiens. The sequence goes on along the minus strand of NC_000008.11, from coordinate 32,933,030 downwards.
ACTGGATCCTTACACTGTGTTGAAGGTATTATTTTGATTAACTTCCCATTTTGCAAATAGAATTAAGAAAATAAGACTCAGATGTTAAATGACTGGCCCTTTACTTACAGTTAATGATGGAGTTCAGGACATGCCACTCCAATATATGGCACTTTGCCATTTGAGATAACAGCAGAAAAACGAAGGCCACTCTCATCTTTCCTTGGTCCTTCTCTCCCAAAGCAGGTTCTTTCCAGAGGCACCTACTCTATACTTGGATGATAGGCATATCCTTATCTCTGAAGATATAGGGACACAGAGAAGAATCTGGACAAACAGGCCTTGCTAAGTTTCCCCAAGTTTATTACCATTAGATCATGCACCTTTATCTAATCATGCTTCTTTTCCAAGGTCACTTCTTCATCAGACTTAGCATAAAAATACACAGGTTTATCCATTTCTTCATGACTTCATTTCCTTATGAAGGCTTCTGTGTCATGTACAACTTATATTAAATTTGTATGCTTTTCTCTTGTTAATCTGTCTTTCTTTACCGGGGTCTCAGCCATGAACCACGCGATGGATAAGAAAAGATTTCTTCTCCCCTACAGTTTCTTCTCTGCTGCACTACTAAACACAAAGCTAGGACTATCTACAAATACCATGCTTTTCCATTACCTTCAAGCGGTTACCTATGTTGGGGGAAGGATACTCCATGCATGTGAAATGACAGATAATTAAACCAACACATAAAGGGAACACTGGATGAGTCTCCTCACTCTGCTGACAGCACAGCTGGTGCAGGCAGCATAGCTAACTGTTAGTAGCTGGCTCTCATGCAACTCTGAGACTAGTTTGAAGAATTCCTATAGACCTCATCTAGTGGTACACCCATACAAAAACACCATTACGTGTGTAGAACACATATTCATTCAATCTGCAAGCCACGCTTGGATTCCCATTCCACTTGTTTCCAATGTCTGCACCCTGGTGCAGATAAAGATTCCTCAGGCTCCTTTGGTCTTGGCTTTTCCTGGCTTTGAAAGGTACACAAGACCTTGCAACTCTCTGTCTCTCACAGTCACTGCAGGTATTTTTTAAATCTTTATTACAATGATTGAAAGGTAGAAAATTCACAGGTATCCCTCTGTGTTTGGAGAACCTTACTGAATGCTCTCTGAACTTGGCATTTGGACTTTTAAAGACTCTCACCATTTATCATAACCATCATTGTTCTTCCCTGGATTTTCCTGAGAGGTGTAGCAACTGGTTTTTGAAAGATTAGGATAATCAAAAAGGATGAAGAGGCTTTTCAGGTGACCCTATTCAGCTTGTTCCAAATTACTTTTGGGGAGAAGACATGAGATTCTTCTCTCCCCCATAATAAGTGTCAGCTATTCTATCATTGTTTATAAACCATGATCTAAGCTTTCCCGAGTGCCTCATGCCAGGTTCCTTTGCTTTTCTCCATTAGCATATGGTTACATGGTGTTTATGCTCCAAGAAAAAGCCCTTGAACAACTCTACTGTCAAACGTGTGTTTTTTCCTAAGTGGGAGGTCAATAGCATTTCCATATCCCCACCCGAAAGAGAAATGAGATGTTGCATGTGACACCCACTAATCATCTACTTTTCAAGGTTTGATTTGGTAATTTTCTCTGAGGATGAAGCAGCTGACAAAAATGCTTTCAAGATGGAAAGGGGGCTTGTAAACCTGCCTGACTTATTATTTTCCGCCTGAAAGTAATAAACATCTGTTTGCTTGATAAAGTAACCAGGTTCGCATTTGAGGGAAACAAAGCTATTTAGTTGGCTTCCAATTACTGATTTCTCTTGAGAACATTACCCCAAGGGCTCTGGGCAGTGAAATGCTGAATATCACCTCATCGTCTCTAGATTCCCCTATACAATCTGTCAATAGCCTAAATTCCATGCCATGAGACATTTTTTCATACTATAAAATGCTGGCAAATGCTGTTGAGCATAGAAAAAAGGAAATAGTTGTTTACTTTAACTGAGATATTAGACAGGGGCAAAACTTAGAAATTTTTTTCATATGTCAATGGATCCCACTTTTAAATAGCCAGAAGTCCAAAGAAATGACTAGATCTCTTTTGAGGTCTAGAAAGAGGTGAAACTTTTGTTTTTATTGTTTGTGTGTTATGTCTGAGTCTCGTTACCACACTTGGAAAACTTATACTCTCGGCTCTTGATTAAGTGTATTCTATAATCTGTCATCTTAAAACTAAAACAATTGTTCTTCATTTCTTTCAACAAATTGTTTGAGTAAATTTATGTGCTAGACACTCATTTAGGTACTTTAAAAATGTTAGAAAACCAAAACCAAGCATCCTTGTTCTGCTGAAAACTTATACTCCAGGTAATAAGTATCAAGCATAATAAATAAGAAGATTGCATACTGCAAAAAAAAAAAAAATTTAAAAATTGAGCAGAGTCATGGAAATCAGGGAAGCCAGAGAGAGGTACTGGATGAAGGACAGTTGCAATTTTAAATAGGGTAATAAGGATAAGACTCACTGAGAAAATGACATGTGAACAAAAGCTTGAAAGAAATGTAAGAGCTATCCACACAGATACTCAAAGAACAGCATTCTAGGGACAAGGGAAGCCCAGTGCAAAGGCAAGAAGGCAAGAGCGTGCCTGGAAACTCCAAGGAGCATCATGGAAGCCAATATGCCTGGAGAGAAACGATCAAGCAGGAAATTAGCAGGATACAAGGCCAGAGAAGTAAAGTTGGGAAGGGTAAGAAGAGGGGTGGGCTATGTAGACACCTTTAACTGATATAAAAACTTTGGCTTATTCTTTGAGTGAAATGAAAGCTTTTACAGGATATTAAACAATGGAGCCATAAGAACCACTTCACATTTTAAAAGGGTCACTCTATCTGCTTTTTCAAAATAGACTGCATTAGGTAACAAGTATGGAATCAAGAAATTGTTTCAGAGACTATTGCAATAAATCCAAGCAAGGAGCTCAGTAAAGGGTAGTAGCAGTAGTAGTAGTAGTAGTAGTAGTAGTAGTTGTTGTTGTTATTGTTAGTAGTAGTACTAGTAGTAGAGGTGGTAAGAAGTGTGACATTCTGGATATATTTTGAAAAGTCAATAGGAATGCATGTTAGCTTGGACATGAGGTATGAAAAAAAGAGGTAAGTCAAGGATGACTTCAAGATTCTTGGCCTAAGCAACAGGACGGATGGAGTTGCATCAACTGAGATGGGGAAAACTCCAAGTGAAATAAATTTAGGAAAGAATATTTGAAGTCCAGTCTTGAACATGTTATGTTTCAAATGTCCATTAGATATTCCAGTGGAGATGCTGCATAGGATGCTAGATTTATGAGTTTGGAAAGATCTGAGATGGAGGTATAAGTCTGGCATATGTATGCTATTTAAAGCTATGCTGCTATAGGATGTCATCAAAAAAGTAAATGTACATAGAAAAGAGAACCAAAGATTGAGTCCTGGAGCTTGCCAAAGACGTTAGAGATAAGAGGAAGAACCGGTGAGGAGGGCAGAGGAGTTGTTAGTGAGCTGGAAGAAAAAACAAGAGAATGTGGTGTTCTAAAGACCAAGGTACAGAAGCCGTATCAAGGGGGAGGGAGTTATAAAAGTACCAAATACTAATGAAAAGGTGAAGACTGGAAACGCCCAATGGATTTAGCAACATGAATCACATTGATGACCTTGATGAGGGCTGATTAAGGTGGAGTGGGTCTAACAATGAGAAAAACACAATTGGAGACCAAGTAAAAAAAAACTTGAGTAATTTGTTTGAAAATAAGTACAAAAACTGGAGTGGAAGTTGGTGATGAGGGGATGGATTCAAACTAAGTTTTTTGTTTTTAAAATTTAAAAACATGATATTTGCATGTTATGCTAATGGAAACAATTCAGGATGGAGGAAAAAATGATGCAAAACTGGAGCGCATTCATGAAGAAATACTCTTGGGTGAGCAAGAGCAGATGGGATCTGTTGCAATGGATGGAATGGCACTGGATGTGAGTACAAATATTTCATCTATGGCTATGGGCAGGAAGGCAGAGTATGTAGGAAATGTGGGAAAGTGCGTAGATGTAACGGTGTGAGTCTGGCAGAATCTCTTTGGAAACCTCTTTCAATAAGGAAGGACGCAAGATCATCAGGTGAAAATGATGAGGATAGCGGAGGAATTTTTGAAGGTTTGAAAAAAAAAGAGTGGCTAATTGTTTACACCTTTGATACTCAAAGGATGGTCATTGAACCAGCAGCATTGGCGACACCTGGGAGGCTGTCAGAAAAGCAGACTCTCAGGCCTCAGAACTCCTGCATCAAAAGGTCCATTTAAACAGGATCCCCAAGTGTTTCATATGCACCTTAAAGTTCGAGAAGACCTGACCTTTGCAGGATATCATAGTAAAAAAAAAGCATAAAGAACATGAGCTTTTCAGCCAAATAAATTGAACTCTAACTTATGTGATTTTCAGAAAATTACTTAACCTCTGTGTGAGTTTCCTTATCTGTAAACTGGGGAAAACTATTAATATTAGCACAGTAGAAATAGAAGTGGCAGTAGTAGTTGTTGTAATGGCAACCACAACAGGTAACATTCACTGAGCGCTCTATCAGTCAGGGGTTTGGCAGGAGGCTGGAATTCACTCGGGTGATTTCAGTAAGTGGCTCTTAACTCTGGCTTCATTACTTACAAAGCTCTTAGACAACACCAGCGGCCAGAACCCACCCCAGCCAGTTGCAATAATCTCTGGGAATGCCAGCCCAGGCACCGGTAGTTTTCAAAAGCTCCCTTGGTGGTCACGTGCAGCAAGGGTTGAGAACCACTGATGTAAGTTAATAGTCTTTAGTGAAGGGCCTACTTACAGAGATTTGGGCAGCATTAAGGAACCAAAAAATGGCATGTTGAAGCACCCAGGTACCAGCAAGAGAGGCAAGGCATTAACTTACATGGGGTTGGAAGAACAAAGGAAGAAAACAGTGTCTCTGCTGCAGTAGAGGAAGGACCACAGGTAGAGGTCGGTAGAGGTCAGCAATGGAAGCGCTGGGTTGCTGCCAGTGAGAGAGGCAAAACTCGGAGGGGGCAGGAAGGAAGTTCCCTACCCTTTCTTCTCCCGCCTACTGGTTCCCTGACACTTCCTCCCATTGGCTGGCCCCTAACTGAAGCTGGCTCGCAAGGGAATTTGGGTGATGTAGTCCTATGTAGAAGTCCTATTTTCTGGGAAGACAGCAGGCCAGAGAAGATGGGAGAATGACTGGCGGGGGAGGGAGTCTTGCTAAGGGGTCAAGTGGAGAATAAGTACAGGCACTTACTACGTGCCGGGCCCTCTTCCAGGTGCTTTGCATGGATTAACATTTTAGTAGATGGCTTCATTATTTTTCATTAAAACTCAGCACTTTTTTTATTGAATAAGGAATTGTTCCAGGTCAATTCATTATTGGAGACAGTTAAATATTTGTAAGTTTTCAGATGCACCATTCCCAGAAGAGTGCATTAACTTGTTTCTCCGTGGTCAGGCTGAGAGCCCAGGGCTCAGCATTTGCATTCTCTAGGCCAGCAGGGCACACCTACTAGGTTCTTGACAATGAGTTGGTTGCAGGAGAGTAATTTGGGTGACTAAACAACTTGCCTTGGTCCTAACGACCCAGCTTTCCAATTTGTCTTAGGAAATACATGATACAGTGGGCCCGTAAACTGTGGATCCTGCAAGAATTCTATGACCCATTACGTGCGTGAACTAGATGAAGACGTCTACAGGATCAATGATAGTTATAAAAATTCTTTTGTTATCTGTTGTGAGATATATTTTATATAATGAACATCAATTCTTGGAAAATGCACAGCAAATACATTGTTCAAAGGCAGGAGACTTTGGGAGGCCAAGGTGGGCAGATCACCTGAGGTCAGGAGTTTGAGACCAGCCTGGCCAACATGGCAAAACCCAGTCTCTACTACAGATACAAAAAAATTAGCTGGGTGTGGTGGCAGGCGCCTGTAATCCCAGCTACTCAGGAGGCTGAGGCAGGGAGAATTGCTTGAACCCGGGATACGGAGGTTGCAGTGAGCTGAGATCGTGTCACTACACTCCAGCCTGGACAACAAAGCAAGACTACATCTCCAAAAAAAAAAAAAAAAAAAAAAGACAGGAGAGGATAACTGGCTGGAAGGGGCAGATGAAGAGCCCCCATCCAGTAATGATGCAACACATAAGGTAATCTGGGTCACAGTTTAAAGCTATTTAAAAGTTGGTCGGGTGCAGTGGCTCATGCCTGTAATCCCAGCACTTTGGGAGGCCGAGGTAGGTGGATCGCCTGAGGTCAAGAGTTTGAGACCAGCCTGGCCAACATGGTGAAACCCTGTATTTACTAAAAATACAAAAATTTGCTGGGCGTGGTGGCCTGCACCTGTAATCCCAGCTACTCAGGGGGCTGAGGCAGGAGAATTGCTTGAACCCAGGAGGCAGAGGTTGCAGTGAGCCAAGATTGTGCCATTGCATTGCAGCCTGGGCGAAAGAGCGAGACTTCCTCAAAAAAAAAAAAAAAAAAAAAAAGAAAAACTATTTAAAAGTTAACCAATGACATTTAAAAAGAATTTCTACTCAGAAGGGGGAGTTATACTCATTTGGACCCAGAGAAGAGCTGAAAGCAAAGCTTTGATGAATTCTCAGTTGACTGCGGGAACACAGCTGCTGAGTAAACACTCAACACTAGAGCAGGCAGTGTGGCAGACAAAGCTCATCTCTGGCCCCAACTGCTTTCCTGTGCAGTGATCCTGTTCTGCTTATGGATCAAAAAGATGTAGTTCAGGAAAGCAAGGTCTGGGACTGAGAACTTGAGATGGAGGCAGAGCTGAGCCATTGATTAGAAGAAGCACAAGTACATTTTATAAAGGGCATTTCTCAAGGTCCTGCTACCCAGCATTTTGCTTCATCTGACTCCATTCATCATAGTCTTGCCAATGGTTATGTCAATCTATTGCCTTTAAAATTCATGTGATTTTGGAGAACATATTCTGAAGAGACCATATTTCCTTAAAACAACTTATCAGTATGATTGTTTGTCTAACACAGGATTCCCAGATACCTAATTAGAGTTTCATTCTAACAAGACCACACTGAGCTAATCCTCTTAACAGTGTTAGCTGGCATATCATTTAGTTACAAGTTCCTAGAAAAAAAGAAAAGTCTTTTGCTCATAGGCATTCCTTCCCAATAATGGGATTCAAGCACTTGTGGCAAGTCTATGAGAGAGAAAAATTGTTTTTAAATCCCACTATACTTAAAACTGCTTAGTCTCCTTTTATATCCAGATACCCTAGGAAAGAGGTAATGAAGACTGTGTGTCAGCACTGGTGATATTTATTTAACATGTGTTATAATCCCAGCTGACACTTTCTAATGAGTTTATTGCCACCATAGAGTTAAAGCTCCCCCACTCAATAAGCATAAACTCCAGTGTCAAAAATGAAACATAGGCAGTCCTGATGCTTAAATGACCTGTATCGATTCTCCGGCAGTCTAACTGCTGTAGTCTGGTGCCAGTCCTCTAATTTGTGCCCTGAAGTGTATAGCATCACTTGATTTAGATGTCAGATTAAGGCAGCACACCAGTTTGAAAATTCAGCTAAAATATTCTAGAGAATTGGTTTGGATATCTTCACCTCACATTATAAAAATCATTGCTCTCACATAAACACGGGACTATTAATATCATTCTCATTGACTTTTTTTGAGTGTGTTTTATCAAAGGAAATGTCCTCACAGTCAAAGCTTGCTGTGTTTTGTGCTTTATCTGTACAGCAAATTCCATTTAGAGAAATTTAATGCCAAAGCTGAAAGTTCTGCATTCCTAGGGAATGACTATTTAGGGCATTGTCTTTGAATATGAAGTAAACACACACTCAGAATGTTTGTACGAAGCTCCTTCAGTGGTCACAATATGCTCCCTATTCTTTTTTTTTTTCTTATGAGACAGAGTTTTGCTCTTGTTGCCCAGGCTGGAGTGTAGTGGGGCCATCTTGGCTCATTGCAACCTCCGCCTTCTGGGTTCAAGTGATTCTTCTGCCTCAGCCTCCCCAGTAGTTGGGATTACAGGCACCCACCACCATGCCCAGCTAATTTTTAGTATTTTTTAGTGGAGAAGGGGTTTCACTATGTTGGCCAGGCTGGTCACAAACTCCTGACCTCAGGTGATCCACCTGCCTTGGCCTCCCAAAATGCTGGGATTACAGGCATGAGCCACCGGGTCCAGCCTATGCTCCCTATTGTTAAGCATCAAAAGACTTAGACACTTAAAAGATGCTGCAAAGCACCACTGTGTTCATGGTTATATTCTCTGCTTCAGAGAAATCATCTAGCATTTCCAAAGTCAAAGAGAATGGTTGAAGAACTAGCAGTGTAAAAATTCACCAAATTTCTACTTAATGCTAACAAAACACAGGAAAAGCTAATTATCTCTCTCAAACTTAAAGTAAAAATTTGGTATACCTGGAATTATAATATACATTTTGGACACTTTAAAGAGCTAGAAGGCTGAGCATGGTGGCTCATGCTTGTAATCCCAGCACTTTGGGAGGCCAAGGCAGGTGGATCACTTGAGGTCAGGAGTTCAAGACCAACTGGGACAACATGGTGAAACCCTGTCTCTACTAAAAATAAAAAAAAATTAGCTGGGCATGCTGGTGCACACCTGTAGTCCCAGCTACTCGGTAGGCTGAGGCAGGAGAATTGCTTGAACCTGGAAGGTGGAGGTTGCAGTGAGCCAAGACCGTGCCACTACACTCCAGCCTGGGTAACAGAGCAAGGCTGTCTCAATAATAATAATAATAATAATAATAATAATAATAATAATAATAATAATAAAAGAGTAGAAGGGACTTTGAAGATCAGCCACTCTTTACAACAAAGGAGACAAAAATTCAAAAAAGGTGAAATGACTTATTGAAATTATAGAGCTTGCTAAGAGGTAGAAGGAAGACTAGAATTCAAGCCCCATTCTCCAAAGCCCCATTCCCCAAAACCTTAACTCTGGTAGATCAACATTTCGCTAGAATGTCATGAGTTTACTTTAATCTTGTTATTTCTAGAGAAACTGACTTGACCTCCTTTCTGTTGAAGTTTGATATTGTTATAAGACAACCTGGACATTGTGAAAAATTTGTTAGCAAATAGTTCAGATTTTCTGTCCTTAGAGAGTATATTGTCCCAAGTTTCTCAGTCTATGGATTTCCTTATTTTTGAAGCATGTGGTATTTCAGCTCTAAAATATTTGATCATACACAGTGTTATATAAATGCATAGGGTTAGTTTTACTCCACACTCTAGTGGTGATGAGCAGGTGTGTAATCAGAAAACCTGAGGCTGCTACAACTAACTATCCTGGCGATCAACAGTAGAGGCTTTTCAAAATAGAGCAATGACACCTGTATGTTTATCACAGTATAATTCACAATTGTAAAGATATGAAAACAACCAACTGCCCAACAGCCAATGAGTAAAGAAAATGTGGTATATATACATCATGGAATACCACTTAGCCATCAAAAAGAATGAAATAGTGTCTTTTGCAGCAATAATGTCTTTTGCAATCCATTATGCCACTCTGTATGCCTTTGCCTAACCATAGCTTATCTCCCACTTATAAGTAAGAACATATGGTATTGGGTTTTTCATTCCTGAGTTACCTCACCCATTATTGTAAGTGAGTACTTGGGAGACTCAAGAAGGGAGAGGGTAGGAGGGGAATGAGGGATAAAATCTGCGTATTGAGTACAATATGCATTATTCAGGCGACAGGTGCAGTAAAATCTCAGACTTCACCACTATACAATTTATCCATGCAACCAAAAACCACTTGTACCCCAAAAGCTATTGAGAACAAAATTTTACATTAAAAATATAGAACAGTGAGTATTAGAAAGGGACTTTCTTCGGTTAAAGTAATGGCCAATCAATACTAATTGTATAATAGGTGCCAAAATGAGTTCTCCAGCATGAAATGGGTGGTTTTCAAGATTTGTGGATAAGCTGAAATATTTTAGAGATACTCCATTCTTGCATGAAAAGGAGTCTAGCAGATTTTTCAAATTTACCCTTAATAATGGCACCTGAGGCTCCAGTCCTAAGTGTCTCTGTGTCCAGCTGGTAGTTCAGAGGGCTGTGTCCACAACATGCCAACTATAAGCTTGACAACATCTTCCTTCAGAATTTTCTCATAGGCTTCATATAAAGCATTCATTCAGAGTGGTCAATTCTTCAGCAGTCTAACGCTGTAATCTGGTGCCAGTCCTCTAATCTGTGCCCTGAAGAGTGGTTAGGGAACAAAGAAAAGATTGTATATAGAATAACCAAAGACCCTGGTTTGCTCAAGACTTGGGTGTTTCTTGGACTTGGGATTTTAGTGCCAAAACTGGGACAGTTCTAGGCAAAGGGAGACAGTCACCCTATTTATTACGCAGTTCTATGAATTACGTACTTGTTTACTAATAAATGATAGTCTATTATGTCAGAATTTCATCTGACACTTGTTTTAACTTTACAGATTACCTGATCACAAGTTTGTTATGGAAAAACCTAGAGTGCTCATCTATTTCTAACTCTTGGCACAACCAGTATCTAGTTTTTAAAAACCTGATGGTTTTTGTGGCCAGATTGATTTACGTGCATATACAACACATGGAGATGAATGGGAAACACACATCCATGTGTTCCCAATGGATGGGAATTTCTTGTCACAGTGATCTGGGTATTTTTATACCTATATCGTTATACGCATATACATCTACACACTCAAACACAAACAAAAAACAAATGCAAAATCACCTTGTCACAAATAAAGAATATAGGTAGATGATACACAAACACTAATCAAGTTTTCTTATGCTTTTGTGGTTACTGCTATGAAAACCTTAACTCTCTATGTAATACAAATTTGCAAAGAGAGGAAAACCTCAAGGATTCCTTCCAAGCAAAGTTTTGAAAGTTGTTCAAAATGTGACTGTAATCACAACTTCATTTCCTTTAACACAGAGGATTGCCCTCTTATATGTAATGAAATGAGAAGATAGCAATTTGCTTTGGCTCTTTTCTTAAACAGTGATTATTTTCTTGCTTCATGTAACTTCCATAGACATTAATGAGAAAGGCAAACAAGCACTAAAAGTGTGTGTTTTCCAAAAAAAGGATGCTTCTTAGTATATTTCATAGGCTGAACCTTGGAGAATTCACCACTTTATGACCTGGACAACTTGTGTCCTAATGCAACAGCATCACTTACTGGCAACCTCACCAAGTGTCCATATTCTAATACAACATGACCTGAGATGATCACTTTGGATCAAGTCAGACTATCTCCAGTTGTCTAGATGGTCCTTTTGATGGCCTGGATCTTTTATTATTTTACTAATACTGTTTTGAGCATAGAATACTTAGGCCCAATGAAGTTGTGGGGATTGTGCTTCAACTCAATGCTGTTAAAATTATTACAGAGAAGATATCCTAAAGGCTTAACATACATTGAAAGGCAAACAGCTGTAGCCACTCGACTTGCAAATTAAAATCCTAACTGTGAATTTCAACAAATTAGATGAATTTAGCTAATTGTCTCTACAGTTTGTTACTGATGAGTCACAAGCTTCGACAAATTTCTGGCATTTCAGACTCAAAGGGACCTTATTCACAGGTACCTGCTGAGGACAGACTATACTTTGAAACTCTTTTGCTAAGCAGGTCATGACAAGTCCTGGATGACCTTCCATCTCCACCACAGAGCTTTTCATCCAGGTGCACTCTGAAAAGCAAAGTGAGCACTTGCATCACGAATCCAATCTTTTTTTAAGGATTGTGCAATGCATCCCATATCACCATCCCCAGCCTCACCGCAAGAGTGTAATCTGAATTATGCATATGATCATCTTGTTTCTTCAACTCATTTAGGCTTTTGAGAATAAAGGAAGAGAGGATTCTGTGAGAGTTTCAGATTTGGCCTTCTAGAGCATGTTATATTAGACAAAACAAGTGGGATAGGAGATAAAATCAAGAATTATCAGTTAGTGATTGAGTTGGAAAATGTATTTCAAGAGAGGGAAACTTGGGGCTATTAGAGGTTTCTTACCCATAGAACAGGTGTTTAGCTACACTTTGGGGATGGGTTTTCAATGGCAAATCTGGGAAATGACCCTGGCATCTGTAGTACAATTGGTGGAGATGTGAAGTGACATGCACAGCCATAGATGGGAGGCATGGCTCCACTGCATACCCTGCATTTCCCCTACCTCTCTGGTCCCCAGCTACAAGATGGAGCTAAGACTATCTGTTGCTGCTTGTTCATGACACAATACCTTTTCTTCCACATACACTGCTCAGAATTTATTTTTTCCTTATCAGCTTCCTGGGATGTTCATTTTAACCAGAATTCACCGGGTTATAAATAGGGGGTGAAAGGGGAGTGGGAAGTATCACTCTTGGGACTTGTTGGAGCTCTTTATCCAAGATATGACCTTGTTTAGACCCTGGATTTAGTAAGAAAAAAAAATCAGCCACCCAGCACACATTTCTAAAGATAACCTTGTCCTTTATATTTGCAATTCACTAACACATAGCGGGCAGGAAAATGAACCCTCAATCAACCAAATAACTACTTTTCATTAACTGGGTCAGTCTTTAAACCTGGAGAGCTTAGCTAAATTGAGACCTAAATATAAATCTATCAGGTGGAAATTCTGAGATCTAATTCAATCATACTCAAATATCTTTTTCAATGAGCAGACTGAAGAGTTCAGGAATTACTTTAACTTCAAGAATGCATCCCTTTTGAACTTTGCAAGGAATGGTTTTTCAGTGGCGATATCTAAAATATTAACAACATACCAGTTACAATGGGCTCAACCACACATCAGCAAGGCTACGGGTTTTCAACACCTAGTGCACTGAATAGCATGTTGGCCTTCAAATCAGCCCTGATGCTCTGTGGTGGTTTCACAAGTCCTAGGATGCGGAAAACTTGACTCAGTTTCTATTCCATGATCTGACATGTTCTAACATGTTTGCCTGTCCCACACAGGAACTAGAGAACACAGAGTCCCATCTTTATCCAAGAGGCCAGGTGGGGCTAACTCCTGCATTTCATGTCCCTTGGGCTGGGCTGTATCTGAAACTGCTGTGAATGGTCTGGCTTCTTTTAGACAGCCTGAGATAGAAGGGATTCACTGCCTTTTTTCAAAGGTCACTTGGTCTATTTTACAGACTCCCCAAAGATAGATATTATGAGACACAAATTGCTTCTCCAAGGTTTGAAGAGTCATGAAACACATGATGTTAGGCCCCAACCACTTTGGTACCCATTACCAGCTCCAAATATAAAACCTTCTTTCTCAGTGACTGGCTTTCTCAGCTGGTGGTGAGGTGCAGAGGACCAGGTGCCCACTCCAAAAATAAAAACACATTAACCACATCCACCATGCGACTAATACTTTTCTCAGAAGCAGCCATAGCCCATGGAAAGTAAGTGACGAACCCATCCAACGCTCTGTGCTTTATTCTTAAAAACTCCACTTGTTGGCATAACTTGGTACACTGCTCTGTCTCTGGGTTTTCATTTTCTTTGCATACATTAGAAATGAAAGCAGAAGTGTCCCCCAGACACCCATCACATTAAAAAAATGCAATGCACGAAAATTTGACAGGTTAGGGAATTGTTCATTTAAAAGTGTTTGTTTACTTTTCAAGAAAGTCTCTACATCAAGATTGTTTTATGTATCCAGCTCTAGTGTAGTTTTGAAAAGTTCCACTTTAAAAAATCGATTTCTATAAAGTATTTAAGGAAGAGGTCTATTATTTACATTGTGATACAACAGGAATGAAATTTCTCTGAACTTAATGGCTCAACAGAGCAATAGCACAACCAGAATAAAGCAGAAGTAAAGTATTTCATTTCTCAATGCTATGATCTTAAGTTAAATATGACTTGTTAGTCTCAGGGAAGAACATTGATAAACATTGAGGAATTAATGGATTGGCAGGCAATGCAAAAAAAAAAAAAAAAAAAAAAAAAAAAAAAAAAAGCCAATGGCAATGGTGACCAAATAGAGAAAAAAAGAGAAAAATCTCTTTTTAGGTGTCTTTGGTAAGTTTGCTCTGGAATCCTGAATACAAGCCTGGGCACATTGATGCCAGAATAATATGGATCAACTCAAAGGAGTTGGAAGAACAGTAACATAAATGATTAGAAAGTAGGAGAGTGATTTATGGGCAAAGACCCACAGAACTAAATACTGTCCACATAGGTTACTTAAGCAGGAGGCCAGGCTTGGAAGTGACAGCTCTGTAATTGAAGAGCACAGGAGGGAGAAGAATCTTTTAGAGGGGTAGAGAAAAAGGTTAAGTAGGGGCAATGGAATGGAATAAAATGCCTTTGTTTATGTATTTAAAAGATCCTCAGAGGCAACCTTCTGAATTCCAAATTAGCTGAGTCATCACGGCGGTTCCTCAAACTTAAAAAAATGGAAATGCCTAGCCATAAACCCTTGAAATGATTGTGTTTGCAGCTCAGAGAGGCAAAAGTAGGGGATAAAAATTCTGGTTAGATGTTGGGAAAATCTTTCCACTTCCAGATGGTGAGAAACATTAGATCATGAAGGAGGTCCCTGAGGGAATTGACAGAAATCACTGTAAAGCTCTTAAAAATCAGGCTCTCCAAAGCAATAGAAAATGCAGCAGGGAGAGAATGCCTCCTTTAACAAAGAGATGACAACAGACAAAATAATATCCATCGTCTCTCACCTTCTCCAAACCACTAGTCCTCGCTGTTACTGTTAGTGGCATCCACATTTTCACAGATACCAGGTTCTATGATCGCCTTCTGATGGGTCAGGCATATCATTGCCTCCTCCAGTTCTGGAGCCCTATTTTCTGCCAGTTTCTCCTGCTCATTATTACCTCGTTCAGGTCATTAATTCCCTCACAGACATGGTTTGTAGGAATCCTGAATTATATCTTTATGCCCAGTGTCTCACCTTCCTACTCATTCTTCCTATCAATTCAGATTTATTCTCTTAAAGCACACTTAGATTATTTCATCTTGTTTGTTTTTTTTTAAACTTTTTTTTAATAGAAGCATTCCAGCTGGTCAATCATAAAGGTATGATAGAATATCACCACTTTGGAATTCCTAATAAAATAATTGGTCTGGTCATTGATGATCAGCCTAAAATCATTAAAAAGCTTAATGGGAGCTTGATAATAAAAGATTGAGGCTGACAACACCCAAACCCATCGATAAATTTTAGCATCACAAAAAAAGAGACAGATAGTACATCCGCTCAACAAAAGTACACGACTCCCCTTATGAAGAATTCTTGCCAATAAATCAAAACTGAATCTAATTAAATATCTGGATATAACAACTAGTTTATGGAAAATACAGGGGACTGAGAACTATATTAAACAAAAGTCTGGTGACACAATCAGCAAAATCCAGAATATGAGACATTTTAAGGAATCAATGACCCAGTTTCTTCAACAAATAAAAGGTAAGATTTTTAAAAACAAAATACAAGGTGAATTTACAGATTCAATGAGACTTAAGAGATTAATCAACCAAACGCAATAGGTAGAACTTGTTTAAATTCTGATTCAAATAACCCATAGACTATAGTTATAGGCCAATTCATGACATTTGAAGTCTGTCTGGATAATTGTATGAAGGGATTATGGTAAATTATTGGGACAGATGTGGGATTCAGTCATGGTGTTTTTAAGAGTTCTTTTTGTAGATTCACACTGAGGTATAAAAGGAAAAGTGAAGTATTATGTGTGAGACCTGCTTCAAAATAATCCAGAGGGAAGGAGAAGGTGGATGTGGGTTTAGATGAAGGAAAACTGGCATGAATGACAGTTACTAAAGCTCAGTGATGGGCTCATGGATTTTATTATACTGTCCTTTCTAGTTAATATATGTTTGAAATATTCCACAATAAAAAGTTTTTAAAAAGTCAGTTGGCTAAGAAATACACCAATTTTGTTTCACCAAGATTATGAAGGGAACTCACTTGAGCCAAATAAAATGCTTGGCTTGAGCAGTGACCTGTTTAAGCCCAATAACTGGTTTGGTTTGGTTTCATTTGGCTCCTTCCAGGTGGTCAAAGAGGTTTAAATTTGCTGTCTTTCTAGGCCTTCCCTTCACTTTCTATTAATTCTGTGGTTTTGTTTTTTTCTTGATCACCCACGGTAATAAATTATTCACTATTTGATGGCAGTAATGATTGGGAATTTGGTTTTATGGTTTGGCCATTTGGTGATTTCTGTTGGATCAATGATGTAGATCTCTTCTCTGTTAGATGAGAAACAACATAAGGCCAGGTGCGGTGGCTCATGCCTGTAATCCCAGGACTTTGGAAGGCCGAAGTGGGAGGCTTGCCTGAGCCCAGGAGTTCGAGACCAGCCTGGACAACAAAGGGAGACTCCCCCATCGAAAAAGAAAAAAAAAGAAAAGAGAAACTACATAAAAATCCAACCTGTTGGTCCTCTGCCTGTTTGCCTATTTATGAGCTCAGATGAATTAAGAATTGTGTGCCAAGCTCAGTGGCTTCTGCTTGTAATCCCAGCACTTTGAGAGGCCAAGGTAGGAGGATCACTTGAGCCCAGGAGTTTGAGACCAGCCTGGGCAACATAGCAAGACCTTATCTCTACAAAAAGAAAACAAACAACAAAAACAAACACAAAACTTAGCTTGGCATGGTAGTGTCCTACCAGCTACTTAAGAGGCTGAGGTGAGAGGATTGCTTGAACCAAGGAGGTCAAGGCTGCAATGAGTTGTGATTGCACCACTGTATTCCAACCTGGGTGACAGAGCAAGACCCTGTCTCTAAAAAACTAAAAGAATTTTGTGCCCACCATGGAAGAGAGCAACTCTTTGTGATCTGGACAGTGAATTTTTGTTTTTAGGTTTGGTTACAACTGTAAGCTCTATGTAGGTATGTCTATAATTCAGAAAGACATCTAACTCCTATTATTGAGAATTAAATATTTTTCTACTTCTAAAATATTTAATAAGTTAGATTATGATGTACCTTAAATTTAAGGAACTATTCTTATTGATCTGTAGAGACAATGTTTTCCAAACTTCACAGAAAATAAGAAAGCTAAACTTTGAAAATTGTTCAAAGTGGTAGCCTTTTAAGAAAAAAAAATTCTTCTCATAAAAACCAACTGAAAAAGATTGTGTATAAGAATACAAGTTTACACAATTAAGGTTAAACAATCCTTGGTTTAATAATTTGGGTTTAAGAAAGCAAACAAATGCAGCTGTGTATCCATTCCCAAATTTTTATCAGCATAGAATACAAGAGTACATTTTATTTTTATGAGATTAGGATTTAATGTCTCATGAAGAAACTAGTCTATCAGACCTTTATAAATATTTAATAGATTATTTATCAAGAAAAAATTAGTTATTCCTAAATACCTAAGACTATGAAAATGTTAATTTGTTTTCATTTAATTTGAAACATTATTGTGAAAATCTTTTTATATCATCACTAATCATTTTAGTGTATCAGGTTGAATACAATATCTAAGTTGTCTAGATGACTTAAAACCTTGAACTAATATATGTTAAGTAAGTAACAAATAACATTCAGATAATTAAGTATGTCTATTCTTTGAAACATAGATTATTAAGCATACTTTAAAGTATATATACATTTGCCTCTATGTTTACATGCTGTGTCACTATATCTTGTGGGTTATATTGATAAACATGTTTGGTTTTTCTACTGCAAAAAAGCATAGAAGGTGAGTGAGCAGCTGCAGAAAGTTGTATGTATTCATGAGATTTGCTACTCCACTAAAATGCTTATATATGACAGATAGGTCTCACTTACCTATTAGGTTGGTGCAAAATTAATTGTGGCTTTTAATGGCAATTACTTTTGCACCAACATAGTACCTCCCACTTTCCTATGTAAAAGAGAAGTTAGTTACTGCTATAATTTGCTTTTTTTTTTTTTTTTCTGAGACAGGGTCTCACTCTGTTGCCCAGGCTGGAGTGCACTGGCACGATCTCAGCTCACTGCAACCTCCACCTCTCAGGCTCAAGCGATCCTCCCACCTCAGCCTCCCAAGTAGCTGGGATTACAGGAGTGTGCCACCATGCCTGGCAAATTTTTGTATTTTTTTGTAGAGACAAGGTTTCACTATGTTGCTCAGGCTTGTCTTGAACACCTGAGCTCAAGTGATCCACCCATCTTGACCGCCCAAAGTACTGGGATTACAGGTGTGAGCCACCACACCCCACCCTTATAGTTTGCATATTTGACCCTCCAAACCTCATGTTTAAATTTGATCCCCAATGTTGGAGGTGGGGCCTAGTGGGAGGTGTTTGGGTTTTGAGGGGAGATTCCTCATGAATAGATCAACACCCTCAAGGTGAAAGGGATAAGTGAGTTCTTACTATTGGTTCCTGCTAGAGCTGGTTATTGAAAAGAGTGTGGTGTCTTCCCCCCTCTTTCTTGCCTCCTCTCTCTTCATGTGATCTCTGCACACTCCAGCTCCCCTTTACCTTTTGCTATGAATGGAAGCAGCCTGAGGACCTCACCAGAAGCAAAGCAGATGCTGGCATCATGCTTCTTGTACAGCCTGCAGAACTGTGAGCCAAATAAATAAAACTATTTTCTTTATAAATTTCCCAGCCTCAGGTATTCCTTTATAGCAACACAAATGGACTGACAGTGACTTTGATAAAGTTATCACTAATACGAATTTTGAGGCTATACTGAGAACAATAGTGACAGAGAAATATAAATATGGTGACCAAGTACAAAATGGAATGCATTTTTATCAAAATAAAAAGAGAATCTTGTCTTAGAGATCTGGCTGTTCCAGAATGTGAAACCTAGAGGATAGAAAAATACAAACAATGAACGGCTGCAGAAAGGTGTAGAAGGTTTGCAGAAAGGAGGGATCATTTTATTTCCCTTACTTTATAATACTTGAGTCTGGAAAGAAAGCAATAATATGTGTTAAAATTTTATCAAAGATGGCTTGATTTTGATGGGTTTATCCATAAGAAAAACATTTCTGTGTATTCTTCACTGCTAAATATATTTGCAAAAAACCTAGAATTTGATTTTTTAATCTGTTAAAACTATAAATTGTTTTATAACTCTTTAACAAAACATTATTCTTTATTTTCTGTGTAATCTGCCCAGAGAGTATAGATTCCCTATCCTGCCAGATAAAGTCTCCTTTGAATATATTTTGATAAAAATTACTATTAGGTGAACTTCATCTAAGTTTTCTACTTTTGTCTAGCTTTCATATTTGCATATCTTCGAAGTCACCCAGTGTAACCAAACCAAATACTCATTAAACAGAAAATAAAAAATAAAATGAGAAAATGATGATTTTGGAAATACACAGAAAAAAAACAGAAGTAAGATAAAGTCACTTTTTCTCTCCCGCATTTAAGTATGTAGCTATGACTAGTAGCTTTGGGAAGGGTGTATTTTGAATAAAAATATTACATATGAGGAGAACCTATTTGCATTTTGAAAGTTTAAAATCAGTAATAGACCACATTACTTACTATTTATCCTTCATTTCTTAGTAAAAATGTGTTTTAAAACATATTTTTAAATGTTTATTCATGCTGTAATACTTTATGGAGCATCAACAGAAGGCCTTTTGCAGTGTTCTGAGGGGCCAAAATATAATTACTCCCAAGTACTATTAACATCACCTACATTATACAGCATAACAACATAGATCATCAAATTCTGCATAAAAGTCTGTTGTTGTACTGAGTTCCCTGATGCATGATAAAGGCAAATGTTTTATTAGAAACAGAAAAATAAATTAAAACAAACCCAGGATTTTCATGGTGATTAATTCAAAATTATACCAAATTCCTAAAACAACTATCTTCAGATTAATTACACGGAATAACATACGCCAATGTCATCGCCACTACTAGAAACATTTGTTTTGATAAATACAAGCTTTTTTTTACAATAAATTAATACCACTTACTATGCCAGGTCCCCAAAATGATATGATAAAGAACAAATCAGGTTTCTTTGAGAGCTGGCAAGATCTTGAAGATTCCTTTCAACTACTCATTTTGTAGAAAAGAAAAATGAGGCACAGAAAAATTAGGTGACTAAGGCTACATGGCTAGTTTTTTGCTTTTGCTTTTGTTTTGGTTTTTGAGACAGGGTCTTACTCTGTCACCTAGGCTGGAGTGTAGTGGCTCAGTCACAGCTCACTACAGCCTTGACCTCCTGGGCTCAAGCAATCCTCCCACCTTTGACTCCCAAGTAGGTGGGACTACAGGGACATGCCACCATGCCAAGATAATTTTTTTTTGGGGGGGTAGAGATAGGGTTTCACCATGTTGCCTAGGCTGATCTCAAACTCCTGGGGTCAAGTGATCCACCCGCCTTGGCCTCTCAAAGTGCTGGATTACAGGCATGAGCCACCATGCCAGGCCTACATGGCTAGTTTTTAATAAATTCCAGTGCACTGCTCATTTTATCTAGTCAAATATAAGAGTGGGAGATATGCAAGTTTTTGGAGACTTTTTTCTTTTTTGAGAAATAAAAAATACATGACAAATATTATAGCAATCATCTCTACTATCATAGTAGAGAATTAACATAGTTCAGAATTAACAACTGTTAACATTTTTGTCATATTTGCTCCTAGTCTATTTTTCTTTAATGCATTCAACCTTACTAACATGACTAAAAGTCCCTTTAAATATCACTGCAAGTGCTATTTGGGATATTTGGGATGTAAACTTCTAGTTCAGCACTGTCCACCAGAAATATAATGGGAGGCACATATGTAATTTTAAATGTCTAGTAGCTACATTTAAAATAAGACAGGAACAGAAAATTAAACACCGCATGTTCTCACTCATATGTGGAAGCTAAAAAAAAAGTTGATCTGAAAGAAGTAAAAAGTAGAACAGAGGATGCTAGAGGCTGGGAAGAGTAGGGAGAAAGGGAGTGATAGGAAGAGATTTGTTAAAGACAAAATTACAGCTAGATGGGAGGAATAAGTTCTCGTATTCTATACCACTGTATAACTATAGTTAATAATAATATATAGTTTTTGACAGCTAAAAGGGAGATATTGAATATTCCAAGCACAATGAAATGATAATGTTTGAGAGGATGGATATGCTAATTACCTTGATCTGATCACTATACATTGTATGTATCAAAATGCTACTAGGTATCCCATCAATATACATATTGATGTATCAATTACATATTGACCATGTTTATGTAAACATTAAAATAGGAATATAAGTAATAATGTAAACAATTGGTTCATGAATTGTGACAAATGCATCATACTAATGTAAGATGTTAATAGCAGGGGAAACTGAATATGGATATATGGGAACTCCCTGTACTGTCTGCAATTTTTCTGTAAACCTAGAACTATTCTAAAATCAAAAGTTTAACCAAAACTGGAATGATACAGAGAAGATTAGCATGGCTCCTATGCAAAGATGACACAGAAATTTGTAAAGCATTACGTATTTTTTAAAAAAGAAAAACATTATTCTAAGTGAAATGGGCCGGTCACAGACGACTGCATGTTGTATGATTTATATAAAATGACAAGCTATAAGTACATCCTTAGAGACAGAAAGTAGAATGGCGATTGCCTGACTGGTAATGGGAACAAGGCTTCTTTTGCGGTGATGTAATGTCCTAAATTTATTGTAGCGATGATTACACAACCCTATGAACATATAAAAACAACAACATTAAATGGTACAATGTAAATGGGAGAATTGCCTGGCATATTAATTCTTATTTCAATAAAGGTGTTTTAAAACAAATATAACAAGTTAATTGCATTTTTTAAAGTAAAAAGAAACAAATGGAATTAATTTTAGTAATTATTTTATAGAACCCAATATATCCAAAATATTATTTCTGCAGACAGTTAACATTTAAAAAGTGTTAATGAGCTATTTTTACCTTTTGTTAGTAACTTACTCTCATAGCACATCTCAATTCAGATTGGCTGTATTCCAACCACTCAATAGCCACATGTGGCTAGTGGTAGGGATTGGACCAGCCCCTCTCATTCATTTTTTAAAATGGTTTCAGTATATATGCATTCACTATACATAGTATCGTTTCTGTATTGTGAGTTTAAAGTTCCATGCATGATGCACTGCTGGAATCATTCTCTACTTTCTTAACATGTTATATTTAAGATCTATTTGTGATAATGTGTGTGCATCAAATTATTTAAACTGCCATAGTAGCCTATTGTATGAATATAAATTATTTTATTTATTCATTCTCCCATACACATATGTTTACGTTGTTTTCAGTCTTTTGGTTTTATAAATAAATATGCAATGAGCATTCTTGTACCTGTCTACAACCTCCTAATTTTGCTGAGTAGGAGAGGGATGCTGAGAGAAATTAAATAACTGCTCCAATGTTACAAAGTGATATGATTATATAATTGCTGACCTTAAGGAACTTATTAAATAGATGAGTGATTTTGATTTGGAAGACAGCATAATCAAAATCACTTTAGTAACTTTTCCAAGTTAAACAGCTCTGCCTCCTTACCTACTGCAAACTCTAAACCTCTGTACCAGTTGAGACCTACTAGAAGGTGATGGGGTGAAAATTTTGAGATTTGTCTGAGCCTCAGAGTTTAACAGTTAAGAAATCTCCCCAGCTTCTGTGTTCAGGGAAATGGCTCATCACAAAGGGCCACATTGCCCTCACATATTGCAAGAATGCCTTCTCTTGTGAATCCCATAAGACTTCCAGTCCATCCTTTCTCGTGACTTCCTTTTCAAAACTCCAGGCTTTCTCCCTCTTCTTTGAGATGTTCCCCATTCATGAATGTTCTGCCTGAATAAAATCATACCCTTAACTTTATAGGGCATTTGTCTTTCACAGCTTTGGTGACATGACTTGGATAGGATCACATCTTGCTTTCAGATCTCTGTTTGTTCCACCCAGGCAAGGAGGCTTGTTGGAGCCCTTTGTGCTCTGTTCCTGATGGGCGCTCTGAGGACCAGGGGTGGTTCTGACTCTTCATGCTGGACTCCCAACTCCTGTGCTCTGGGGACCCATTCCCACTGGCAGCATGGTGGGCCCTTGACTTTGATTGCTTGTTAGAACTCACTTGATTTCCAATTGTGGCTTCTTTTCTTTTCTTTTCTTTTCTTTTCTTTTTCTTTTTCTTTCTTTCTTTTTTTTTTTTTGAGATGAAGTTTCACTTTTGTCACCCAGGCTAGAGTGCAGTGGCAAGATCTCAGCTCATTGAAACCTCTGCCACTCGAGTTCAAGTGATTCGCCTGCCTCAGCCTCCCAAGTACCTAGGATTACAGGCACCACCATGCCCCGCTAATTTTTGTACTTTTAGTACAGACGAGGTTTCACCATGTTGGTCACGCTGGTCTCGAACTCCTGACCTCAGGCGATCTGCCCACCTCGGGCTCCCAAAGTGCTGGGATTACAGGCATGAGGCACCATGCCCGGCTGGATTGTGGCTTCTTTTGATTTTGTGGTCTGACCATTTGGTGATCTCTGTAAATAGATTAATAATTTTATAGAAGTCTTGTCTCTCTTGGGTGAGAGCTGACGGACAATCTAGTGTGTTAATCTCTTATGTTTGCCTACCTGTCCATATTTAGCTCAAATAAATTGAGGATTCATACCTGCTGTGAAAAGAACAGCTCTTTGATATGAACCAATGAGTTTTGTAATTATGTATTTATACTTGACCCATGGCTAAAATTTCAGAATTGAAACTGTAAGCTCTCTCTATGCCTGCAGGTTTATGTATTTATAATTCAGAGAGGCCTTTACCTGTCATGTGTGAATGTGTAACATTTCTCTACCACAGGATGATATTAGTCATTAGATTATAAAATCTCTTAATGGTGCTCTATTCTTGTTATTTCAGAGATAAGTAAATACTTATATAAATTGAATATTCCTAATATTTCCAGAAATTAAGAAAATTGAATCTAGCTGGGCGCGGTGGCTCACGCCTGTAATCCCAGCTCTTAGGGAGGCCGAGGTGAGACGATAGCTTGAGCTCAGGAGTTGGAGACCTGCCTGGGCAATATAGTGTGATCCCGTTCTCCACAAAAAGGAAAAAAATTAAAAAATAAAAAATAAGTGAAAACTGAATCTCAAATACTTTCAATGTCTTGATTTAAAAATTATTTTTACAGAAACTAACTTGGATATGATTTAGGAATTCAAGTTCACATAATTTAGATAAAGCTTTGGCAAACAAGACTAGTTTAATATTTTTGGTTTTAATAAAAACAGCTATGTCTTCTCTGATTTATCAGGGTTAAGCATAATATATACATAGATTTTTATTTCTATTTGGGAATGTTCTGTGTAAATGTATACAAGTTTACTGATTTATTAAGCTTGTATTACTAATGTTTAAGATTAATGTTTAAAATTATGGAAAGTATAAATTTGTGTTTAACCAAATAAATTATTATCATGACAAACCTTATTTCAATAGTAATTTTGTTTTATAGTATGTCAGCTTGAAGATAATTTCCAAGATCTTTAGGCAACTTAAAACCTCAGATTTACACTAAAGTTAGTTAATTGATAGATATTTATTGAATACCTAAATCATTTCCTAGTAAGACAGAGTACTGAAACAAAGCAAAGTCTTAAGTTTATCTATATTTTGCCTCTTATTTTCTGTTACTTGGAGATTATATACTTGGGCCTGTTAATGAACATGCTGATTTTTACCACTTCGTAAAGTTGTACTATAAGGAATGGGTGGCTGCAGAAAGTTGTGAGTTGTATAATTCATGAGCTCAGCTTGTCTGCTGAAAAGAATGGTTTTGTCCTAAGGTGAAATGACTGACTGTTGTTGTGCAAGACAAAACCTGAATAGATGTACAAAGTTCTCCAAAAAAACAAAGGGGAAATTTATTTACCATGGTCAAAGTTAGTTAAGGTTTGATGGGTTTATTTACAGGATTTTTAAAAAGAGCTTGTGTTTACCTTGTCTGCTTTAGTAAAAGTTTGTAAAGGGTTTTTTTTTTGTTGGCTTTTTTTTTAACCTTCTAAGTAATCATCAGATTACAGAACAAAGAATAATATTCTTCTTGAACAAAAAGGAGAACTGACGATGTTGAACTTTAATCCTTTACTGGTGTTCTGGGAAACGGCTAACCACCAAGAATCACCCTGCCTGGTATATTCCACAATAAGAATGCCCTCCACACTCTTCTCCAAACCTCTAAGTCTCCCTGCCTATCCTTCTTCATGGCCCTCTTGTTTACCTGCCTTTCTAAACCCCAGGTGTTCTTGCTCTTCATTAATGAATGGTTTGACTGAATAAAATAATCTCTTTAATTACCAAGTGCATTTTGTCTTTCACAGGGACACAACCCTTAGATTAAGTAACCTTGACAAGTTAATAAATGTAGCAAGCAATGCCTGTACAAAAAGAAAAAAAAAACAAAGATGATAAAGTGGTTTATTTTGTGATGACTTTTATGGAAACAAGCTTTAAATAAAATATGAAGGAATAGAGGGAAGTTTCAGCTTACTGGAAGTCCCTAAGAAAACCAAAACTATCTTCCATAAGTACTGTCCCCAGGGGTGACCAGAAACTGCCAGAAAGAAATAAATTATTACTAAATTTCCAACATCAAATCAGACATTGCTGAAAATAGCAGAAATACGAGCCATAAGTGCAAGTCCTGCTACAGTATGAGCTGGAATTTCTTACAGAAAAAAGTTTTTTGGGAGGCCGAGGCGGGCAGATCACGAGGTCAGGACATCGAGACCAGCCTGGCTAACATGGTGAAACTCCATCTCTACTAAAAATACAAAAAATTAGCTGGGCATGGTGGTGGGCACCTGTAGTCCCAGCTACTCGGGAGGCTGAGGCAGGAGAATGGTGTGAACCCGGGAGGCAGAGCTTGCAGTGAGATGGCGCCACTACATTCCAGCCTGGGCAACACAGTGAGACTCTGTCTCACAAAAAAAAAAAAAAAAAAAGTTTTATTAAACTCCAAATCCTGACAACGATGGAGGGCTCATAGTAGAATGTTTATGGCATGACTTGTAGAGGGGGGATATCTTGAGTAATGATCCCAGAGCAGGTTCCCACCCCCAAGAGACAAAGGTGCATCCAGAGAGTAGGAAGGAAGAATCAGGGGCCAGGAGTAACTGCTTGGTATCTTAGAATGAATCTGTTGTTCAGGATGGATTATGTAAACACTGTCAGAAACCTTAGGTCTTAGAAGAGAAGACCTGGCCTATCAGAGGATAGTCTAGGAGACTGCAGGCCTCTTAGAAGTGCTCCAAGTCCAACCAAAGCTGAAGTGGATACTTGAAAGGCAGGGCATCAATGTGAGCACCTCAGTGTAGCCTGGAAAAGGCCGGCAAGAATTCGTCAGCCCTGAAGGAAGAGCACAGAAGGGGCTAACTGGCTTTGCTTGTTGGGCTTACATGATGTCAAGTGTTGTCTGGGGTCTGAGCTTGGGTCTCAGATAACCACAGCAGATGTAGCAGGGCCAGAAATGGATGTGCACGATCAAGTGTTACAAGCCACATCTTAGCAACGGTCAAAGAGGACATGATGTAACAGGAAGGCCAGATAGCCCTCACCTTATCCCAGGACAATAAGTCACAATATTTCAGCCACCTGGAAACTTATTTAACTTCTATGGAGAAGGATAGCAAAGTAGAGAAACTCCTGGATTGATCTGGTGGCACACAAAGATACAAAGTTCTTAATTGGAAGTGAGTGAATAACTTTGAATTGGTATAAGTTTTTGGCTATCTTGTGGAAACAGATACTATAAGGTTGTAAAGCTACATTAAGTTTAGTTTTGCAAAAACACATTTTTGCACATGTACATTTGTGAATGTGAAATGTTATACCCACTGTAAATTATAGGTAGAGTGAAATTAACAAGGAATTAAGAAGAAGAGATCAGATGATAGAAATGATTCTTAAGGTTTTCTGGATCATGACCTTAAATAAAGATCAAGGAAAAAGGAACTGGATTTTAGGAAACTAGCATGGTGCAAAATTCGTAGAATTCTTCTCTAGGAGATAATGCAAAAAAGGAAAAGATGATGGGTCTGTTGAACCATATTCTCATAGAGAAAGTTTATCTCTGACTCCAGAACCAATAGGCGAAACTTTGAAAACGGTATGTCTTTCTGAATAGATAACCTACCTAAAAGGGTTGGCCTAAGAGTAGGATTGGCATTTTTCAGATAGTCTAGATCAACAATCTGGACATATAGTTCTACAGATATGAGTGTATTGGGGTGAATATGTGACAGAAGGCTTGAAATGTAGTGTGGTTCTTGAAAATTTGGATGTCTGATTTCTGGATCCATGCAGATAACAGATCACAGTTCTCTAGCCAAATATTCCTCCCTCTAAACTTAACTAGAAGTGCAACATGAATTATAGACTGCCTCCTGGATCCTTAGTTAACATAAATCAATTTACTGAAATGAAACATCTTTGGATTTTTGTGTAAGATGATAACCATGTTTGTGTATTTCAGATCTCTGATGACACACACATACACATACACACACACACACATGAAATATCCTGTATGTAGTGACAGCTTCTTCTTTTACTTCAAGTACCCTCATATTCTGTGAATATTGACCTATCTTATTTGCCTTCAGAAAAGTCCTTCACACTGAAGTGTAAGTTTGAAATGCTTATCTCTTAGGAGGGAGCACCCTTCACAAGATCAAAATCTTAAGCAAATGAAAGAAATGCTAATAATGAAATAGCAGGCTACATCCAAGTGAATGAGAGAAATATATGGGGATTACCACCTTTCCTAGACCCCCTGAAATCATACTATCTTATTGGTGATCTCATAAATGCATATGTTGATGGGACCAGCAAACATTTTTTAGTTAGGGATCAAAGTTAAGCTAGTTGAGAATACAGAGCAATATATTTGTTGGAAGCTTGGAAATACATACCATTGGGGTTTATATTTCAGCGTCATCTGGATTCATGAGAGTTTCCTAAACAGAAACAGGACTTTAAGAAAACAGTTCTTTATGCAAAAAGCAAGACAAATTTGAAGAAACAGTAGTTGCTGGCAGAGTGGGTCCACGGGGATAGTGTGGATATTAGGAAGGGAAGATAATGTAATTATGACACATTCTTTATGGTGCATCCATAAAAATCTGCTGACCTCAAGCAATCCGCCCACTTCAGCCTCCCAAAGTGCTGGGATTACAAGCATGAGCCACTGTGCCCAGACTGCTGATAAACTTTCTATGTAGCATATCTCTGTTGGCCTGAGTCAAGTTCCTTAATGCAGGCATGGCAATCTCTTCCTAACATAAAACTCCATTTCTATGTTTCTGGCCTAATGATGGCCTAGTTCAGCTGCATGTATGTAAAATTCTTTGAGAATCTTGATGTGAAGAACTTAGATTTTCCTGAGGAGGAAAAAGGTTCCACCACTTCAGCAAACACCCCAGTGTCATAAGGCAGTACAACCACAGCCGAGCTTCTCTCCCACAGGACAAAAACAAGCCAACAAAGCCCATTCCACAGTCTCTTAGTGGGAGTTCTCGTGGCTTAGAGAGACAAGTCCCATCCTATCATCAGGACGTAATGCTAGTGCCTGTATCACTTGTGCTCTGAACTTTCTGCTGTTCTACCTCTCCTTTCCTTTTTTGAATTATTTCAGGGCCTATTTTCATGAAAATACATTCAACCTGAGCAGCTTCTGACAAAGATATATAGGCTTTTCATGCAGGCTAATAATTTAACACCCCAAGCAGACTAATACACTGCTACCCTTTCCAGCGTGCATACTTGGGTCATTTGTTCACATTGACTTGGAGAAGAAATTGAGAGCTGCCTGGGGGAAGGACAGAGAAGGGCCTGGCAGCAGGCAGCTGGGCTTACTCTCTTCCTTGCCCTGAACAATCAGTTCTGGCCACAGAATGTACATACCCTCAGCCAAGCAAAAACCCCAGCTGCCCTCTGGGCTTATCCTCCTTAGTGAGGAGCTAAATGAAATGAACATGTTACAATTCTCAAATATAACCTGGTGGGGCAGTGGTTTCGGGCATTTCTTAAAGAGATTTTTGAAGTATTTTCCATAGTAACTTTAGTATTCATCATATGAGATATGGCACTTCCTAGCCGTGCTACTTTTTAACCTCTCTCTGCCTCAGTTTCCTCATCTGTAAAATGAGAATAATAATCATATCTACATCATTAAGTTGTGAGATTTAAAGAAGTTAATAAAGTTTATTCACTTCTAACAATGCCTGCTACAGACTGGACTACATATAAGCATTGGCTTTTATTAGTAGAGTAAGAAGAGGAATTTGAGCAGTTACAATTTTCTCAGTCTCCTTTCCTTTTCAGAAAGATTTGGTCACACTTGTAACGTTTGGCGCTCCACAAAGATTAGCATCCTAGACATCTTCTGGGCTGATCCATTCCTTAGTCAGGGTCTGAGTCTACAACAGATACCAAAACTGGAGTGTAATGTAAGAAGCAAATATTTAAGTTGGACAGGAGGTGTAGTGTGTTCTCAGAGGCATGGAACTCTAAAATGGGTATACAAACTCAGAAACCCTTTTTATGGGTACAGGAAGAATTGAGACCAAATCATTGATGGTGGTAGGGCAAGTGAGGTGGGAGTGGGGTTGAGGGGCTATGTTATTTATTTATTTATTTATTTTTATTTTTATTTTATTTTTTTTTTCAGATGGAGTCCTGCTCTATCACCCAGGCGGAGTGTAGTTGTGTGATCTTGGCTCACTGCAACCTCTGCCTCCTGGGTTCAAGTGATTCTCCTGCCCAGCCTCCCGAGTAGCTGGGATTACAGGTGCGTGCCCCCACACATGGCTAATTTTTGTATTTTTAGTAGTGATGGGGTTTCACCATGTTGGCCCGGCTGGTCTTGAACTCCTGACCTCAAGTGATCCTCCCACCTCGACCTCCCAAAGTGCTGAGATTAAAGGTGTGAGCCACTGTGCCTGGCCAAGGGGCTATTAAGAGAAAATATACCCAAACCTATATATTCAAATGCTGACTTATCATACACATCTCTTGAGAGGCTGTATATACTTTTTCCAGTAATGCTGCTGTATTTGAAAACATTTCAGGCAATGTGAAAATTTACAGAACAGCTACATTAGAAGGTATACCTGAATAGAAATCAGTGTTTTATTTCTGATCACCAATCTCTGTCAGGCAGTGGGGCCACACACTGTATTCACCAGACTTGGTTCTGGATGTCGTCTGACCATTTCTAAAATGCCAAAGGACAAATCATGTACTTTTACCACTAAGGCTACCCAAAGCTAAATTCTGGCAATGTCAGCAACATTTAAATAAGGACATTTCATTTATATTCTAGATTGTGATATTGAATTTCTAGAATGTCTGTTAAGAAAATAAACCACATTACTTTGCAGTTGTTTTCTCAATCTTGTGTATTATTAAATCAGTGTATGCTCTAGGTAAATTAAACTCAATGGCTCCTGATCCTGCCTAGAAAAATGAACAAAATACAATTAACCATGTACTTACTTTGCAACAGCAGTGCAAGGTGTAATGAGACTATTTGTAAAGTAATTCTGAGTCCTTATTACGTGAATGCAAATCATCAGTATTAAAATCAACAAATAACACAGCTGTCTGTGATGGAGACAGTCATGGTGAGGGTTTTAAGCAACCTCTTAAAGACAGTGTTTGAGGAGCTATTTCTATTCCCTCCCTTGTAGGAGCTAATTTATCCTTTGTAGTAACAGGAATGGAAATGCTTTACTTTGGGAATGCTGACTGCATTATGGCTAAGCCATTTGTGACTACTAAACAACTTGTATCCCAGTAGGACTGATAGAACTCAGAATTGCATTCATCACTGTGTTTCCACCACAGAGACTCTGCTTAATGGAGTCACGCATTTATCATTACAGTTTCCACCTCGAATGAAGTAGTTAGCTGGGATTTGCCTTCAAATTCCAACTGGTTTGAGCCTGTGGATACCAACAAGCAAGACACATATTGAGATGGCAGGCCCTGGAAAAATTACCAGGAAAGTTCATAGCTTCTCATTCCTGATGTGTAGCCTAACTTTGGAAAGTGTCAAGAGCACACAAGACAGCTGTGCAAGCATCTGGTCGACCTCTGGAATGGCTAAACACCAGCCAGGAAGTGGGAGAGACTGCATGAAGCTGAAGCTTGGCAAATTTTAGACATTGGACATGAGAAATGCCATCAGACAATTTCACCAGAAATATCATCTTAGCTCTTTTATTTTATTTAGCAAAGCAAAAGTTTTCAATACCCATATCCTTAAACATGAAGTCTCATATTTTGTAAGATTAATAGTCTCAAGAAGACCACCCCTTACTTGTCCTTTACCAGAAAGTTAGAAGGACCCTAATATAGTAAGGAGAATGTTTGCTTTACTCACTCCACAACTTTTACTGGTCACTCACTGTGTGCCAGACACCGTGATAGCACTAAAGAGACAGAAGTGAAAAAGACATGGATACCGCCCTTGAAGGGCTTACTGTTTCAAAAGAAATGACAACTTATACCCTCACATGTAAGGAGGGCTATCAGATCAAGAAGAGCATCCTTCAGGTTTGGAAATGGTAACCAACAACCTGCAAGAGTTAGAGATGTCTTCGCAAAAACATTTACTTTGGGGACAGCCTTAAATGTTGACTAGAAATTCACTCTAAAGTAGTAGGGAAAGAACAGCCTAAAAGAGCATCCTCTGGGGCTGAAAACACAGAACTGTTTGGTGTACCAGGAGGTGTTATAGTTTGAATTGTGTTTGCCTGAAAGTCATATGTTGAGGCTCTAGCCCCAGTGCCATGGAATGTGACCTTAGTTAGAAATAGGGTCATTGGGGCTGGGTGCAGTGGCTCACGCCTGTAATCCCAGCACTTTGGGAGGCCGAGGTGGGAGGATCACTTGAGGTCAGGAGTTCAAGACCAGCCTGGCCAACATAATCAAACCCCATTTCTATTGAAAATACAAAAATTATCCAGGGGTGGTGGCAGGTGCCTGTAATCCCAACTACTCAGAGGCTGAGGCAGGAGAATCACTTGAACCCAGGAGGCAGAGGTTGCAGTGAGCCAAGATCACGACACTATACTCCAGCCTGGGCAACAGAGCGAGACTCTGTCTCAAAAAAAAAAAAAGAAAGAAAAAAAAAAAAGAAATAGGGTCATTGACGGTGTAATTAGGATGACGGGATGAAGTCATACTGGAATAAGGTGAGCCCCTAATCCAGTATGACTGGTGTCCTTATAAAACAGGGAAATTTCAACAAAGACAAGCATGGAAGGAGAATACCATGTGAAGATGAGTGCAGAGATTGGGGGTAGGGTGCAGCAGGAACCAAGGAACACCAAAGATTGCCAGCAAAGCACTAGAAGTTGAAGGAGAGACCTGGAACAGATTCCTCCCTGATGGCCCTCAGGAGGAACCAGCCCTGCTGTCATGTTGATCTCAGGCTTCCGCCTCCAGAACTGTGAGGCAATACATTTCTGCTGTTTAAGCCGCCCAGTCTGTGGGCCTTTGTTACCGCAGCCCTCAGAAGCTGGTACAGGGAGAATAGCAAGAAGCTCTGTTTGACTGAATTGGAAGTCATGTAGTTCTGAAGTGGAGACAAAGCCCATAAGGGAATGGAGCTAGAAAGGAGATGAGGCCTTATCCAGGGTCCCTTCATGTCAAAATCAAAAAGGACATCTCAAATTTGTCAACAAAAGAGAACAATGGTGGTTTTTAATGAAGGGATTAAACTCTGGAGAAGCCGAGAAGCTGGGGCATGCATGAGTGGCAGCAACTAGTAAAAAGATTCTTGGCCCAGAGTCCTTGGGCCCAGGCACAAGATTGGAAGGCTGTTGTGAGACTCTTGGAATTTTAGGTAAAATTTTGTTTGATCATGAATCATTATAGGGTACTAGTGAGTACAAAAATTTTGAAGTCAATGGTATCTGTTCCAAAGCCCCATTCTAACATCTATTAGCACAAGGCCATGGATAATAATTTCTCTTCCCGTAACCTCTGTTTTCTCACTGAAAATGGGATGGCCTTACTCTATATGCAGGTTATGAGAATATATTGGTATGTTGTGCATAAAGTATTTAGGATAATGCCATAAAATATGTGTTCTTTTTAAAATACCTACTATTATTTCATTATTCATGTTTTCCATGTACAGGTAATAGCTCAAAATTGAATTCAACACAACTTCACTGAGAGAATTTTCACATTTAGTTTTTAATCCCTGCAAAGCCCAATGATCAGTGTGACAAAGTTAAGCCTTCAAGTTCTACATCCAAATTAACATTTGCTTGAATAGAGTAAAATCAATGATTTTTAAAATTAGGAACACATTGCCAATATCAGTGAATGGACCCTTATAAAATTCAGGATTAATAATCATTCTGTCTTCAGCAGGGATAAGTGACCAAGACAATTAAGTTCTGGCTAATAGGGCCAAGTTCTTTGATTCTTGGAACTAAAGTGACTGACATAAACTAACAATCATATACATGTTAAATAAATACCCTAGTGTGTGTGTATATGTGTGTGAATATTGCATATACAATATGGCTCTGAGTTGTCCAGCATTATCAATACACCTGATTAACCATTCAGATACAAGTCACTTGATAAATCTATCAAAAGACTGGCCTATTGAGCCTAAAATTCAGATTTGTGCTAACACATTGCAATGGATTTTTGTTCTAATACATTGTCTACAAATTTTCCACAATCATAAAGTAATAAAGCTTTTAACATCAAATTGAAGAGGGGTGTTTGAATTGATGGATGGGATCATGGTATGCAATATTTTAATTCCACATTACAATTCAGATTACATCATACACATTTGGACATCTGTTAGAGTAAAATCTCTCTATCTCTTTAATACAAAGGCCTTTAATAATCTTAGTTCTGGAAGAGGGGAAAGCTACTATTTCTTCTATTGAATACTGGACCCAGGATCATGGTCTGAAGCCAGGACTGAAGTTAAAAGTAAGTTTGTTTGATATAGAACCTTTTCTCTCTACAACATCACATTATCTTTTCAACTATGTATCAATAACACAAATATATAAACAATAAGAAAGGAAATTCCTATTTCCTGAGTACCTACTATGTGCTTGACACTTTGGCATAGATTACCTCATTTGATAATCATTTATTACCTTCATTTTATAAACTAGGATTTGGGGATTCAAAGAGGTCCATTTCCCAAGTGCACTGATCTAATACATGATAGAATTAAGATTCCAATACAAGTTTTCCGACTCCAAATTCACTGTTTTTTTATACTACAACAATAGGAGATTGCTCCCTTACCACCATCCCCCAAAATATCCAGATTAGCTTTCTCTCTCCAGATACAATTTTATAAATGTGCATTACTGTCATAGATTGGAATATCAAACCAAGGACTTGAGTGCATGTAGTTTGAGAGGCAATTCCAGGCAGGATCTTTAGGGGAGTGGGGAAGCAAAACAAAGAAGAAAAAGAAACCAATACAGGGGCTCAGAGAAACTGTCTTTCTCAGTTACTCAGGGATTATGAATATGCTAACAGTGGACTCTGCTAGATAACGTCACTTATTCCAAATGAGTGTGTTTTACATGTGGAATGGATGAATACATTAACTTCACTAGGGTGTTTGTCTATTAACACATTTTACTCCTCCCAATGAGGAGCTAAGTTCTTTTTGCTGCTTCATACTGACTTCCTTTCAGTTATCAGCTCTCAGCTCACCTGCTCTCCCCAACTTGTGAAATGGCCAACATGGTCTTCAAAGTGCATTCTTCCCACCTTCTTATGGTATCACTCTCTGTTCCCTCATTTTAACTTAATCTTAAGGTCTGTAAAGACCTCATCTCCAGATAAGGTCATATACTGAGATAGTGAGGGTTTGGATGTCAACATATGAATTTGAGGGTTGAGGCTGGACATACAAGACAGCCCACAACAGCACATATACAAAAAACTAAATCAGAGCCATCGAACTGATCATTTATGTTAGGTTTAGGAATAATCTGGGTTTCCAGCATTTCAAATGATTGTCACATTTAAAAGAATTTGGCATTTTAAAATTCTAAAAGATTAGCTTTATGAGGAAACATAAAACATGTAGTTGAGTCATTCAGTTTAGACTTGGAATTTTAAGTTGAAATGTATGAGATTTTGACTGTTTATAAATAATGTTAGGCTATTTTAAAGAACTTGAGATTATATTATGTTTTTAAAGTATAATTTAATACATTAACTTGCAATGTCAAAGGATCTGGGAAAGTTTTGCTTGTTGAACAGATATTTAAAATATATAGTAATAGAATCTATTATATTAAATTTATAAATGAAGTTTAAATTATTTTAAGGCAGTTTAGCTATGTTTGTAAATGGGACAGAATATTCAGAAGAGTGTCAAAATATTAATTAGTTATCTTGGAAATGACTGTTAAGTATCAGTAGACTTATAACTGTGATAATGTTATTTTTAGGTTAAACTTAAAAGCTTAAGGGAAAACTAGGGTTTTTAATTTGTCACTTTAATGAATTGAACATTAGTTTTAAAAAGCAGCCACTAAAAGAATTCCCTGTGCATCAGCCATCCTTCGGAAACACAAAAATCTCATCTAAATATTAAGAACATCATGTCAGAAAGGGTTGCCTTTTTAACTTAAACTAATATTTTTATCTTACTGCAAAAGCAGTACAAATATTATAGAAGCATTTGAAAATATTTTTAAATGTTTGAAAACATTAATAAGAAAAAGATAGTAAATGGCCGGACACGGTGGCTCACGCTTGTAATCCCCGCACTTTGGGAGGTTGAGGTGGGCAGATTACTTGTGACCAGGAGTTCCACACCAGCCTGAGCTATATGGCAAAACCCCATCTCTACCAAAAATACAAACATTAGCTGGGTGTGGTAGCAGGTGCCTGTAATCCCAGCTACTCGAGAGGTTGAGGCAGGAGTATCACTTGAACCCAGGAGGCGGAGGTTGCAGTGAGCCTAGATTGTACCACTGGACTCTAGCTTGGGCGATAGAGTGAGACCCTGTCTCAAAAAAAGAAAAGAAGAGAAGAGAAGAGAAGAAAAATTATGTAATCCAATACATAATTATGACAGTAAATATTCTTATAGCAAATGTTTACATATGTCAGGGTTTATCAAAGTGAGATTCCCAGATCAGTTGAGCAGCAGCACCTGAAAACTGGTTAGAAATGCAAATTCTCCGGCCCTTGCTCCCTGCAGATATATTGGATAACAATTCTGGGACCGGAGCCCAGAAATCTGATTATAGCAGTCCCTGCAGGTGATTCTGTTATATGCTAAAGTTTGAGAACTGATATCATACATCATAAGAGTTTCCACAGGATAATTACCTAGGAGTAATACTGCTTGATCAAAATGTTTTTTTCTAAACTATAGACTTTATGAAGATTTCACCAGTTTTTCCATACATTGACCTTCCATCTTCCAGGATCCAATCCAGGATCCTATATTCCATTAGTCCTCATGTCTCCTTTGTCGCCTAAAGTCTGTGACAACTTAGGCTTTCCTTATGTTACAAGACCTTGACGTTTTTGAAGAGAACTTATCAGGTATTTAGCTGAACATCCTCATTTGGGGTTTATCTGATGTTTTGTCATTATTAGACTAGGATTATTAGTATTTGAGGGAAGAGAGTTGTGGTAATCTTCTCATTGCATCATATAAGAGAGCACCTGATGTCATCACGACTTATTACTGGTAATCTTCATCTTTACCACTTGGTTAAAGTGGTGTCTGCTAGATTTTTCCACAGCTACAATTTTTCTATTTCCATACTTTATTCTTTGGAACCAAGTCACTAAGTCCACCGCATACATTGCTTGGAATTCTCATGTAAGAGATTTCCTCTTCTCCATTAAATGATTGGTTACTTGCTTGACTGGTCATTAGTATGGATCCAAAACATTTATTGATTCTTTGACTTACAATCCAATACAGTCTTTATTTATTTGTTTCTCATGTTTTCTGCCTTTGGCCAACTCTTTCAGTTTGGGGTCCTACATTCTTTGTTTCTCTTTTCTAACTTTCTGGCACTGTGGGGTGCTTCAGGTTTCTTACTTTGTGTTTTTTCTGCTCAGCCCCAAAATAAACCATTTCTTCAAGGAGCCTTGGTTTCTTTGACTGGTGAATGGTATTGACTAACCAAGATCTAGGCACTAGTTGTGCTCATTGCCACTAGAGTTGTATTAATTCTAGGCCTTCTCAGTGGGCAGAGCTAGGAATCATGTATACTTTTAAGAATTTCAGTATATATTTCCAAATTGTTCTCTCTTTTTTTTAGTTTACATTGTTATACCACTATTGTACGAGAGAGCAATTTTCCTATGTTTGTCTAAAAGGGTCATTATGATTTATTTAAATTTACCAAATTGATACTTTTTAAAATGGTGTACATCCCTGAAGTTTTTATTACTGTGCCAATTAGATATTTTTCAGTTACATACTAGGCATTTTACTTTCTCCTTTTATAAATTTTCTATTTGCAGCATTTGCTCATTCATTTTTCTACTACTGGTCATTTTGTAACTATAGTAAACTACTTAATTTTATGCTATTTAGATATTAAGATGACAGAAAACTAATACTAATGGCCGTGTCCAGTAAGCCTCTTGACTTAATTATATTTAGGGAATAGAAGAACAGGCATTCAGTTATCTTTTTTCACCTTAAGCTCACCTGAAAAGACAATTGTTAAGACAAATTCCAGAGTGGAATGAAATATTTGGAAAATCTCATATTGACCTCCCATTGCACTGACAGCAATCACTAACATCCTATGAGTCTGTATGAGGTATGGAGTGATTTTAAGTTTTTCTCCCTTCTTGTAGGAAAAGTCATGATTTAGTTGTGCCTATATCCTGATTCATAGGAAATAGTTAAGTTGTATTAACTCCTTTCTCTGAATCTATATGAGCACAGAATTTTGCTATACTTGCAAAGGAAAGTTAAAATGGAGTATGAAGCTTAAAAGTGTGCCCATAATATTATAACAAGGAGAGTTCATTTATACTATCATTTATTTTATCATTTAGTATAAGATACTCAGATGCAGTCATATGATTCAGCATGGGCTTGAAAAAGAGCACAATGGGGCCTGGAGCGGTGGTTCACGCCTATAATCCCAGATCTTTGGAAGGCCGAGGCGGGTAGATCACTGAGGTCAGGAGTTCAAGACCAGCCTGGCCAACATGGTGAAACCCCATCTCTACTAAAAATACAAAAATTAGCTGGGTATGGTGGTACATGCCTGTAATCCCAGCTACTCAGGAGGCTGAGACAGGAGAATCATTTGAACCTGGGAGGCAGAGGTTGCAGTGAGCTGAGATCATGCCACTGCACACCAGCCTGGGTGACAAA
The DNA here is from genome assembly GCF_000001405.40 of Homo sapiens. Lineage (NCBI taxonomy): Eukaryota > Metazoa > Chordata > Mammalia > Primates > Hominidae > Homo > Homo sapiens. The sequence continues at coordinate 32,894,568 of NC_000008.11, read as the reverse complement.
GTGAGACTCCATCTCAAAAAAATAAAAATAAAAAATAAAAAATGCCCTTTGGGCATATAAACTACAAGCCTAGTTTCAGTGGCTAGAATTGTATTATAAAGTTGTCAAGCCCTGTAAAATCTGGCAACATCTTTCTGCTCTCATTTACTTCATCCACCATCCTTTGTTTAAATCACACTGAGCTGACTGCCATCCTTGACCATGCCAGGCGTGCTTTTGCCTCAGGGACTTTGCACACACCGTTCCCTCTGCCTAGACCATTCTTTCTCCACATGTTTACACAGCTTCTCCCTCTGCTCTTACAAGTTTGCTCCAGTGTCACCTTCTTAATGAGAACTTCCTGACCATATGTTAAAAGTTGTAATCCCTCACTCCCAGATTGCTTTCTTAGTTAAGGTAATGCTAGCAGCTGTAAAGTTAAAACCTTAACTCTCAATGGCATACCACAATAAAAGCTTTATTCCTCATTCAAGTAAAGTCCAAATGGTAGGTGGATGTGAAAGGACTGGAGATTCTACTCCACACAGTCCTTCAGAAACTTAGCCTGATGGAGGCTCTGCTATCATCACAAGGCAATCAATAAATAAGGAAAGAAAGAAAGTGGGAGTCAAGGCAGGATATTTTTACATGCCAGGAGAGAACTCATTCAGAATTACTCTACCCACATTTCACTGGCTGGAAGTCAGTCACAAGATTACATGTAGCTATAGGAGAGACTGGGAAATGTGGTCTGACTGTATGTCCAGGAGGAAAAGGAAAAAGGTTTGATTAACAACTAGTCAATCTCTTCCATACACACAGTAGGCATCATTAAAGACTTATTGAAAGACTGAATAAATAATGTATCAGGACTGTGATCCATTCAAATCAAGTTAAGAGGTGTTTTGAGGAATTCGGTGAGTGATAAGCATGGTTTTGGATGGTGTCAAGGGATTTGTATTTAGGTGGGGAGGTGACATTTGCTTTCTTGAAAAATTAGCATACAAATAAATATAGCAGGAATATTATCTGTGGCTTATACTACATGTCATTGAGATTCAGCTGCGACCTCCATTCTGCCTGCCCATTTCTGCATCAGGGGCCCAGGTTGATAGATCGGTCACTATTGGGAGCATTTTTGGTAACTGTGACTAAAACACAGAACTCTGGAGGGTCTTACCAAAGAACTGCGCTGCTTGAAAACGACATATCTCAACTTCCACTTAAACTCATCCACTAAAACTAGCCACATGGCCCAGCCCCAAATGGGAAAAATTTGAATATTTGGCAAGCAACACCTAAGACAGTAAAAAAGGACAGTGGAGAATTAAGTTAGACAGGAGGTACTAGTCTTACCTTTACTCTGCACAAACATGGCACTTGGGCAGAAATTAATTCAAACTGCAAAATCTTCAAAGCCTCTAAAACTTATCTGTTCACTCAGATCACTTTAAAGTTCTCCATTGTTTATCCAACTCTACAAATTTTCACTTGGATATTTGAGTTGACCTAATTTATCAATTTCTTATTAAACAAAGTTTTGAAGACCCATCAAGCTAGATGCTAGGGATACAGTGGTGGACAAAGCAGTGATATTCCCTGGCCTCACAAAGTAGTAAGCTAGGTTAAGGGTCAGCAAACATTTTTTCTACAAAGGGACAAGTAGCAAATATTTTAACCTTTGCAGGTATACAGGCTGTCATCATTACATTGTAATTACATTGTAATTATGTTGTAGCATGAAAGCAGCCATTGTCAATACAAAACTCTATGAGTGTGACCGTGATCTAACAAACTATCAAAAACAGCAGGCCAGATGTGGTCCAGAGGCTGTAGTTTACTGGCCCTGATCTATTAGAAGAATCAAATATATATATTTTCTTAGAAAGAATAATTTTTACTCCGTAATTTCTTGCTTTCATGCTCCATCAGAAAGTTTGGAGAGAAGTCAAAGGCTTTAGTTCAAATCAGCAATGTCAACAACTCTGTGTCCTCGAAGTGTCCCATCCCTGAGCCTCAGTTTCTTTATCTGTATATAACATAAAGTTAGGAGCAGGGGAAGCTCTAAGATCTTTTCCCTCTCTAACGTTCTATTTTCCTATTTGTGCACTTGAATGACCAGATATGCAGGAGACTGGGGCAGGGTGGATTCACAGTAAAGAAAAGAAGAATTATCAGAGGTGTGACCTTCATTGCCTACCTGCATGTGATAGCCATATGTCTTCTTTCAGGCGGGGAAGCATCTTACTTCTTTTTTTTTTTTTTTATTTTGAGATGAAGTTTTGCTCTGCCATCCAGGCTGGAGTCTAATGACACCATCTTGGCTCACTGCAATCTCCGCCTCCCAGGTTCAAGCAATGCTCCTGCCTCAGCCTCCTGCATAGCTTGGATTACAGGTGCACGCCAAGATGCCCAGCTTATTTTTGTATTTTTAGTAGAGATGGGGTTTCAACCATGTTGGCCAGGCTGGTCTTGAACTGCTGACCTCAGGTGATCCACCCACCTCAGCCTCCCGAAGTGCTGGGATTACAGGCGTGAGCCACCGTGCCTGGCCGCATCTTACTTTCTATTTTATTTTTATTTTTATTTTTTATTTTATTATTATTATACTTTAAGTTTTAGGGCACATGTGCACGACGTGCAGGTTAGTTACATATGTATACATGTGCCATGTTGGTGTGCTGCACCCATTAACTCGTCATTTAGCATTAGGTATATCTCCTAATACTATCCCTCCCCTCTCCCCCCATCCCACAACAGTCCCCAGTGTATGATGTTCCCCTTCCTGTGTCCATGTGTTCTCATTGTTCAGTTCCCACCTATGAGTGAGAACATGCGGTGTTTGGTTTTTTGTCCTTGCGATAGTTTGCTGACACCTGCTAAAGCTCTGAGCAGGATGCTGGGCACACTGTAGATGCTATTCTGCCATCTGTTCCCTCTTGATCCTCATTTCTTCTCCTTTGTCTTCCTTTATCTTCCTTCATTCTCTCTACTTGCAGTGAAGACACCATTGCAAATTAAATTCTCTTGTAAAAGGTACTAACTGTTTTCATAAAAAGTAAAAAGCTGGCAAAGAACGTGGTTTCAGTCTTTTCATTTCTGATGCAAGCAGAGATGGAAAATTTATTTAGAAAAGAAAGTGCCAAAGATAAATTTCATGGATAATAAAAGTTCTTAACAGAGGCAGGTGGATTGCCAGACATAGCTCTCCCCCTGACCTGCCCTCATTTCACCACTCAGTGCAGAGTGAGGCATTTATCCAGTGTGTGAAAAGTGTCTTTTAAAAAAATATGTGAGTTGAGTTTAGAAAACAAGCTTGTATGGAGAGAAAAGGAACTTGAGCCTTATTCCCTTATTTTTTTTTTTAAGCTGGAACTAGTTCTTTTTAAAATATAGTGAGACTATTAGACACGGCACATAATGAACAATCAATATGATTTGTTTCTCTAAATTTGTTTGTGTTTTTTGTTTCTTTTTTCCTCATAAGGTGTATTCTAACTTCTTCCCTAATACAAACTACACACACACACACACACACACACACACACACACACACACACACACACTACATTTTCAAATGGCTTTTTGGAATATTTGAAAAGGACCAAATATGTGATTATGGAAGACATGATACAGCCCCTTCCACCTCCCAATAATTGTTAAGTACTATATTACAGTGAAGTCTTTTGAAGTCTAATCTTATAAAATTTACATTTTGAATTTGAGATCAAGAGGTTTGGAAAATTACAAACTGAACTCTGCAGTTTTCCAAGGTTCAAATTCATTTCTAAGTAATGCTATGAGTCAGCAATTTAAGGCTGTCATGTTAGATTGCTAGAATGTATATATATATGAAAATCCCATAACAAGATCATCTGGAATACCTTCCCTCTTAGGCAGAGATTTTTCTTTTCTCTTGTTCTACCTATTTATCTCAGCTTTTTTCCCCCTTATTTTCATTAAGGTGTCCTGAGCACTGAGTACTGGAGGTTAGATTTATCAAAGAGCTGGCATTTTTGGAAGGAGGTACAATGGAAGATGAGCTGGACAAGAGCAGGAACATAATGGAATATCACAAAATCTAGCTGAATACGGAGACAGGAGAAGAACAGAAGGAACTCAGCGACTGAAAATGATAGGGAGAGGGCATTAGGCAGTATTGGATGAGGTCCAAGTCCTGTGGA